>NC_000016.10:50623106-50926136 GCF_000001405.40 Homo sapiens | reverse complement strand
GGACACATCAGCACAAACCATGAAAAAGAAACGGGGGGACAGGGTTGCCCAATCTCCTTATTTAATATTAACTACATTATGTTTTTTTCACTTGAGTTCTGAGAAACATTGCTCCCCACTCTCTGGTTTTGTATGAACTCAATCCAAAGTCAATTTTCCTTGAATACAGGGTGTCCGCTTCATGGGTGCTGAGAGTGAGATGCGGGACTTTGGAACCATAGTCAGTCACCCCGGAAGAAAGTCAGCCGGCAGGACCATTGACTTTCAGCCTTGTCCTCAGTCACTTTTTCCTCACTGCCTGATATATTCAGGGAGAACATAGATGAACAACGTGAGGACCACCTGTCCTTGGGAAGTGCACTTCACTGGGATAGAAATAACAAGTGCCCAAGTAACTGTGCAAATAGCCATCTGTTCGCACTACTGGGCTGTGGTCAGTGGGGGTACAACTTGACTGGGGAGGTGAGATAAGTTAGCATGAGCACCATGTGGACGGTTTGATCACATTTCCATCTTTTTCTCTTTTGCTTTCATATGTGTCCATGATGTGGGCAGATCATGGGGTGTGATTGCAAACTGAGGCTCCGAGTACAGCCTATGCTCCCTGCAGGGTTCTTCCCACTCCCCACACCACCATCAAAACAGTGTGGCAGAAGCTTCTGCACTCTGAAAGGGTAGCTGTCGCTACATGATTGAGCTATGATCCCTCCCAGGGCTGCTTGTCTGTCCAAAGGGGAAGACTCTGGGCTTGGCAAATACTGCCATTTGTGCTTGTTGTGGTGCCAGAGTGCCTTCTCCCTTTCCTGGCATTTGCAGCCCGCCAGTCGCTGGACCCATTGTCTCTCTCCAGCTACGGAAATGGCTGAGCTGTACCTTGCACCTTGATTAAAGTGTGCAGCTCCTTGAGAAGGTGGTGGGCCCCAACTGGTGTGAGCAAGTCCCCATGTAATTTGCACAGCATGGGACTACTGTGATCTAAAGGTGAGATTCAGGAGTTTGCCCCCAAAAAAACCCAGAGATGGAAGGGAAAGATAAAGAGATGAGAATAAAATCTGACACAAATTACCTGGTGCTTTCTGGAGGGGGATGAGGCAATGGGAGCTGCCAGGGCAAGTCTATCTGGTATCATCTCAGTAGAACAAAGAGGCCAGCCTGGCAGGTGGGGAGTGGGGGAGGGGGAGGAGCTCATGTGGACTTGGTGTGGGCATCACTTGGAAATCCCCGGATGTCAGAACTGGACAGGTTTTGAGAGGCTTTCTTGCCTACTAGTTACAAATGTCTGGGGACTAGCAAGCTGCAGTAGAACTGTAACCGGAACAGCTTTGTTGCGTGATGTACACAGCAAATCAATATACTGAAACACCGGGTTGCAGCAGAGAAAGAGATTTAGTCATAGGGTCACCGAGTGAGATGAGAGGAAACCTCAGATCCATCTCTGGAGGAGTTTGGAGTTGGGGTTTTAAGGATTTTGTAGTGGGCCGGTTGGTTGAAAAGTGCAGGTGAAGTCATGGGACTGGGAGAGGATGAGGCCGTGTTCTCATGCTGATCCCGTTCCTCTGGAAGGGTCTCCAAACTGGTTGCTGGAATTCGGGGTCCAAAAACATCTTAAGCAATCTTTAAGCAAAAGTCTTATGATTCTAATGTCAGAGATCTTGCCTGTAGGAACAATGAGGATGCAAATCAATTCTCAAACAGTCTTAGGATCCCAGTGTCACAAACCCTATCTATAGCAACAATGGGGTTGCAATGGTCAAGATCTAGTGCTACATGACTTTTAGCAACAAGGAAGTGGGCCAAAGTACAGCCTGATAAATGCTTAATTCTAACTCTATTTCTGTCTAGAAGCTGGCATGCAATTCTTGTCAACTCTGTGGGGATGGTTTCAGAATCACCTGGGAGCTTGCTAAAAATGCAGACAACTGGATCCCACCCTTCGTGTTTCTGAATTAGGAAATCTGGGGCACAGCCAGGGCAATCGTATTGCCATTCAGTGTCAGGCACAACCCTGATGTAAAGCCTGCTGGGAAATCACTATTCATTTGACAGAGAAGGAAATTGAGTCACAGAGGAAAAGGGTTTGGCCGAGATCCCACAGAGAGTTACAAGCAGATCTTTTAATAGTTTCTTGATTTCTTCCTTTCTCCTTTCCTTCCATCCTCCCTCTTTTTCTCCTTCCCTTCTTCTTCCTACCTTCCTTCTTTCATTCCTCTCTTCTTCTGTCTTTCTTTTCTTCCCTCCCTCCCTTTCTTCCCTTCTTTCCTTCTTTCCTTCCTTCCTCCCTCCATCCCTCCTTCCTTCTCTCTTTCATTCATGCATTTATTCAACAAACATTTGTTGAGTATCTGCTATGTGCCAGGCACTGTGTTAGGTGCAGAAACAGCCTAGATCCCTCCCCTTCTAGAGCAAACGCCTTCGTGGGAAAGACCAGCAGTAATCAAATTATCACATGCATAAATGTAAAATTACAGCTATGCCCAGGAGAGGCAGACAAAAGTTGTACCAGCTGGATTTAACATTGCACATGGCCTCAGCATCTTTATCTGTAGAATGGAATCTCCTCACTTGCCCTGGCTCTTTCCCACATGTACAGCTCACACTGGAAATTAACAGAGAACAGCTTTTTTTAAACATAAAAATAATTATCCAAATGCTGGGCTTATCTTGACTCTGATAGTCAATCAATAAATATTTGTAGAATTGAATTGCTAAATTGAATTATTCTACAGAAACAAAGCAAAGATTAGCAAGAATCCCCACCACCAACCCAGTGTTCATTTAATTTTCCTGTTTGTGCAGATAAGACACAGGCTGGGTTTGCTGGATTTAAACAAAAACCAGCAGAAAGACTGCTTTCCATAGATCCCTGGAATGTCAGAGTTGGAGGGAGCTCAGATGTTATCACATCATATCTTCCCCAACTTCACAGAATGGGAAAAAGTTATTCAAGGTCACATGTGAGAAAAGTGATAGAGCCAAAGCCAGGACACAGATAATAAATTAACAAAAAAAAAAAAAAAAAAAAGGAAATGTTTTGTTTGGGGTGCCTAGACATGCCTAGGCTGTTATTCTCTATGTTAAAAATCCCAATGTTGGAAACATCTTCCATGTATTAATTAAGGCTCAACTCCAGGATGAGCCCCGCCAAGTCCCAGGAATATTCCTCTGAGAGCCACAGCCAAGAGCAAATGTCTATGTACGTTTGGTAGACAATGATTGCTTTTGCCATTTTCTGTTCTGGTAAAAGCAACTACATTTCTCTTTGGGGAGCCACCCTCTTCCTTCCCACTCTGAGTACATGAGATTTAGGTACCAGTTGAATCTGTTTGCTTCCAAGCCAGGTAAGCACATGCCTGCCAATCTGCTTGTTTCATCTCCCTGGTCATAGTGATTGGTTCAGGGAAGGACATGTGACTCAAGATGATCCAATGAGAGTCAGCCCTGGGACTTTGGCTGAAACTATGGGGAAAGAGACACTGTATTTCCATTGGTTTCGTTATGCCGGTAAGATGTTATTCTGGAGCTGCTGGCAGGCATCTTGCTACTGAGCTAGAGAGCCTCTCTCTTAATGAGTCCACACAATGATGGGGAGGGAAATAAGAGCTGGGGAGACACTGAGTCTTGATGGAATATGTTTTTTGGACTCGTAGATGCAGCCATTCCTGAGACTAAATCCTCTGCACTTTTCAGTCATAGGGAGCAATAAATTCCCTGTAACTGGTTTACCCAATGGCAGAGACAGCCAGCAGAGATTTGTGGAGTTTTCACTGGGAAGCAATTTCCCAGTTAAGGACAATATTTTTCAGCATCCTTACAACTAGGTGGTACCAGGCGACTGAGTTCTGGCCAATGCAATTGGAGGCAGAAGTGAAGTATAGCGCTTCCACCAAAACCTTCTGTGCAATCTTTCACACTCTTTTCTTCCATCCACTGATTAAATGTCAAAACATCTAGGATGATCTTGGGAGCCACATGCTGAAAATGACATTGGAAGTTTGTGTCCACTGCCATTGAGACTGAGGTAAATGAAAAGTAAACTTCCTATATGTTAAGCCACCAAAATTCCTAAGCCTCTTTGTAATAACAGCTACCATTATCTTCCTTAATTCAGCTAGTGTTTCAATCAGGGCTTTTAGTCATAAACAATAGACATCTTCTCTGGCTAACTCAAAACTGAGAAGGAATGCATTAAAAGGGTAGTAATTGCTCACAGACACTCCACGAGGGCAGGAGAGCCAGGACTGGGACTACACCGCTCAGAACAATGCCAGATTTATGCCACCGAATTGGAACTGGGGGGACACCATTGAAGGTGACACTGAGCACTTGTATCTCACCTTGCTCATTGGCACCCCTGATGCTGCTGCTGGGGTTGAATATAGCTAACACCATGGTCACTGTCTTTTGTGGAATGGATTCCACAAAGTGCCTGCTTCTCCTTGTCTTTTGGAAAGCCTAGGGCAGGTATATCTTTACCGATGAAGGCTTAGGTCATGCAACCATACTCTAGCTGCAATGGAGGCTGGGAAAGTGAACAGAGGGCATTTTCCCATTACTACAGTGGAAGACAGGCTTTGCTTCAAAACGTGGGGAATTCCCCAAACATGAGAAGGGGGTTCAAACATAAGACAGCCTAAAGGATTGATAAATGTATGCTACAGTCACCGTGAGATGGGTTTCTATTCCTGAAAGAAACTGACTGATAATGTGTACTGTTAATATGCTTCAAATTTTATGCAAAATAGAAAATAGATATGTTCTAGAGATTGTGCTAAGCACTTGACATTTATTATCTTACGTAATCCTCACAATGACCCCAAGAGGGTAGAAACTATTATCCCCACTTAGCAAATGAAGAAACTGAGTCCTGAAGAAAAAATTTATTTTTGTGAATTCATGTAGCAGGGATATGATGAAATTTTGTAACACAAAAGACAAGGTAACATGTGATAGTTTCTTATATAGTGAGCTTCCTTGTTTGAAACCACACCAGGATTCAGATGAATTTGAAGACTGGGTGGTGGGTCTAAAAGTTCCATGGCGTCCTGAGACAGCCTATCCTGATAAAGAGATTCAAGTAGGACCAGCTCGATCAGGGAAGAAAACCTTGGTTATAGGGTATTAAGGAAGGAATTAAGATTCTGAATATGATGAGGGGAGCAGTTTGTCCCTGATATGTCTTCTGGGGAAGCTTTGCACACTAGCATCAGAGTCCTGACAGCAAGAGAGCTGAAGGTAAAAACTGCAAAGGATATTTCACTCCAGACTGTACTCAAGATGTGGGAGAACTTGTCATTGCTTTGGGACTCCTCTGGCAGGTGTAGCTCAGGGTGGGAGAGGCCTTCTCCCTCACTTCTTTGCAGACCACCATGAAGCTTTGCACAGCAAGGCTCCAATGCATTGTCAGTGGTGCCCAGAGCAGTGGTCATACCCAACTAGAAAAGACTTGTTTGTGAGCATGCGTAAGACTTCCCCTGAGAACTCTCTGAAATACTTGGAGAGGGAGAGATTTATAGGACTGAGGAGGCCGTGTGGCAGCAGGTGGGGTCAAGAGCCAGGGGAGCTCAACACCTCAATGTCAATGTGAATGTCAGTGGTACCTCCAAACTGAGTCAAGGGCAAATATGCTGGGCATCTTCTTTGGCTGCTCAAATCCTCTCTCCACGCTTTCCCTCTCGGCTCTGGGCCCCTTCAGATAAATGAACTGGAGACCTGGGATCCCATGCCTTTTGGCTTCTAGTTGGACTCAACTGATGGGCAGCACTAGCAGACCTGTCCCCCAGAGTTGTCGTGGACATGACCATATCCCTGCCCCCACCGGGATCACCAAGGTTCCTGCCAGCTGCCCTCTTCACACAGCCCTCTGCCTCCAGCATCTAGCAATTGTCCTCTTCCCTCACTGTGTTAGGTCTCGGGGAGGTCATTGTTCAATGCTGTTCCGAGCCCCGTGTGCTGCTCCATCCCAGGTGGGCCCATTCCTCTGTAAAGAGCCCCTGTATTAAACTATCTTAGTTGCCCAGTCCGAGTGTGCCATTGGTTTCAGCCAAGACTCTGACTGATAGAAGGAAATGTGGATCCCACTAAGAGATCATCTGCTTCATGATTTTGAACAATATCATTTTTCTATCATGTTTTCCGTTTATTTTTTTCAGGCAGTCAAACACACCTGTGCCAGAACTTTCGTGGGTTTTTTTGTAGACCCCTGGCACCTGGTAATCTTGTTGCAGTACTCTGGCTACTTTTGGGCCCTGTCCAGTTGGCCTTAGATCTGTCATTGTTGGGGAAAATGCCATAAACCAAATGACTGAGGGAAAACGTCATGGAAACATCCACTCCAGGGGCTAAAAAATAGCCTGAGATGCCAAACCCTTAAAGGCACCAGGATGATGAGAGGGCCGGAGCTAAGCCATGATTGGATTCAGGTTTGGAAGGGCTTTTTGACATACCTGGTGCTGTAGATGCCTGAACACCCACATGGAAGAGGGTCACTCACTGTTTCTCCCATTGGCCACTCTTCATTCAACCCAATGGCAAATGGCCCAGGCTCAGACAGTGAGAGGCAGTGTCTCATCCTACCCTGGTCTCACCCTGCAGTTCTGTGGCCTGGGGCCCTCTCTGGTGAGTCCAGGTTGTCCAGGAACCTCAGGCCAGTGGTAAAGGAGTCAGCTGAGACTGTTCACCATGCCCCTATCCCATTCAGAGAGAAGGGGCTGCGAGTGTGCTTCCCAATCGATGGACTCACATTCACCAGGACTATTTTTAGGACAGCAAGTATACCTGCTCCGGGTTCACAGAGGAGTTGCTCACTAGAGACCAGCATCCACTCCCCTAGCAAAAGCCAGGAGCCCAGGCCAGCTGTCCCTCCCCATCTCATCTCCAACTCTGGCCAAATTTCTCCCCTAGGAATATCCTGATCCTCCATGTTGCTGTCTGGGGTGCCCAATATGGGGACTACTAACTTCCAGAGAAAGCGTCCAAGACAGGAGTCACTATGACCAGGCCCTGCCTACAAGTGGGTGCTCCCGTAAAACTCAAAGGTCTTCATGATTTGAGTCATGCCTTTAAAGTAGAGGTCAGTTCCTCCAGGATAAATCCTAAACTTCTGCCCACTCAAAGATATTTACCCACCAGTTGTGTCAATGAAGCAAGGGTGGGGGTTACAGCAAGACAGATATCATCTGAAAGGCAGAGAGAGCTTAATTTGGACTAATGGCCATCCCCAAGGGCCACCCTGTACAGCTCTGCAAGTTGCATTGCACAACTGCAGGGGGCACCACTTACTGCATGGTTAGCCTAGATTGGTACAGTTTTTATGCCTGCTTTCTGGCAGATGGCTGTAAGTGAACCGAGGGAGGGGCATCTGTCTCTAATTCACCCATTTCAGTGGGACCCAGGCCAACTCCTGAGACACCAGATCAGAGACTTAGAAATACAGTGGTGGAAATTGTTCCCTTCTCCATTCTTTGAAAGGATGTGACACATTCCCTAGGGCACCTATGCCACCCCGGCTCCTCTGATGTGGCCTTCTCCTTCTCCATCTATCCCCACAGAGCAGCAGCGTAGGCACCAGCAAGGCCTCGGGATATCACTCCATAAATTCTCTTTTCATTGGAGGCCTAGCAGATAATAATTTAAAGAACTAGTCACTGCTTGCAATTAAGCACAGAGAAAATAGATCAGGCCCATAATTTATGTCTGTGCAAGGTTGGGCTGGATTCGTAATTAATGTTTGCTCCCTTTAATGAAATACTCCAAAGGTCTGCACTTCTGTCATTCATGAAGGTAATTTTTCAATTGATTAGTAAAATAATACTTGAAAAGTAAATGCACCTGCTTCTTCCCCGAAATGTCTCAGTCAACTGGACACACTGGTTGGGACGCTAAAAAAATACCACTCCAATCCAGTGGAGACCCGGCCCTGCACCATCAGCATGCAGACGGCCCGAGCAGGAGGCAGGAGGAAAAAGTAATTAGAGCAGCTGCGGTGACCAGAATTCCTGGGTGGCCCGGGGCTGCTGAGCAGCTGCGGCTGCCCTGCCTAGTTCCTGCTCGAGATGGAGGGGTCAGGCGGTAATATGAAGGGCCGGGGGCAAACTCAGCCAGAGAGCCAAGCATTTTGGTCTTTACAGCCCAGGTCTGCGTGGGACACCAGCCAGGCTGGGAAGGGCCTCATTAGGGGGATGATGTACCAGAAGACAAGTAGATCACAGTTTGGAGGGCATTGTGGTCACCTGGGATGTGGGCTGGCTAGGGCTAGGCATAGAGAGGCTGTTCCCAAATATCTTTGTTGTCCAAGGGCAACAGGTTCCTGTTAAAAGCTATTTAACATGGAAGCCAGCATTTCTTCATCGTCAGTAGATAAATAAGTGGGGTCTTATCTTGAAAACTGAAACTAAGACTTAGAAAAATTTCATTTTATGTTCTATGAAATAAAATATAGGCAATAAATGTAATACAGTAGTGTTAAATCTTAGAATAAAGAAAACTATCAATTTGGGGTTTATTTTTTAAGTCAAAACTATTTCACCACTATATATATCATGCTTCCCCTCGTGATAGATTTTCACAGTTACATAGTGGGCGATTTGGGCAAAACTATTCAAAGGCTGCATCAGTTTTCCAAAATCCAGTCTTCACCTATGACATTTAAATGACTTGGCGATCAATTATTGAACATGGGATATTGAATCCCTTTTCCTATTGCTGTTCCCGACAATGGTTTTCTTCCTCTAGCAGGCCATCATTGGCCAGTGGCTTGGTGTCAGAGCCCAGGATTCTTTAACACAACAAATGGGTATCAAGATGAGAGGAGAGGGCTGTTTGTTCGAGGAGGACTCGTTTTACAAGGGGTCAGTTCGCTAATGAATGTCTCCGTGTCTTCTAGCAATGCCCACTTACCTACGCAACCTCATGACAGAGGGGCCAGGGTGGCAAACAGTCAAATGCCCTTGAACTCGTTTCCTGCACTTGATGGACAAGGTTGCTCAGATTAAACCTTAAAGGAAAGGGTATCACTTAGAACCGCAGTTGCAATCAACAGAAATGGACTAGCTGATTTAAGCAGAAAGAGAATTTTTAAGACTATGTTGAAAGCATCCCAGACTTCTTGGGAGGGCTGGGGAAGGAAGTGTGTGCAAGGAGCCAGAGTGAAGGTCTCCCCAGTCCAGTAGGGTAGTCCCTGCTGCCACCACAAAATACCATATCCCACAGCTGGAACCAGGCTCTGGCCACCCAACACTGTGGGCGCTGCTGAAGCAGTCCATTCCTGCTTCTTCTTGGCATGGGTCCTGGTAAATTTGTGGCAGATGCAGGTCATTGGTCAGGACCAGGTTATATGCCTCTGCCTCCTGCAAGGGGGGCAGGAAAGTGTCAGCCACTCTGGTGGGTGACGGACTCTGTCCCCTAAGGGTCACATGGAGTGGAATCTCCTAGCATATGAAGAGGGCTATGGCTGGGGATCCCCCAGAAAGAGAGAAATATTAATAGTGATGATGATTGTTCACTATTAATATTTTACCTTGGCCTCTACTGATGGGATATATTTAAATCATGTCCTAACTTCCCTTTCCTCTAACATTTATAAAGCACCTGCTATGCTAGACACTCTCACATATGTTTTGCCATTCGATCTTCCCTCATGAAATAGGACTATGATCCCAATTTCCAGACGAGGAGACTGAGGCTCAGAGAAATAAAAGGAGTTGCCCAAAATCACACAGGTTAAAAGCACCTGGGTCAGGGTTTGCTTTTCTTTTTCTTTTCTTCATTCTACTGCTATGACTCCAAAAGACACACTTGAAAAGTGTCCTTGGAAGGGTAGGTGAGTTGCCATCTCATGCCTGATCTTGTTTTTGCTGGAGGAGGATCCAGGATGCTGAATGCCTGTCAAGCTTCTCATGCTTCTAATTCATGGTTGATTTCCTGGCACCTAGCACAAGATCAGGCAGGTAGTATGAGCACAGTAAACAATCTTCCCATTTTTGAGGCCACAGTGGAAAACAATAGTCTAGTGCTATGATGATGATTGTTCACTATTAATATTTTACCCTGGCTGAGAATGAAAAAAAATCTGAACTTTAGTCCTAGGTGGGTCTACCACCAACTTTGTCCAAGTCTCTGACCCACTTTGACCCTCCTCTTCCTCCTCTCTAAGATGGAAAGAGGTGTTGCATCAGAGGTTGCAACTGGTAGCCTTTTGCTCTGGATTTGACCACAGAGAAGTTCTGTTAGTCCTCGTGGTGTGAGCCTCTACTTCTCCCTGATTTCTGTAGCCCTGAGCCCACTTTTTGATAGAGAACCAGGCCTATTGCTTATCTGATGTCTCTCAAACATGGGAAAACCAAAGATGGGCCAAAAGGGTGGCATGTTACAAGAGAAATGAGATTTTTGTTTATTTACCTAATAACCTCATTCATCTTGACATCACCTGTCCAGACCCTGTAGACACTTGAGGCCTTGCACCTGCAGGTACTGATCTTAGGAGATAAGCAACCAGAGCCTACTACCTGCAACTCTCTCTGCCTCTTCACTGTCCACTATGGGAGCCACTAGTTTAATTCACTAAATGAATTAAATTTAAATACAATTAAAATTTTGGCTCCTTAGTCACACTAGCCAAATTTTAAGTGCTCAACAACTTCTGGTGGGTAGCAGGCACCCTGTCCACAGCACAGTATGAGAGACCATGTACTGCATCCCAGAAAGTTCTCTTGGACAGCACTGCTCTAAAATCCCCCCATGGACCCTGCTGGCCCCACCACAGTGCCCAACCATCCCTTTCAAGCAAATGCCTGGCCTGTTGCAGGCTCTGTGGCTGCCAGGGCACAGTGACCCAGCCCTCCCTCCTCCTCTGCTCCATTGACTTCCGCCTCCTTTCACCGAGAGACCAATCTATATTTGCAGCTCCTTTTCTTCATGTGAACAATGAGGAGCAGCCCTGGGAAATGGCTGGATCACTTTCTCCAGCACCTCCTTTAGGTTCCCTTAATAGGTGGAAATGCTTGATTATTTCAAATGGATATAATTACAAAATCCTCTACTTAGAGTAATGCTCCTCCTTTGTGGGTGCAGACATCTCCTTTCTCCCATTATCTCCTCTTTGAGAGGCACTTTGCAGCTTTGAAAAGTGCAATTCTATGGTCCCTGCAGGACGAGCCCTCCTCACTCTACTGTGGGGCAGAGCTACTTTGGAACAATGCATGGGACCCAGCTCTGCAGTGCCAAGGCTCTTTCTCTGGGTAGGTGTGACGCTGCAGAAAGTCTCTCATCTAGAGGGCGAGCACTGGCCCCCATGGCACCCGGGAGCATTCTCACCTGTGTTCTGACCCACCCTAAGGTTGCAACCGGCCCCTCCCCATCTGGACAAAGACATGCCCAGCCACTGCCCCTGCTACCTCACTTAGCACACTCCTGTCTCTCCTCCACATCTCCACCATGGCCCTGCACCCCCTAATGGAGGAGCCAACCCTCTTGTCCAAGTCTTCAGACTTGTAGCATCCAATCTCCTTGATTATATTGTTATAGAGACAGCATAGGGTATGGGGTCAGATTGACTGGAGTTTGAATCCTGACGCTAACACTGTGTCATCTTTGGCAAACTAATCACATTTTGGAGACTTGATTTCTCCAACTCTAAAATGGGGTTCTATCCACAGTACCTAATGAAACCTCCATGTTCATACAGTGAGACTTCAGCCCTGGTCCTAAGGGATTGGTCTCGCAATGGGCACTGCTTCCTTTTTTCTCCCGGATGTTTGGACCTGGAATGAGATAGCATCATGCAGTTGTGAGTTGTCCCCATTGTCTGCAGCCATGTTTTCACTGGGTGCAGAAGGCTGGCCAGGAAGGAATGAGCATTGAAGATGTCGATGCACACAGAGAAGCTGGTTGTCAGCCCATGAGGGCGAGGGCCACAATGATTTTTTTCACTCCTGTCTACTCAGATTCTGGTAGGTGCCCAGCACATAGAAGGCACCCAGCAGGTGCTGGTTGCATTGCTGAATTAATGGGGGACAGAGTTTGAACCCCTGGTCTCATTGTCCTGAGGCCCAGATGTATCTCCGTCCTTTTATGCACTTGACTGTCCAGCCCTTCTCGGATTCAGCCTCTCTGGGCTTCTGCTAGTTTGACTTTGGTTTCTGCCAATCGCAATCTATAGAGCTCTGATATTGTAGCTACATGAATACCCACCCTGTTCCACCTCATGCCAGCAAATGTGCACCAGGCGAGGCAGGGCTTATGAGCACCAGGTTCACCCTCCACCTTCTCATTTTAAAGAAAACAAAAATGATGCGAGGACTTGCCAGCTGTTGTAGACTGATAGAACACCAAGAGAAAGTAAGGCTCACATTGCACCAGCCTCCTGAGGAAAACCTCTGTTCATATTTGACATCGTTCCCTTTTCTCTGCTCACACCAAAGGCAATTTCTTTCCGAACAGTGGCATTCTCTCCCCCAAGCCAGAGAAAACTTCTTCTGGAGAAGATGTGAGCTCCAGGCAGACACAGGCTCTGCATCCCATGTTCAAGTACACAACTGAGCAAAGAGAGCTCACCTTTACCCTTCCCCCTCACCTCCTTCCAGCAGCAATAGAGCCTCCTCCTTCCACAGTCTACATGCTAAGAGGGACACCTTCAAATCTAAGGACATAGACCTGCATGTTTGCAGAGGTGTAAACAGAAAGGCTCAGCTGTCAGAGGCCAGTTACCAAACACATAGACGAACATTCCCTAACTTCATGCCTCTTTTCCAGACAACTTCCAGATTGACTCTCCCTAGCCATTCCCACCCCCTTTCCATGCAGAACCTTGTATAGATCTCAAACCTGACTGCAGGCCTGAGAACATTTATTGACACCACGACATAGATCATGGCTTGAGCTCCAAGACCAATTTTGCTGTATGAATCCTTGGTGGCGTGATTTAGAGACAAAACTGAGTGCAGGTCTTGACTCTGGAGTTTGGTGCCATCACCCATTGGCTGTCGAGCTGCTAGTCCTGACCCGACCCTGACCCAACCCCTTCATGCAAGGCTCTGTAAGGGAGAGGAATGGAGGGGACCCTGCCCCCAGGTGAGCCCAGCCACATGATAGGCTGTGTGTGAGACACGGACACATGAGGAGCCCCAAGCAGGCCAGCATTATCGTGACTGGAAGATCAAGGAGGGCTTCCTGGAGGAATGGTCATTTATCCAGGTAAGGAATGAGGAGGATTTGGATATGCATGGATGAGCTGGGGTTGGAGGGAAGAGAGGAAAATTGGACCCCAGGCAAAAGGAACACCATGAACAAAATGCAAGAAATTACCTTTCTTAGAGAGACATGCATCTAGGAATGAGAGAAAGTCTCTTGACTATGGTCTTTCTTGTCAGCAAACTGGGACCAGCTACCCAAGAGGGATAATAAATTGTCATTCATTCATTCACTTATTCAGCATATAGTTATTGAGCCTGGAGACTCTGAACTTGAAACAGTTGAAATAGACATTGGAAACCATATTCAAAAACATTTTGTGCTTGGTCCAGAGGATACAGAGGTGAACAAATCAGATGTGGTGGCTGCTCTTGAAGGAGGGAGGTGATAGGTAAGAAACAACTGAACAAATAAATAAAATCTGAATGGGAATGCACGCTGGAGTGCATTGGAGGGCAGAACCAGGTGGCCTAGGAAGGCCTCTCAAGCAAGGGTCATTTGAACCAAGATCTGAAGCTCCAGAAGGAACCAGCCACCCCAGAAGGTGTTGGGGAGAGAATATGCCAGGCAGAAGGAATTAAAAATGCAAGTCTTGGGAAGAGAAACCAAGCAGCAGAGCAAAGGCCCAGGGGCTGGAGCACAGTGGTGAGGGGCGCGGGAGTGGAGGGGAGGGAAGGTGTTGGGCAGGGCGGGTAACAGGTCACAGGGTCTTACAGGCCAGGCCAGGTGGCTGTAGATTTATTTTATCCTATGCCTCTGCCCCGACAATGACACAAACTATTATGAAAGTTATGTAAGCACACGTTTCTGCCTAGCAAAGGGATCCTCAAACAAATAGGGGTCGCCCTCTATCTTGATACAGCCCACAAGCAAAGACTGGCTTCTCCATTTTTTAATGGTTCTCATGTAAGCGCCTCCGTAGTATCCTTGATTTTGCCTCTTGAGCTACAAAGATGAAAATATTTACTATCTGGCTCTTTACAGAAAAAGTTTCCAGATCCCTGGCCTGGAAAGACACCAGAGAAAAGATTCCTCTCTAGAAAGGGGCAAATATGTTTATGATTACTAGAAGGGATGAAATGTTCCTCTATTTTAAGAGGAAATCAACAAAATAACCAAACAATATTTGGTTTAAAAAAAAGATATCCTCATCAATTTTCTGATAAGTGTTATGGGTGCAGAGAAGAACTGAGGGTCCTTCCCATTCCTTCCCATGTCTCTGCAACTTTCCCCCCTCCTGTCTCCCAGCTCCTGGAAATCCAATTTCCTAGTTATGGCTGTGCTTATTAAAAGCATGACTGTGGAGGCTGTTTACCCCTGGATCTATTTTTGTCATAACTGTTTGTAATGGTTAAACCTCAACAACTTAAACACTCCATACAAAATAATGTATCTTCAATAAACTGAAATATTAACCAATCATATGTAATGGCTCATTTCTAACAAATGCAGAGATCAGGGTCCTCGGGGCATCATAGAAATCGAAAACCATATTGATGGACTGGCCAGCCTTCAAATTACTCTGCATGGAGATGAAAAAGCATAGGAAAAGTTCTCATTATGGCTCCCTGACATTAATTTGAGCATTTTTATATGTGTGTCCTATTAAGCACTTTAAGTGCTTTTTGATAATTGTGCTTTGTAGTTTTTACAGCACTTCAGCCTATTCCCAGTTCAATTTCCTCTTTTATCCGATGTTTGAAATATTGATTTCTGACAGATAAAAGCAAACCTTATAATCTCAGCAGCGTGCAATAAGTGAGTGGGACGAGGCTTCAGAATACATCAGGGAATGATCATATTTGAAACAGTCTTTGTTTTATTACATTTCGTCAACAGAATTTACTTACTGCTTGCTGATATTTATGTAAAAAGCCCAGCCGCTGAGAGGGCCACGATATTGCCAATTTCAGCTCTACTTTTTGCATTTAGTAAGATAAAAGAAGCTTCTCCCTTGGAGCCCGATGATTGCAGCGGCTTAAACTGCTGTCAGCCGGCCGCAAGTAACTGTGATTTATCTTCTTCAGATTGTGCCCTGTCGTGGCTGCAAACTTTTCTTTCAGTTTTGCATTAAAAACTGACAGCCCATCAGGATGCTTAGAGCCAGCCCTCTCAGGCTTGCCCCGGCCTCCATGGAGACCTTCGGTCTGGGAGAATTTCAGAGTTGTTCTTTAAGCTGGACGTGACCTTAGAGGTGACACTCTCTGCATTTCCCCTAACGTGACTTGCAGACCCTTGAGGGCATCGACATTACTTCAGGTGCTACTCAAGTTATTTCCCTCCATTTTAATGATTCTTTCACCAATTTATTCAGTTCCACTATTACTTACTGTACAGTGTCCTGGGCGTGGGGGGTGCAGAGCTGAACAAGGGAGATCATTGTCTTGGTGACATTCACATTCTACAGCAGTGATTCTTGACACCCAGGCATGATTTTGCCCACACCCCTGCAGGAGACATTTTTGATTGTCACAACCATGGAGGGGGTGCTGCTGGCTTCTGGAGGTAGAGAATGTGTTGGAGGAAGCTGCCAAACAGGACAATCCCCCAAAACAAAGAATAATCTGGCTCCAAATGTCAATAGAGCTGAGGTTGAGAAATCCTGTTCTAGTGGAAAGAGACAATTAACCTATAAATGGGCAAGAAAATAGCTGGCAGTGATAAAGGCAATGAACAAATAAAATAAGGAGGTGAGATGGGTATTCTAAAGCTACTTTAGACGGCAAGATCAGGGCAGACCTCTGTGAGGAGGTGGCACTTAAACCGAAACCTAAATAATGCCAAGGATCCGGCCAGGAGAAGACTTGGGGAAAGGGCATTACTGGCAGAGAAAAGAGCTGTGCAAAGACGGCACAGCAGGAAGGAGCTTGGCAAGATTCAGGGGCATAGGGCAGGCCAGTGTGGCTGGAGTTAGGGAACTTAAGGGTGCCCAGCAGCAGGGCAGAGAATGACAGCAGCCGGAGAGCAGGGACATGTTTTTGAGGCTGTGTTGACAGAACATTGAAATCTAATATGGCATAAGAGGCAGAAAAATGGGCCAAGCACTTTGACTCACGCCTGTAATCCCAGCGTGAGGCAGGAGGACCCTTTGAGCTCAGTAGTTCAAGATCAGCCTGAGCAACATAGCAAGACCCTGTCTCTACAAAAAATTTAAAAACTAGCTGGGCATGGTGGTGCATGCCTGTAATCCCAGCTGCTCAGGAGGCTGAGTTGGAAGGATTGCTTGGGCCTAGGAGTTCAAGGCTGCAGTGAGCAGTGATCACACCACTACACTCCAGCCTGGGCAACAGAGCAAGACTCTGTTCCTAAACAAAAAAAAAAATGAAAAGGAGACAAATGATTCAAGAATGATGTTAAGTTTTGCCCAGCTATAGATTTATTTTAATACATATTAGAAATGTTGCTTAGGATGTAAATAAAGCATGTAAGGAAAGAAATAAAAAGCATTAAGTCAATTCTCATTAAGGTGACACACAACTGTGACAGTAGTTGTGAAGGCAGCACTCAAATGAGTGGAGGTTGGGATGAGGAAGCAGAGAAGAGAAGGAACAAGGGATTTGCCCTGGGCCTCATGGCATGCAAAGAACAGAGCTTGCCCTAGAATCACATGCACGGACCTTTCCAGTCTGCCCATAGCCTAGGGTTTAGGAGCATGAACCCTGAAGGCAGGGCCTGACTTCCTCCAGAACTTTGGGAGATATTGAAAACCAAGAAAAGACTGTCAGAGACCCAGCCAAGCTCCACCCATACACAACAGTTGATTGCAGCCTCCCTTGGCCTTCATGGCCACCCAACCAGATGGCTGAAACCCTCCTACATGCCAATACATTTATTCATTTAACAAATGTTTATTGAGCACCTGCTATGTGCCAAGCCCTGGGCCACACACTGGAGACACAGCAGAGAAAAAAGCAAATCAAATTGAGGGCTGCCATTGCCATCTGCTGCTACTGTCCAGCTGTCTCTCTGGCCTCTAGAAGACCAGCCATGAACCCAACAGCTATGGGTAAGAGGAAAATGGTAACAGGATAGGATCAGTTATGCTGCAATAACAAACATACATGAACTCTCATTCACTCTATGTGTCCCTTGCAAGGCAAAATGGGCTCTGCTTTGCATTGTTGTCCTCTGGGAGCCCGGTGGATGGGTTGCCAGCACCTGGAACAATCCTAGGCCCTGTGGCAGAGGGAAATAGAGCATGAGGTCGCTTCTGCTAGTTCTCCATGCTTCTGTTTCTATGTGGCACATGTTACATCTGTTCCCGTTAATGGTCAAAGTAAGTCACATGACTACACCTGAATTCAAGAGGATGCGAAAGTAGAAACCAAATATCTAAGACCAGCCGGGCACAGTGGCTCACACCTGTAATCCCAGCACTTTGAGAGCCTGAGGCAAGACAGGCAGATCCCTTGAGCTACGGAGTTAGAGACCAGCCTGGGCAGCATGGCGAAACCTGTCTATATGAAAAATACAAAAAAAAAAAACAAAACAATTAGCCGGGCGTGGTGGCATGAGCCTATAGTCCCAGCTACTCGAGAGGCCAAGGTGGGAGAATTGCTTGAGCCTGGGAGGTGGAGGTTGCAGTGAGTGGAGAGATTGTGCCACTGCACTCCAGCCTGGGCAACAGAACCAGACCCTGTCTCAAAAAAAACCACCAAAAAATCTCACAACTAGTACAGTGCTCCAAGCAGGAGGAATAGAGCTGGGGGTACCTGGGGTTGTGAGGGCAGAGTGAGGGCCTCAGCCCTAAAAATAAATCCGAAGACCTTTGACAGGCAGGGCTGCAAGGCCAGAGTCTCAAACTGGAGATCCGCAGACAGTAATCAGCGCACACCCAGGTTCTGCTTGACCTATGTAGTGTTTAAATGCTTAAACATTAGTTGCCAGTATTTTTCAATGAGGAGATTTTGCATAAAAATTACAATTTCTCTTTTAAAAAATCAGAACTGATGATGTTGGGTCGGCATTTTCACGTGGTAGCCATCAGCTCTCACTGAGTGGCAGCTGGCCCACAGCCTGCTCTCATCAATCTGCATTACCTGCCCAGCTCTGAGGCTTTTAAGTTTGCAACCCTTGGTCTAGTTTCTTATACAGATGAAGAAACTGAAGCTCCAGAGAGAGAAAATGACCTGCCTAAGTTCACAGGCCAATTAATGGCAAACTCAAGACCAAAGTCAGCCCTATCTCTGGCTTCACAGGCTGATGGGAAAGAGAGGGATGACAACAAAATGGGGGGTGACATAGCTGGAAAAGAGTGGGGGCCTACCTATCTTTAAAGAGTCAAAAAACAACAGATGCTGGTGAAGCTGCAGTGAAAAGCGAACTCTTATACCCTGTTGATGGGAATGTAAATTAGTTCAGCTACTGTGGAAACCTGTTTGGAGATTTCTCAAAGACCTTAAAACAGAACTATCATTCATCAATACTGACATTGCTATGTCCTTTTATCATACCAACATCAAGATACAAAAGAAACTCAAAAATTTACTATGATATATTCTTAATAAGAGCAAAAAAAAAAAACATGGAACTACCATTCGACCCAGCAATCCCATTACTGGGTATATACACAAAGGAAAATAAATCGTCCTGTCAAAAAGACACATGCACTCATATGTTCATTGCAGTGCTATTCACAACAGCGAAGACGTGGAACCAACACGGGTATCCATCAATGGTCAATCAGATAAAGAAAATGTGGTACATATACACCATGGAATACTATGCAGCCATAATAAAGAACAATATCATATCCTTTGCAGCAACATGGATGCAGCTTGAGGCCATTATCCTAAGTGAATTAATGTGGGAACAGAAAACCAAATATTGCATGTTCTCACTCATAAGTGAAAGCTAAACACTGGGTACTCATGGGCATAAAGATGGCAACAGTAGACACTGGGGACTAGTAGATGGGGGAGAGAATGAGAGGGGCAAAGTCTGCAAAACTAACTGATGGGGACTATACTCACTTCCTGGGTGACAGATTCAATTATACCCAAACCGTAGCATCACATAATATATTCATGTAATAAGCCTGCACATGTACCCCTTAAATCTAAAATAAAAGCTAAAATTATTTTTAAAAGAGTAGGGGGTTAGGGGGAAGGTCAGGGTGGGCTGGCCATGCAGACGACCCCAGCGTCTTTGCCCTACAGCCATGGACACGCACCCCTGCAGGGCACTGAGCAGAGCTCTTCAAAGCCCCGGCCTTGTCTGGCATTGCTGGGCCCCACTGGGCCACGCCAGCTAGAGCTCCACACGCCCCTCCTAAGACAGTGACAGCATCAACCCCAAGCCTCTTCAGAGGATTGCCTGTAAACTGGAGCCAGACATGCTTAGAATTTCAAAGGGGATCGTTAGCATTTTCCATACTGGCCTGGTTATTTACAATTCATTAAGAGAATTAACTTTGAGACTGGGTTCCTCTGATAATCCCCCCAAACGGAAACCACAGGCAAGGGCGGCAGAAAATGGGGAGGGGGGCGAGGGCCAGGAGGGCCTGGCTCTTGGATAAATCCAGGTCTTCCTGCATCCTCTCACTCGCCTTATGAGGGAGGCCTCCCCAGCCTCCCTGTGACAGAGAGGGGAACTGAGGCTGGGAGAGGTTCTGTATATCTCTAAGCTGATGTGAGTGGGCTGATGTGATGTGATGTGATGCAGAAGGCTGGGCAGTCGGTTGGTCCAGCTAGGCTAGCCTGGTGGACCGCTGCATGTACAGGGTTGACGTTGTGCTTCCCTTAAAGTTCTTTAGTTCTCATAAGCGGAAGCTGCTGGAACTGTCAAGGCTCTAACCTACTCTATACCAAAGACAGTGTAAGCTCTACTGCCAAATGGGGGATGACTGGATGAAATAGGATGAAGAAATCAGGCCCTCCACCCTACGGCAGCCCCACCTGTCACTCCTCAGAGAAAGGAAGTTCCAGTCTAACCGAAGCAGGGACCCTCCTGTGCTTCCGGGGCTCACAAATATCTGCCATCATCATGCTTTCCAAATAAGTTTTTGGTAAGTTCACTAAATTATCACCCCACGTTGCTGAGTTTCTGGAGACCTCATCTCCATTGCCTGAGGGCTGAGTTCTCCTCCTCCCTGCTGGCTTCCTGGGTGTGAGGTGTATATATATGAGATAAGGTCTTGCTCTGTCACCCAGGCTGGAGTGCATGTGTGATCATGGCTCACTGCAGCCTTGACCTCCTGGGCTCAAGCAATCTTGCTGTCTCAACCTCCTGAGTAGCTGGGACCACAGGCGTGCCCCACCACACCTGGCTAATTGTTTTATTTTTTGTAGAGATAATATATCACTATCTTGCCCAGGCTGGTCTTGAACTCTTGGGCTGAAGCGATCCTCCCACCTTAGCCTCCCAAAGTGTTGGATTTACAGGAATGAACCACCTTGTCCAGCCCAGGGAGTGAAGCTTTAATGTGCAGATTCTCAAAAGCCTTGATGGGACCCTTGAGCTGTTTGAGAACTGGTATGTGTTTTATTCCTTACTATGTCCTGGCACTTAGTGCATAAAGGTACACAAAACTGCATCATTAAAGGGATGGGTGGATGGAGAATCTAGAAATAATAGAGCAGAGAAAGGAGCAGTGACTCTGGGCAAGGAACACAGTTTAAACTATACCAAGAATACCAAGTTCTTGACATGCACACCATCACTTTAGCATCGAAAGACCATGGCAGACATTACTAGTCAATCTAATTTCCCCTGAACCAGAATGCAGCCTCAGAATCTCTCTTAACACCGTGCACCTAATCAGAATTAACACATGAGATGACTTATCATTCCTGGACTGGTTGACCTTTTGAGGTTCATTGCAGCCATCTGCCTCTCCTAAAAAAATTGCAAGGTATTGTGAGACGTTTGATCCACAAAGCTTGTAACATTATTCCTCAAATCACCAAGCTATCAAAGTAGCTACCTCTGAGTTTAGGCTAAATCTCCAAAGTTCCTGATGGTGGCTCCTCATTGAGCTGGGTGTTCAGTTTTCCCAAAGAGCAAGCTCTTTCCACAGGCCTCGGAGTTTCCTGTTTCGTGAAGTGGTGGAGCACGAGATCTGGGAGGCCTCTCAACTGAGATGCTGTCAGCAGGTAGCAGTTCCTCAAAGTGCTGGCCGGCCACTGAGCCCTGCAAACACCTGGCCCCCTCCAGGCCTTGGAGTCAAACTCCAGGAGAGGGTGAGGACTGGAGCAGCATCTGCCCCGTTTGGCCAAAGCCATTCTCCCAAGCCCTCCCTCTATGGTGACCAGAGAAAGGAGGTCACAGACTTGGAGTCACATCACCAAATCCTCAGAAGTCCTGGGTTCCAGCCTCCCACTCATGACGGGATTCCTCCCTCCATAGCCTCCCTGACAAGAGGCTGTGCAGACCCAGGAGTACCCCTCCAGTGCCTGGGAGGTTGTCACCTTCATTCATTAAGAATGATGGTTATTTCATTGTTTCTCCCCTAAAAAGGAGGAATATTTATTTCTCCCTAGTGATCATAAACACATTGCCCATTTCAGGAGACGAATCTCTTATCTGGTGTTTTTCCAAGCCAGGGATCTGAAAACTTTTCCTGTAAAGATCCAGATAATAAATATTTTCCAGCTTTTCAAGTCAAGAGGCAAAATCAAGGACACTATGTAGGCATTTATATGAGAACCATTCAAAAATAGAAAAGCCAGCTGGGTGTGGTGGCTCATGCCTGTTATCCCAGCCCTTTAGGAGGCCAAGGTGGGAGGATCTCTTGATGCTAGGAGTTTGAGACCAGCCTGGGCAACATAACTAGACCCCACCTATATAAAAAATAGAAAAATTAACTGGGTGTGGTGGCACACGCCCGTAGTCCCAGATATTTGGGAGACTGAGGCAGGAGGGTCACTTGGAATTTGAGGCTGCAGTGAGTTGTGATTGTGCCACTGCACATTAGCCTGGGTGACAGAGTAAGACCTTGCCTCTAAATAAGTAAAGAATGATGTCAATGAGGAATCTCTAGCAACTCGGGAAAAAAAGACTCGGGGTTGGAAAACAAGCAAGATAGCAAATGTGTGTTACTATGTTTACACATAAATTTAAAATAAATTAGAAGTGTAAAGGTGTTGGGGGGCAAAATTCAATTTAAAATATTACCTATAGTTGAGTTCCAGTGATAAGGTTAGAGATGAATATTTTTGTCTCTCCTCTTTCAGGGTTTCTGTAATGTCACTTGATTTTTCATGATGGATCTAGTAGATTTTGGTGGTTTCTACCATACTATTGGCCATGCCTTCTTCTTCTTCCTCTGGCAAAGGCATTCTGGTTTTCCTTTCCAAACCATCCCTCCCTATTCTCAATTCATGTAGTTTGGTGAAGCTAAGCCCACCTCCACTAGCTCCAGGGATGGGTGCATGCTCTAAGCCCACCTGACCGGCACATTCCATTCCCCCTAGCTCTAGGATTGACTTATGGGTAGATTTACCTGAGACTTCTTGAGCCATTAGGGAAGCAATAAAAGTTGTGATGATATGTATCCAGAGATACTTGCAGCTGTCTTATCACCAAAAGGGGAGAACCTGCCTGAAAATGGAGCTGGTCCAGAGGAAAATAGAGCAGAGAGATGAAGGGACTGAGGGAGAGAGAGAGAAAATGCTAATATAATTGAGCACCTGTATCCAGCAATCCCTGAAGTCCATCTTCCCCTGTCGTAACATAAACCAGTAATCTCCCTTTACTGCTTAGGTCAGCCTGAGTTGCAAATCTGTCACTCTCAACTAAGCTTTTGAGAATTTGTGCAATGGGAAAAAAAGAAAACAAAAACCAGCAAGCTTGACCTTCTCTCTTCTACTTTTAATCTTAGTTTTGAGTTGTAGGAAGAAAGGTGCCTTCTTCTCCTTTTAGACATATGAAGGTAACTCTCAGCTATCTGCCTGCTTTCCTCTGCCACTCTTCCGCCTCCACCACCACATACACAGGCACACACACACATGCATATACACACCTGCACACACATAATGCACACACACAGAGTCTTCTCCAAGCTAAACTCCATAGCTCCCTCAACCATGAATCCAGACCCATCTTCAGCGCCTCCTCCCTCAGCAGCATCATTTTCAGGAAGTCTCCACTCAGGCCTCCTTGACATAACTCTCTCCATGTGCAGAGAGGTCCTGCAGTATATCTGGTTAGGAACAGATAACCAAGGAAGGCAGGTCCCAGCCGGGCTTCAGCCCTTTGCATTCTGTGTCTCCACATACAAAAGTGCAAGGGATCAGATGCAAGCAACTTAGGAGGAAGCTCAGTGAGAGGAGGGTAGAGACAGAGGCAAGGTCAGCAACACCACCCAGTGGGGGATGCCAGTTAATGGGAGGCAATTTTGAATTCAAATCCACTCTTTAAGACAGAGGTCACCAACTGGCAGCCTGCTCATTGGACCAGCACACACTTATGTTTCACTTGGCTCACATAGTGGTTTTAAATTATTTGAAACTGAAGAATGTCATATAAGAATCCAAACTTTCTTTTTTTTAATTAATTAATTATTTTGAGATGAAGTCTCGCTCTGTCGCCCAGGCTGGAGTGCAGTGGTGTGATCTCGGCTCACTGCAACCTCTGCCTCCTGGGTTCAAGTGATTCTCCTGCCTCGGTCTCCCAAGTAGCTGGAACTACAGGTGCCTGCCACCACGCCCGGCTAATTTTTTGTATTTGTAGTAGAGACGGGGTTTCACCATATTAGACAGGATGGTCTTGATCTCCTGACCTCGTAATCCGCCTGCCTCAGCTTCCCAAAGTGCTGGGATTACAAGCGTGAGCCACCATGCTTGGCCAAGAATCTAAAATTTCTAAGTCTCTTAGAAAGCTGGCACCACCAGGCCCATATCTCACAAGGTAACAACTGATTGGAGTGAGACATGGTCGCCCCTTTAAGAAAGGCAAGGACACTCCTGTCTCCACCCTGTTGTCTCCCAACACCCTGCCATCACTGACATTTGTCAGCGAGCTTGTGCTGGCTGCTGTGTTTCTCTACCCCGTCAATCAAATGGAAAAATAAATATCCATGTGTCCATGTGGGTGCATGATTTCTTTCTTTCTTTCTTTCTTTGTTTCTTTCTTTCCTCTTATTTCTTTCTCTCTTTCCCTTCCTTCCTGCCTGCCTGCCTTCCCTCCCTCCTTTCTTTCTTTCTTTCTTTCTTTCTTTCTTTCTTTCTTTCTTTCTTTCTTTCTTTCTTTCTTTATTTATTTTTGACAGACTCTTGCTTTGTCAGCCAGGCTGGAGTGCAGTGGAACGATCTTGGTTCACTGCTGGGATTATAGGCGCCCACGACCATGCCCAGATAATTTTTGTATTTTTAGTAGAGACGGGGTTTTGCCATGTTGGCCAGGCTGGTCTCAACCTCCTGACCTCAAGTGATCCACCTGCCTAGGCCTCCCAAAGTGCTGGGATTACAGGCGTAAGTCACCACACTGGGTCAGCTGCTTGATTTTTCTTACACTTAGCCTGCTTCATTCACTTCTATTACTTCCCTGACCCCAGAAGTGACTGAAATAATTTTTATAAATTTCAAATATATTCAGAATTGATAAACAGCAATCATTGGCATAGCTCCATCAGACAAAATATTGAAATAATTCTGTGCTTATTGGTTCATTACCACTGCCTTGAAACCCTGAGGGCCTCCCCTGGTGCCTAACCACAGTATCCAGCACTTCCAGCCCTCTGCAGTGATGCAAGTCAGGAGATAACTTCCTCACGCATCCCCACCCTCCCATGGCCATGCACAGGTCAGGAGGTAAGGCCTGGTACTGCAGTTGGCAGCCCTTTCAGTGCCCCAGCTGAACCATTTGTCCATGGTTTGCATCTCACCCTTGAAAACACTCGACAGTTATCTTACTTTGAGTTCCCCCAGAGGCAGACTGTGAGACACAGATCTGGGTGCAGGTCATTTATTTTGGATGCGATCTCAGGAGGCAACAGTAAGAGAGTGAGAAAGTGAGGCCAGGAAGGGAAGGCAAGACAGGGGTGTCAATGAGCAGGTTACCAGGGTTGGACAATGGGAGCTTGAGCCTGCTGGGGACTTGTGGGAGATTGCATAGAGCACATCTCAGGGCTGTTCCACCTGAGAGGGGAGGAAGCTGAGAATGTATCCACCAGCTCCATTTGTCATTGGTAGAGAGCTACTTCTAAGGGCATTAAATCCCTGGCACTTCTGGCCTGGCCTGTGTTCAGCTGAGAAATGCTGCCAGGCAGGTAGAGGAGTGTGAATGCTTACAGCAGGTAGCTGGTGGTGTGCACTGAACAATTCGCTGAAGCAGCAGGCAGGTCTGACGGAGTCTGCTGCAGCAGTAAAAATCAGTGATGACATGCATGGCAGGCAATACTGCTTTCTGGGTGGCCGGGGATCCCCAGTCACGGAGGTTTACCAAATGGAGACTCTGGCTGTGTTTTTCCTTGATGATTTGTTTATATGAGATCCCATGATTCTCTGGCTCCTGGATTGCTTATTTACAGAGATTTCAGGATTCTCCTGGCTGAAAAAAAAAAAAGAACGTGGAGAAACTTCAACATTCAACATTCTAGGAAAATTTGGCTCCACAAAGATCCCATCAACTCATTGCCTGCTTCTTGCTAATCTAACCATTTTCAAATTCCCCTTCGCAATTACTGCAATCAAGTTATTATCAATCATACTATCAATTGCTTGCCCTGCTCTAGGATGTAGGTTAAATATTCTTGTGTCAGTGGGATGCTGCATCCTAGATTTTCATTGAAATCTAATGACTTTCATCTTCAAAGAAACTGTTTGGAGCTAGTGCTCCATCCCCACCCCTGCTGGTTTAATTACAGCACTTCATACATTTCGCATTCTGAAGATAAACACCCTGTTCAGCATTTATCCCAGAGAGATGCTTTTCAAGGGGTAATGTTCCTAAAGTACCCACTCCAGCAAGAGGATGGCTCATCATCTCAACCTTATGAATGTGTATCTGGCCTCTGGTGAAATGCAGCCAGGAGGCTTCAGCATCCTCCCAGCTGGTGCCTCCCCATGCTGGGGCCTGGGCCCATGCTCCAAACAGCCACAGGGAGAGCCTTGGTGATTGAGGCTGGAAATACTACCAGATCACTGAGTGGGCACTTCTGGAAAGTAGAGCACTTGGGTTTTTTCAAAGCATTGTTATATGTTTAATGTGTGCTTCCTCAATTTTCCCACCATTTATTGAACATTCATTTAACAGGTATCACACCACCAACAAGTCATCAAGACCTGGAGAAGGTGGGAGGAATTTAGGAAAGGTAGTGGAAGAGGAAGAAGATGGGTACCATTTGTGGTCCTGAGATCAATGGAGCAATGGGTGTTGTAGCTCATCCTGCCACCTCCCTTCTTCTAAGTGTCCCCTCAGAAAGAGAGGCCCACGGGAACTATGAATGCCTGTCATGTGCCAGGTACCATGGGCACAGCAGTAAACAATGCAGGTATCCTTCAAAGCATCCTGTCCGCACAAACTTCACATTTCGAAGGAGCAGGACCACACACACACACATACACACACACACACGGAAATATAAAACAATCACTAATTAGGATCAGATCCATGAAAGGGAAAATAGAACCCCACAGTGAAGAAATATAGAAGGGAAGGTGTTTAGGAGAGTTGGGCAGAGAAGGTGTACCAATTTAGGTACAATTTTGAGACAGAGTCTCGCTCTCTCACCCAGGCTGGAGTGCTATGGCGTGATCTCGGCTTGCTGCAAACTCTGCCTCCCGGCTAAAGCCATCCTCCCACCTCAGCCTCCCAAGTAACTGGGATTACAGATGCATCCAAGCAACAAATCCCAAGTAACTGGGATTGCAGGTGAACCATGCCTGGCTAATTTTTGTATTTTTTGTAGAAACGGGGTTTTGCCATGTTGCCCAGGCTGGTCTTGAATTCCTGGGCTCAAGCGATCTGCCCATCTTGGCCTCTCAAAGTGCTGGGATTACAGGTGTGAGCCACCATAACCGGCCTTATCATGCATTTCTTACGTTGTGTTTTCTGCATGTGTTCCTTCACTGTTACAATGGGGAAAGGGAATACCAAGTTCCACACATATTCCTCTTCATCCCCATTGTGTACTAGCAGCTCTGTCGCTTCCTGATGATAGGATCAATTATCTCTGCCATGATGGTGACTCCTCTCTTACCTGCTGGCCCCTGGATACAAAGTATTTAAAGCACCCTTGTAGCAGTGGTAGTTTTGTAATTCAATGGTATACTTGCTGTGTCCCTGGCAAGAGTATATCCTCTTTGGGAACCAAAATCTTTAATCCCAGCAGAGTCCACAGTTGGGAGGATGGAAAGCATAAAGTTCCCTGCAGGGTCAGTGGGAATAATGTTAAGGGATGTTCCCATTCTTTGGTTCCTGAGTCCATGTACTTTTCCTATCTGGGACCCAGGGATCTCTGATAGAATGCATGTATTGCATTCTGAAAGATGGCATCTGATGGCCTTGCCTCCAAGCTGGCACTTACTTGTGCATTTGGAAGGCCATTCTAGCACTCTATGAGGCCAGCTCTTTCTGGATGATATGGTATGTGATATAACCAGTAGACCCTATGGTCACTGACTCAATTTTACACCTTCTTCACTATAAAATGGGTTCCCTAGACAGATGCTACATTGTGTGGGATTCCATGTCTGTGAATCAAGAATTCTACAAATCCCTGAATAGTTGTGCCAGCTGAGACTCTGCAGGCAGAAAGGCAGAACTATACCTGTAACAGGTATCTATCCTATAAGGTTGAGCCACTGGTCCTTCTAGAATAGAAGGGGCCCAATGTAGTCAACTTGCTACCAAGTGGCTCAGTGTTCTCCTTGAGGAATAGTGCCAGATCTAGAGGCTCAGTATTGGTCCATGGTGCTGGCAAGTTAGGTATTCAGTAGCAGCAGTAGCTACATTGTCTTTCCTTAGTGGAAATTCATAATGAGACCCATACTAACCTTTATCTCTACAATCATGACCATTCTATTCATTTGTCCATTCTGCCAGTTCTGGGGTGGCCAATGATGAAGGGTGATTAAAGTCAACTGGCTGAGTCATTTTGTCTTCTTATTCAGTGCCTCTTCTGTGGTGGATAGCTTCTTGTCAGAGTTAATATGTGATAAAAAAAATCTTCAGAGTTCACACCAATGTCCATATGTCCATCCATATGTCTCAACCTCAGACCTCCTTGTCTCCAATCCTTTCATCCTTTTCCTTCCAGGACTCTGACCAGGAAGCCAGGCTATTGGCCTCTGTCCAGGAATCTCTACATATTCTCAACTTGGGCCACTTCTCCTTCCTTTGAAAGATATTTTTTCTGAGTATAGAATTCTAAGTTGATATGTTTTTTCCTTTGCTTTTAAAAAATATTGCTCCACTATCTTCCCATTTGCATTGTTTCCAACAAGAAATCTTCTGTCACCATTGTCTTTATCTGTGTATACCAAGACTCTTTTTCTCTCCCCTCTGGCTGCTTTTAAGACTTTCTTTTTACAACCAGTTTTGAGTAGTTTGATTATGATCTGCCTTGTTATGGATTTCTTCATGTTTCCTGTGCTTCAATTTTGTGGAATTTCTTGAATCCGTGGGTTTATAGTTTTTATCAAATTTGGGAAATATTTTAGCCATTACTTTTCAAAGTTTTTATCCATACTTCTCTCTCCTCTCCTTTGAGTACTCTACATATAAGAGGTCACATAAAGTTGTCCCGCAGTTCACTGATGCTCTGTTTGTTTTTGTTCTTGTTGCCTTTTTTCTGTGTATTTCAGCTCAGATAGATTCTATTGCTATGTCTTCAAGTCACTAATCCTTTCTTCTGCAGTATCTAATATACCATTGATCTTATGCAGTGTATTTTTTATCTCACATATTGTACTATGAGACTTAGAAGTTCAATTTGGATCATTTTTTCTATTGCATATCACTACTTAACTTTTAAAATATGTCCATACTAATTATTAAATATTAACTAATGTCCGCTAATTCTAACTTCTGTGTCAGTTTTGGTCAATTTTATTTGCCTGATTTTTCTCCTTATTATGGGAGATATTTTAATGCTTTTTTTCATGCATAGTAATATTTTATTGAATGCCAAGCATTGTGGATTTCACTTTTGTGTATGCTGGATTTTTTAATTCCTAAAAATATTCTTGAGCTTTGTTTTGGATACAGTTCAGTTATGCAGAAACAGTTTGATCCTTCAGGGTCTTGCTTTTAAGATTCATTAGGCAGAACCAGAACAATGTCCAATCTACAGCAAATTATTCCACACAACTGAGTCAAGACCCTTCTGTGTATTCTACCCAATGCCTCATGAATCTTTAGGTTTTCCCTTATGGCTAATGGAAACAAGCACTATTTCCAGCCCTATGTGAGTATGGAGTGCTATTCCTTACAATCATTTCGGATGGTTCTATCCCTAGCCCTGGTCAGTTTCCTGACACATAGGTATTTATCAGTTCTTTTCTGAATACTTGAGGGAATCCTTCCGTAGACCTCTAGAGTTATCCCCCTGTGCAGCATTCTCTTCTCCAGTGTACCATCCTGCAAACTCTAACTGCCTTTTTCTCTCCCAACTTTGAACTCTGCCTTCTGAACTCGAGAGTCTACCTGAGTTTCCCCTTTCTGTGCCATAAACTGGAAAATCTCTCAAGGTAATAAGATGGGGCACTCATAGGGCTCCCTTCATTTGATTCCCATTTCTGAAAGGTTATTCCTCTTCATTGCCTAAATTGTCATGTCTAGAAAACTAATGTTTCACTTATTTTGTGTATTTTTGGTTGTTTCAGGAACAAGAGCAAATCTGAAACTTGCTACTCCATCTTGGCTGAAAGCAGAAGTTCTCCACCTCTGTTCCTCCATATTTGCCTTCTGTTTGTAAATGTTAGGCAGCAGCCTTATTGGCTGCCTAAATATTTTGCCTCTAAGGACGCCAGGCTCTGTTATCCATGCTCTCAGTTCAAGCCACCATTGCAGCCCTTCTGACCTTGCCAGTCTTTATGATAATTGTAGCCCTCTGGCTTCTGATATATTAGGAAGTCATCATCTTCCTAATGGTCCAGTTCTGCATCTGTCTCTCCTATCAGCAGCCTTAATCTGCAGAGGAGAACCAACAATGAGTTACTTGGGAGACTGGTGTGCTTCTCACCAGTGCATTCCTAATGTTATTGGTGAATGGTGTGTCCTCTGGGTCCTCCAATGAAACATATCCTCTATGGGCCTTCTGGCCTCATATACTGCATGTCCCTTTCCCTCAGGTTTTTTCCTCCTGCCGGGGAAACTCAGCTATTTCTACTTCATCTCAGTATGGGCCATTGCCTTCTCTAGGCTTCTAGAAGCTTCTTTAGCAGTGAGTTTGTCCCATCTCCTCAGGCTTTTGCAAGGGTATTAAATCTTACATTCCAAGAGAGTGATGTCAATTCAATGAATTCTTACTTGTTCAGTTATATGTTCTGGACTTTTGATCAAACACTGCAGAAATCCTATCCCAGAGGTATTCTCTTGCCTCCTGACAGTACTTACTTGCTCATTCATGCAACTCCCTCAGAATGAGACCTCTTTCTCCTCTTGTCAGGCTTAGCATGCTCCCAGCAGGTTTATACTGGCCTGGTATTCATATATTAATACAGAAATTGAAGCATGCCATATGTAATAAAGATGCACAAATCCTGAGTGTATTGATGGATTAATTTGCATGAAGTAAACACACCCAGACATCCATCACCCAGGTCAAGAAATGAAACATGGTCAGCTCTCCAGAAGCTCATCTCGTGGTACCTCCCAGTCAATGCCTCCCTTCTAAAGATAAGCATGAGCCTGACTTCTACATCACAGGTAAATTTTGTTTGACTTCGAACTCTTTATAAGTGGAATCACGCAGTATATATGCCTTTGTGTCTGGCTTCTTTGCCCCAACCATGTTTGTGAGTTTCATCCATGGTTTTACATGAGGTTGTAGTTCATGAATTCTCATTGCTGAGTAGTAACCCACCGTATGATTATATCACAATATAATAATCTCTTTTACAGTCTATGGGCATTGGCTTTTTTTCCAGTTTTGTGATATCACCAATAGCACTGCCATAAGCCTTCTTGTATGTGTCTGTTGATGAACATACAAGCACATTTCTGTTGGGTGCATATGAAGGAGTAGAATTGCGGGGTCTCAGGGTAGGTGTATGTGCATCAACTGTATTTTGAAACAAGCTGGTGAGTGGGACTTTTCTCTCTGACTAAGTCCCTGAGCTAAATTTGTCATAAGATAAGTGATAAGTGCCCCATATTCTATAGAGGAGCTGCAGGACACACACCCTCAGACTTCTTAAGAGGTGGCCTAACAGGTCACCCACTAAGACCTAAGAGTATCCCCATCACCCACTCCAATCTATATAAGGAGAGGAGTAAATGTTTGAGAGAAATATGGGGAAGTAAAAAGATAGTCAGCTTTGAGAGTTGTCACCCTGGGCAGAGAGCACTGTGACTCAGGAAGAGGTACAGAAAGGGACAAGGCATGGAAGGCACAGCAGCCACCAAGCATAGGAGGTTGCTCAAGAGATTGGCTTCAGGGACCAGCCTGATACCCATGGCTGGTGGCTTGCTGAGCTGTGGAATCTGGGAGCCCCATTCCACCCTCAACTAGGATAGGATGAGATGAGATAAGAACCATCCTGGGAGTGTGTACTTGGGAGCTTAAGGACACATGTCTTAGGCTGGGTTCCCCCTGGAATCAGACCCTGTGCTAAAGACTCAAGTACAGCAGTTTGAGAAATATTCCAGGAAGTACTGAGAGGGAAGTAGGAAAATGAGAGAAGGATGGAAAGGAAGCCAATACAGCATGCATTAATGAGCAGGGACCATTGTGGGCAACTGGAGCTCAAACCCATTGATGACTATCATGCACACACTGTGTCCCAAATAAAGTCAAGGAAGCTGGGGTATTTATCCACAGACTCCTATTCCCAGGCATGTCAGCTCCCCTGGTACATTGAGCAGAGCCCACAGGAAGAAAGTGACAGGTGCTAACTGCGACTTTCACCCCATGGAATATGACAGCAAGGAGAGGTGCATGCCCACCACAGCGTATATGTACAGAGATTCACACCCATTTCTTACCTGGAGAAACTCTGGAAGTGGGAGTCAGGCTGGGGCAGCCCTCTGTGGAAAGGTGAAGAGAGAGGCAGCAGCAGGCACCCCATACCACCTCAATTTGCTGTAGTGAGACTGCGCGAGTTTCCTGTGGACAAAATACAGGCCACGGGAGGTAGCCAGGCTCAAGATGTCTTGATGGCATCATGCCTGTTAGTTGTAGGGTATCCTGCAAGAAAGGGGAGCGAGAGAAAGGTCCCATGAGGTCACCCAGAGAACAGGAAACCCATACCCAGAAATAGTGTCACACAGAGATCCTTCCTGAGAAAACCATGATGCCCCATGAAAGCCAACAGAAGATGCCACTCCCTGATAGAATTGATGCCTTGTAACAGCCTATCCAGGATAACATCTGTCCTCTCACCTCAGGGCTCACACACAGGGGACAGAACACCCACAGCAGCAGATAAGAGGGCAAGGAGGGAGGAAGATGCCAGACAGTCCCAGTTCCCCAACCTCCCCTCCTCCAGGATTCCAGCTCAAGTCAAGCTGAGACAAGAGGAAGGAAGAAGACTGGAAAAGGCTGCAAGACTGGATTTGATAGAAACTAGGCTGGACATTTTAATACCTGAAAATGAGTCAATTACAGAAGTTAACAGGAAAGCTAACCCATTCATCTGAGATATTGACAAGGGAAGGAGCAGGCAAGATAGTTTGAAGACAGTAATGTATGAAGACTGTTTCATAAATGGCTAACATCTCTGTCCTGCCTCTTCCTCCTATGTCTGAAATGCCCCTGCCCTCAGCCCACCACAGCAGAATCCTTTCTCTCCCCTAGACACAGGGTTTTCAGCCAAGCATCATCATCATCCCTCCAACCATTGCAGTAACATGTTCCTGTGTTCCCAACGAGGTTGGCCTGGCCTTCCCGGCGTAGGTGCGTCTCTCAGGACTGACCAATCACAGGACTCCATCCCATCAAAGCTAGGAAGAAAAAGATGCTCGCAGGATGTCCTGTGTTTTCTTAGAGTCGGTATTCATCTATTGGGCATCCACTCATTGGGCCAATTGTATTAACAATATTTGCTTATTTTCTGTAGTATTGATGCTCTGGCATTTGTGGCCTCTCTAACTGGAGAGAAACTGCCTCTCCCAGGACTAGCTGATTCCTAGAGATAATAAACTCCACCTGACTACACGCCTTTCATATGCAAACCAACCAACCCTGAGTCCATACCCCTAAACACCTCCTTTATTCAACTCTCACTCCCCAAGGCAATATTTCCCCTGCCCCAAATCAACCCAAGCTCAAGTACCAGACCACTAGACACAAGTCCCTATGCCCCAAAGCCTGACAGAATTATTCAGAATAGCCAATTCTAAACTAACTACCCCCCACACCCATACCCAATGCCTTGCCTTGCCTGAGGAAACCCTAATAAAGGCTCTGGCAGAGGCTTCCCCCTCACTCCCTCTGCCTCCTGACCAAAACTGATGCTTCTCTCTGAGGCCTCTTGTGGTGTAGTATGCCCCTTCTCTCATGAGCTGTTCAGTAACAAAGGTCTTATTTCAATGCCATTGACCCCTTTGTGTCATCCCGTGGCCACCTCCGTATATTAAAATCCTGCAGGTATGCTTTGAGACACAGGATACAAGGACCTTGAAAACTGGAGTTGCCAGGGGCATCTTTACAGCCCCATGTAGCAAGCTGCTAAATAACCACCCCAACCCAGGGGAGGCAGAGCTAAGAAATGAACACACGGCCACAGCGTGGACCACAGTTTTGTAGCACCTGGGTTCATAGGCTTCACCCTGAGCGTAGTGTTTATATGAGCCACAAACAAAACAAAACATAAGGTTTTTTTTTTCTTTTTTTTCTTTTTTTAACTTTGCTTTAACCAGGTCAAGATGCACTTTCTGATCTTTGTAGCTAAACGTTCTGGCTAATGTACTCTCCTCCCAAATCCCTGATAAAGTCTCACCTCCTCCAGGCAGCCATCCCAGGTAGCCATCCCAGGTTACCCCAATGTCCCAGTCTCTCCTTCCTCAAAATGCCAACTGCTCCTAGGATCTTGTAACATCTTCTGTTACTCTCTCACATGCCATCTCATACTATTCTCTAACCATCCCATGATTTCCCTCTGCTCCCAGTTTCTAGAGAGCAGGGGTGCTCTTTAGTTCTCTTCCTGGGAATTCTCTTATGTCTCCAATTATTTTGGGAGCCTCCCAGAGGTACCTATCTGTGATCAAATTATCATTGGGCTAACGGCAGGTGATCTTCCTGCCACCACTTATCCCTAGATGCCCACATATGGCCCCACTGGAGAGCCTATATATAAATCCAGCTGCAGTTTCCCCCCATCTTGTCCTAAAATTCAAAGACATCACGATTTCCCTCTTTACTTCCCCTGAAACATCAAGAACCACATCACTTCTCAAGGCTCACCTGGCCTGGCTCACCAACACACAAAAGCTCTGTGTGATATGAGTGGAAAACCCTGAATGGGCTAAGGCTAATGTAAACCCTTGTGGGTACCTAGTTCAGCTTTGGTTTATCTCACCTTCCCCAACTGGTTAATTATGGGGAAAGGAAGAGAGTAATGACACCACTTCCCAGCCTCTGTGGTCTGGTCCATTCATGGAGAGGACACAGCACTTTGGGGGTCACAGGATTCTGAGTTCGAGTCCTGGCTCTACCACTGCCTGACTGTATGTCTTCAGGCAAGTCTTGTCCCTCTCTCCAATCCTCAGGAACTTTTGATCTGAAATAGGGTCATTAATAATCCAGACTGTGAACTGGGCGTGGTGGCTCACACCTGTAATCTCAGCACTTTGGGAGGCCAAGGCGAACTGATCACCAGAGGTCAGGAGTTCGAGACCTGACTGGCCAACATGGTGAAACCTCGTCTCTACTAAAAATACAAAAAATTAGCCAGGTGTGGTGGTGGATGCCCATAATCCCAGCTACTTGGGAGGCTGAGGCAGGAGAATCCCTTGAATCCAGGAGGCAGAGGTTGTGGTGAGCCAAGACCACACCATTGCACTCCAGCCTGAGAAACAGAGAGAGATTCTGTCTCAGAAAAAAAAGAAAGAAAGAAAGAAAAGAAACCAGTATGTTCATGTATATTTTGGCTTAACATAAAGCTAGAAGGGGTATTTAAGTGAAAATTGCAAAAGTAAGACAATCTAAAAAAAAGTGTCAACAAAATAATTATAGAGTGGATCCATGGGCAGATATAGCAACAACAATAATAATAATAAAGGTAATTGGTGATAAGGCAAGAGGCCAAATCTATTTGCTAAAAATAAAAAGCAATGTTCATAATAAAAGCGTGGAAAGAATAATATCAAGCAAAACCATATTTCATTTTAATGTGTAAAGTACTTTCTCATCTATAATCAACTGGGCTAATCTCATGTGGTGAATGTTCCTGTTCTCCATTTTAACAAAATAATTAAAACTGAGGTTCAGAAAGACTAAGAGGCTTGTCCTTGGTCATGTCAAGGCAAAGCCAGGGTTATATGTCAGACTGGTCTGGACACTACTTAGAAAAAAGAAAAATCTCCGCACCTGATTCTTGGAGAATCATTCTAGGAAGAGGGCAGTTCAGGCCAGATTCATGTCTCAGCACCTTCTATCCTGAAGACACACCCCAAAGGTAGTCAGGATCATCCCCTTGGGCAGCAAGGGGCATGTTCACCCAGATCCCCAACTAAAACGTCTCTGCCTCATGAGTTCAAATGATTAGCTGCTTCCAACCTAGGCCCCTCTTCTCCATCCATCCCTTCCTCCCCGACTCTGGGGCCCTGACACTTCACTGGAGTGGCAACTCTTTCAAGGACGCTAAAAATTGCTTTATTTTTCACCACTAATTTGCCAACAAGCTCAGTCGTCCATCCAGTTGGCCCGAAATGAAATTCTATAATTATACAAAAGCCTGGGTCAGCGACCTTCTGATTGCAATATCTTGTCTCTTTTGTCCCTTCCTTCCACCACCTCACCCATGGGACAAAATTGCTTCAGCTCCTCCGGCAGCCTCCAGAATGAGGTGGTATTGGAAACTAGTGAGGCGTGGCCCTGTGGAGGTGTTCATAGCTTTGCAATAATTTACCCATTTTCATTTGTTTGATTTCATTAACACCTGGGTCTCAGGGGAGAGCCCAGTTGGGAAGGGGGAAAAAACAAGTGATTTCAGTTGAAATCGAGTGGTTATCATTGCCTTGTCTTGCAGTACCAAGGGAGTGTGGAATGCCAAGGGTGGAGTGCAGTCTGAGCAGGGTGATGAAGGAGGCCTCTCCTTAGAGGCAGCTTCTGCTAAAAAGTCTTGCCTTTCACATTCCTCAGTCCTCAACGGTCCCATCTCTCAAACTCACCCCATTGACACCAAGGGTATGCCCTATACCAGTGTCCCTTTCTCAACAAGCCAGCCTTACCGGCCCACTGGGCCAAGGCTGCTGGGGTGGCTACATTGAGACAGCATGGCTTAGCGGTTAAAGGCGTGGATGCCCAGAACTGGGCTCTAATCCGGCTCCAGCTCCTGCTTGCCTGGAGCCTTGAACATGGAGCTTCAACTCCACCAGCCTCATTTTCTCTCTTAAATAAAGTAGAGACGACAGCACGCACCTCATAAAGGTTGCTGCAAGGATTAGCTGGGATAATGAATGGGGAAGCACCCTGAATGCTGTGTCTGATACATTGTGAGTGCTCAGCGGAGTGAGAAAGAACAATAGTAATGGTTGCCATCTTTATGATTTTCTCTTCTTTTTCATCTTTACCGTCACCATCATCATCATCATCATCATCATCATCATCATCATCACCATCATCAATCATCACTCCCCACCTGGCCATCTCAGCCTCCACAGGCTCTCAGCAGAAAGAACCCAGTCTCAGAGGGAAGGCTGAAATGTTCTCTGGCAGTGAGCAGTCCCTGGGCCCAGCTTCCTCCAGAGAGAGACTTTGATCCAGTACAAGTCACACTACCGACCGGCATGGCACACCCTTTCTCAAAGGCGTAAGAATTCTGGTGACTTTGTGATTCCCAAGTGATGGGGAAGGACACTCCGTTGGTTAATGGCATCTGATGGTGAGAGAGTCCCTTGTGGCCAGGCTGGATCTGTTTATTCTCCCAGTTTTCTAGAGCTTCCCAGAGAGACCCCAGAGCAGGGAAGCAAAAGCCATTGCCATTTTAGCCCGTGGCAATAGAGGACAGTTGGAAACATCACTTTAGGGTGGAAGGGTCTTCCAGAGGCCCCTTGAATCAGCAACAAGGGGCATTAGAGTCTGCTTCCGTCCTCACAAGAGGTTGATCTGCCTGTAAAGGCAAGTCCTTCTATTGCCAGTAATAAGAATGTGCGGATGACTACAGCTGACATTTATTGAGCACTTACTGTGTGCAGTGTTCTAGGCACTGTCCATGTGTTAACTCATTTCACTCTTATGAGTGGCTGCTGTGTTTGTCCCCATTCTATTGCTGAGAAAGCTCAGGCAACAGGAAGTTAAGTCCCTTGGTCTGACAACCAAGAGTGGTCAAGCAAAGACTCAATCTGGTCTGCCTGACCCTAGAGTCCACGTCTTCCAGCTTTTGGACAGCTCCAGCCTTTACAAAATCCTTGAGTAACTTGAATTAAAATTTCTTCCTAGAACGTGTGCCCCTCGGTCCTGGTTCTGCATTTAGGGTTCTCTCTGCAGAACTCAACCCCCTCCAGTGAGACAGCCGTGTCCAGGGATGTGTTCAGCTCCCAGTGCCCCCACCCAGCTCCTCTGCTCCAGACTGCAAATGCCATTAATATTTAGCATTAGAAGGATCTGGTGAAGCCCATAAATCTGCATATGTTAAAAAAAAAAAAAAAAAAAAACACCACAGGGAATTCCTAAGTGGAGAGGGTGGGAGTAGGGGATGGGGGAGGTGGCCCTTAATTCTGCCTTGAGAAACCCCGCCTGAGGCCTCAGCACCTCCTTGTCCAGCCACCCACAAGTGAGGGTCAACTCAAGTGCCTGAGTGTCCTCTCTGCACCCTGAGAGACCGCTATTCCCAGCCATGCCCTGACCCCAGCCTCCAGCTTAGCAGCCAAGGCCCCCCACCCAGGACCATCACATGCCGGTTAGAAAGTCCCAGGCTCTGAGTGCAGTCAGATTTTTACAGCAAAACCACATTCCCTCGGCCCCAGCTTCCTTCTTTCTGTTTCTCTGAAGTAATAACTGGTCGCAGCCAGCGCCAGAGAAAAGCAGTCTCCCAATAGCTGAAAACATCTGAAACTGGTGATCAGCAGCTTCCTGATAAGATCCCAGAGTTGGGCAAGTGGACTCAAGCATGCGCGCTAAGAGGCAAAATGGCAGCATTTACTTGGTATATGACCTTCCAGGGACATTTGACTGGTAAGGGAAGAACGCCTCAAGTAAGCACACGTACAACTTCAGTAAATATACTGTGCATGGTCCCCTCCCAAGCGCTGGCAGGCTGCTGTGCATGCAGACAGCCCACCCCAATGGAAGAATCAGGGGAGAAGAGAAGCCGGACCCCAGAAGTATGCCCACATATAAGACCCCAATTCAAAGGTCAAACAGGGCACTTGTCTTTCAAGTTGCCCACTTGGCCCTCTTCCAAATATGCTTGCCTTCATTCTGTTCCCACTCTAAAACTTTTTAATAAACGTTCATTCCTGCTCTAAAGACTTTCCTCGGTCTCTCCTTCTGTCTTATGCCTACTCAGTGGGATTGTTTCTTCTGATGAGGCAAGAATTGAGGTTCTGCAGACCCATAGGGATTCGCCACGGGTAGCACTAACATCTCTCCATAGTTGTCTCCTTCTCCCCACCACCTCCCCCAGGGAGGCCTTCCCTGACCACCCTATCTACAGGTGGCCCCTTCCAGGCCCTCTCTGTCATATAATTCTGCTGGATTTTTCTCCATTGCATGGAAATTTCTTATGCATACATGAAGCCAGTGTCTCTTGTTCCTGTCTCTCTGTGCCTCAGTTTCCACATCTGTAAAATGGGGAAAATGCTACCTGCTGGGTTGTTTGGATAATGAAATGAGTTAATATAGGTACAGCACTCAGAACAGTGCCTGGCACACAGTAAGCATGATGAAAGTGGTGGCTTTATTCTTTATATTAATATCATTGCTCTCAGTATCTGGAGCAGCACCTCATACACAGTAGGCGCCCAATATGCATGTTTGAATAAATATACGAATGGATGGCTGAGCCACCATGCAGAGAGCCTGAAAAGTCCCACCCCGCCTGCTGCTGAAGACCCAGGCCACCCCCTCCTCATGGGCTATAATTACCCAATAACAAGAAACCCAGCCCCCTGGGCTTCATGCACAGCACATTTTCCAAAGATGAAAAGCTCATTCGTTAATAACTACATAGCAATATCTAAAATTTTGGTTGCATTGTGAGGCTGGGTGGCTTCCCCATTCACCAATAATGACAGACCACTTAAAAAATAAATAACACATATAATTTAAGCAACTAAAACAAATGGCAGTGTTGGCTTTCCCTGGGAAAACATTTTCACTATTTCCTCGAGGCGTCCCCATGGGTGCCCTTGCCTCGGCCTCCCCTGCAGAGATGCCTTCTCAGCAGGTGACCTGGGAGTGGAGCATGCAGAGCAGTGTCAGAGAGGAGACCTCACCCACAGCCTCCCAGAGTCCCTTCCCAGAAAAGCCTGGCCTTGTGCTCCCCAGAGGAGGGAAGGGGGAAAACTGCCTTCTCCCTCCACACCCATATTCACTATCTTTCCCCTCACCCTTTCCCCTGTGGGGAGACTTTGTAACCTCATATCCCTATGGGGCAGACAGGCAATGTACACGAGCAAAGCAGGTGGATGCATGAGGCAATAGGGATGGGTGGGGCTTGTGGCAAATTGAAGAGGAGACAGCCCTGCCACAGGGAACAAGCCTCACCAATGGTTGCTATGCAGAAATGCAGGCTCAGTTTTGCAAAATCTCCTGACATTTCAAAATAAGCCATCAATTTGAATTTAAAATGTCAGTCCCTTTAACAACCTCGCAGGTCCCTCATTCTGGGCCCTGCTGCCTCTAATTTCATCTCCGACTTCTCTACCCTTCACTCACCCTGCTAAGGCCACACTGGCTTCTTTACTGTTCTTGGACCAAGACAGGCACATTTCCACCCCAGGATATTTGCACTGAATATTCCCTCTGCCTAGAACATTCTTCTCCCAGATAAACTCATAGGTCAGGAGGCCAGTAGGGCTGGAATGCAGTAGGTGAGGAGGAATATAGCAGGAAAGAAGTTGGGGTGGAATCCAGAACAGCCAGATTATAGGTGAGTGGTGGGAAGGTTATAAATTTGTAGGCCTGTTTTTGGTCATCACAAAGATTGGGGGTGTTAATGGCATTTAGTGGGTAGAGGCCCACATGCTAGAACCTTTGTGATGTGTGGACAGCTCCTCACACAAAGAATTATCCAACATATATCAAGGCAGGTAAAAAACCTAGATAGAATTTGGAGCCTGGAACCTAACTTGATTTCACATTTAACCCAAAGGAATGTGGGGTTATTTTTGGTTTTGTGTTCATGTTTTGCTCAATTTCATTAAACACTGAGATTTCTGGGGCTGCTGCTTGTGTGTGGATCAAGCGGAGGTTATGCTCTGTTATTCTGGGGGCTTTATCAGGAGCTGATCACCTTCATGAGGACTCCATCAGTGAAAGCCATGCCCTTCATGGAGTTTGAATCACTGAGTGGGCGCCAAACTGTATTTGTCGTGTCCCATTCTTAGAAAGTCTACCTGCAGAGGGGGCTTTGACACCTTCATTGTGTTTTTCAGAAGAGTTGGGCTGGAATATTTACATGCTGAGATAACTATTATTTTATTATAAATTCGTTTCCTTTTAATTCTCCTCTAGAATACAATTAGGGCATTATGTGGCTTACATGGATTTATGTAAATTGTGTCTATAGATAGGTGATATTGCCTATGAATTTCATTTCAGCATGGTGTAATAAGGGGCATGTCAATGTATTCGTTATTTTAAAAGGAAGAAGAAAAAGAGACCAGGCCTGATATGCCTGAGTTCCCAGATGTGGAATTTTGCAGGATATGGTCAGGGACTTGTGCTTTTCCTTGGCTAAGCCGGGAGCCCTGGCAGAAGAAAGATTCATCTGACCTGCACCTTTTAGATGCCACTCCAGGGGGCAAGCGTGAAGCAGCAGACACTCCTTAGGAAACATTCGACCATCCAAGAGAAACAGGAACAGAGCAGAGGAGGTGGTGAGAGTGCCGCTGAGACCTGCTGAGGGGTTGGATGTGGAACTTCCGAGAAAGAGGACACAGGGATAACTCCACGGTGTGGTTCCGAGTTACCGTGGAGGTCGGAGAAGAAGTGGACAACTTCTGAGATGAGGAAATCTGAGTCTTGATTTGGGTGCCTACCTGTGCCCAGCAAACAGAAAGAGCCCAGTGGTAATGCCAGGAGCAAACCCCCATCCCGCCTCCCCCAGCCCATCCCGCCTCCCCCAGCCCATCCCGCCTCCCCCAGCCCATCCCGCCTCCCCCAGCCCATCCCGCCTCCCCCAGCCCATCCCGCCACACCGATTGCCGTCACCAGCAGGTGGCGCTATGGAGCAAGCCTGAGACCTGGAGTCAGAAAACCTGGATCCGTGTCCTGGCTCCCCCAGTGAGCAGAGATGAACAAAGTGGGCACTGCAGAGAAAAGATCCCCTTGTCACCAAAACCACCGCTGTCCATCTTCCATGCTTCCTCGTGTCCCCACAGGCTAGCCTCAAGAATGGCAGGGACTCTCAGACCAACTCTCAGTTCGATTTTCAATTTATTATCTATATCCAGCTCCTTTCCAAAGATACTTGAGGTGTCTTTCAAAAACACACACAAAGGAGTGAAAAAGGAAGGGAAGACAATTAAGAAGAGGAAATAGATAAATAATTCTAGCACAAATGGAGCTGCTATGACTGGGCACCATCGCAACAAACAAGACAAAATGGGAAGGCCAGCTGTTGCTGCATAACAAATCTCCCCAACATCTAGAAGCTGAAAACACCATTTGTCACTCCTCACAAATCTCAGGCTGGGCTGCACAGTTCTGCTGGTCTGAGGCAGGATTGGCTGATCTTGGTTGGGCTCATGCGTGCATCTGGAGACCAATGGCAGGCTGCTGGGTGCTGGGTGCTGGCTGCTCTGAGATGGCCTTAACTGGGACACCTTGGCTGGGTTCTACATGGCCTCTCATCCAGCAGCAGGCCAACCCAGGCTTGTTCACATGGTGATAGCAGGGGCCCGAGAAAGCAGAAGCTGTCAGGCCCCTTGGAAAGCCTCTTCCTCTAGGCTTAGAACTGGTATACCAGCACTCCTGCTATGTTCCATTGGCTGAAGCAAGTCACAAGGCCAGACCAGATTTTAGGGGCAGGAAATGGACTTCACTTCTTATTGGGAAGAGTGATGGTTGTTGCCATTTTTGCAACTTACGACCATGATAAATTGTGGAGCTCTAATTATCAGAGAAGAATAAATATGACAGTTTCTTGGAGCAAAATTGTTCCCCTTGACCAACTCAGAGAAATGTTTCCAAGGGCCGACACCACGTTGGCCTCATTTTCTTCATAGCAGTGATCATTCATTGAGTACTTACTATGTGCCAGACCCTAGGCATCCTTTATATTCATGTGCTTCCAAAAGCACAGGAGGCACAGCATGGCTCTTCATCATGAGTTTAGTTGGTACACAGATAAACAGTTATGACGTCGTCTTCTTTGTCTTTTCTTATTGCTTTGCATTTGTGACAAGTGATATCAATTTTCCTCTAATGCTAATAATATAAAAATTTCCTTTTGAAATAGATCAGCTCAAGTCTTTCAACATGGATTCATTTAAGGAAATATTAATTAAATAAATAATGAAGTTGGGTGTGGTGGCTTATGTCTGTAATCCCAACAGTTTGGGAGGCCAAGATGGGAGTATGGCTTGAGGCCAGGAGTTCCAGAGCTGCCTAGGCAACATAGCGAGACCTCATCTCTATATAAATAAAGGAGTCAGCCAAGTTTGGTAGTGTGTACCTGTAGTACTAGAGACTAAGGTGAGAGGATCCCTTGAGCCCGGGAGTTTGAAGATGCAGTGAACTACGGATAGCACCACTGCCCTACAGCCTGGGCAACAGAATGAGACCTTCCATCTCTAAAAAATAAAATAAACATAATGGTACAGGTGGCATGTGGTCATAGTAAAACTCATGAGGGCGCAGGCAACACACTGAAATTTGAAAAACATGCTGAATTATCTCTATTCATCCCTGAGAAATAAGTATTATGTTTTTCATTTTGCAGATAGGGAAACTGAGTACAGACGGGGTCCCCAGAGGCACAGACTCAAGATAGTGCCAGATGTGCAGCTCTGTCTGAAAAAGCCCTGAGTGAATGTTCCCAGGTGGCTTGTAATAGGAAGCTTGGCAAATGGCAGAGGCCTGTGGTGGCATCTGTCACCTAATGAGAACCCCGGGGCTTCCAGGGTGCCCCTGCCACTGCTACTTCTGGGCTTCTGAGTATAATGAGGATGGCAGGCCAGGGCCCTCGCAAGGCACACTTTCAGAATCTGTGTCAAATGGAATTTGAATCAGAAAGTTCCCTGGAGACCCAAGGGAGGCATCAGTCTGAAATCTCCAGTACAGGTAGGTGGCAGGCATGGTGCATGTTAGCTGAAATCACTCTTTACCTGAGAGGCCACACACGCACAGCGGCACTGAATAAATTAGAGAAAATAGACGTGCTTCTCGGAAAGGGTAGTGGGAAGCCTCTGTGCTCCCGGCGCTGTTGTAAGTGCATTCTTTCCTCAGGTTCCATGAAAGCATGTCCCGTGGGGCCCATCCTGAAGCCAACGGGCTGGGTCCAGTGAGGGGCAGAAGAGGTCAGGAGGGAGGTGGGAAAGCTAGCAGAGCCCTTCCTGGCTGCACACCCCAAGATCTGGGCCTCACAAGCATCTGGGCACTCGTTCAGGGCGCCTGCGAAATAAACCAACATTATGAACCGAATTGTACCCTCATACTTTGTATGTTGAAGTCCTAACCCCCAGGACCTCAGAAGGTGGCTGTATTTGGAGATAAGGCCTTTAAAGAAGCAATTCAGGTTAAATGAGGTCATTGGGGTGGGCCCTAATCCAATCTGACAAGCGTCCTTAAAAGAAAAGGAGATTAGGACACAGACAGACAGAGGGAGGACCATGTGAGGTCACAGTGAGAAGAGTGCCATCTGCAAGCCTAGGAAAGAAGCCTCAGAGGAAACCGCCCCTGTTGATTCCTCTATCTCAGACTTCCAGCCTCCAGGACTCTGAGAAAATGCATTTCTGTCTTAAGCCACCCAGGCTATGGTATTTTGTTGTGGCAACCCTAGCAGACCAACACAAGCAGTGAGCGCTCTCGGCGGCTGCTCTGGTGTTTACATCACTTAGAAGTTCTTGGTGTCTAGATCTTTCTCTCTTTCTCTTCTTTCTACATGACCCAGCTAGGGGATCAAAGAAAACCCGCATTTCGTGGGGCTCTCATGCCAGAGCATGCTCCAAGCCCTGTGAATGTTTCCAAAGTGAAAGAGTACCTAGGGAGAGAGCTGGGGGTGCTGGGTGGGGCCAGGAGTAGGGTGGGAAGGTGATTTCTGCCTGAGGAGCAGGACACACAGCAGACCAGAGTCTTTCTCTATTCATGCATTCACTTATTCATGTGTTCATTCATTCGCTTGATGGATTAGCCCTGATCCCACCTTCAGGGAATTAGGAGAAGGCTGCTGTGTTCACCCTCCCAAGCCCACCCAGAGGGGTGTGGCTCTGAGGGCAAGGAGTGAAGCCAGGTCAATAGCCTGGCTTTGAAGTGTGAACCTGCCTTTATAGGCTGTGTGCACTGGTGAACCCCGAAACATCTGGAGGCCGTGGTTTCCTCACTTGCAAGATGAGAATAATAATCAAATCTACCTTGTAGAGATTTTTGAGGACTAAATGAAATGACACGAGTAACCTGCTCAGAACAGAATGTGGCACATGGCCATTACTCAAAAATCAAGGTCACAGTTTATTGCTATTAATATTATTTCCATTTCCTGCCCTGACAGATCCCAGCCTGTGTCTGATCTTCATACGGTCTCACGCTCACTTCATACCCCAGGGCCCTTGCTCAGGCTGTTTCCAACACCTGGAGTATCCCCTCCACCTCCTTGCCTGAGGCCAGCCTACTTCTCACCTCCTCCAGGAACACCACCTCCCATGAAGCCATGCTCCAACCCTCTGCATCTGCAGTGCTGCCACTTAGCACTACTTGGGGTCCTCATCTCTACCCGGTACTGGGATGCTTTCTGGTCAGGGCCTAAGCCCTCCCCTTTTTCATACCCTCCTCCAGCCTTACCCAGGTGCACGTCCTGGCTATCCCATGGGATTTGTCCCAGAAATCAGCTCCAAGCTCCATTCTCTAAAGCAGTGGCTCCCAACTGGGGCTGCTTTTGCCCTCTCGTCCCCGACCCAGGGGGCATTTGGCAATGTCTGGAGACATTTTTGGTTGTTACACAGTGGGTGTGGCAGGGGTGCTATTGTCATCTAGTGGCTAGAGGCCAGGGAGATTGCTAAACCTCCTGCCATGAATAGGGCCTCCCACAGTAAACACTTACCCCACTCAGAATGTTCATAGTGCCCCAAGGTAGAGAAGCCCTGCTCTCAGGAGGCACCTGCTCTCCTTCAGAGAGGGTGAGCTCTGGGGTTCCGGGTAATTCGATTCTCAGGACAACGCACATCCTGGCTGGGCGGACCTCTCCGCGCGGCAGCCTCCAGCACCTGGAGCTGTCTGCCCCTGACGCGGAGCCCTCCCTCGCCCGCCCCTTGTCACAGCATCCGCGGATCCCTGCGGATTTGTATGAAGCAATTGACCTGTGACTAAGGCCAGCTGAGCTCGCCTTGTTCCCGCAGGGCGGGGACAATACCCCTATTAACTGGAAGGCAAGGTCCCAGCACAGCAGCGCAGAGCATGGATTGGGGAGGGGCGTGGATGGGGGCGGGGAGAAAAAGGGCAGCTCCAGAGCTGTCCTAGGTCGGGGGCGGTAGTCCCTAGTACTAATGGTTATAATTAGCCCAACATGAATATCAGCATCTTCTCCTAGATGCCTAGTACATGAGAGCTCATGCTGATTCACATCCCTGATGAGATGCCTCCACCTGCCAACCTCAGGGGTATAGTCCTTGTTCCCACTTAACGTAAGAGGAAACTGACAGAGATCCCAGGCGATTTACCCAAAGTCACCCAGCTGGTAGATGGAGAAGTAGAGGCAGGAACTCGGATTATCTGAATTATGGTTTGTATTAAGCACTCATTCTGTGCCAGGCGCAGTGAAAGTACCAGATGGGGAGTTTGTAAACTGGGCAAATGGGGGTCCCGGAACCCCAGAACCTGATGAAACCCTGGCCCCGCCTCCTCTGAGTGTCGGCCCCAACAACAGCGCAGAAGAGGCCCCTTTCTACCACCAGGCTCCACCCCCAGCGCCATTGATTGGACTGTGCAGAAGGGGTGGGGCCTTCCAAGCGAGATGAGCCAATCAGAACCTCTCTTCAAGGAACTGGAAATTAGAACAGTGTTTGGGCCAAATAGATGGGGGTGAGCAGGGGAGGAAAGGTCTTGAGGGAGCAGCACGCTTGCCTGATGGGTGCCCAAAGCCAGGGGCAGGTGGAGGTGAGAGAAGGACAAGCTCTGCAAACGTTGCGGAAGCGCTCTGTCCATGGAGAAGGCACAGGACTTCCATGTGGGGAGCAGCTTACTCCTGCTGAGAACTTTGGGGAGACAGAGTGGAGCAGCCATCTCAGACCTGAGCGGCTAAGGAGCTGGGTCCCCCTCTGTCGCACTGTGCAGAGCTGCTGGACTTTGCAGTAAGCAGCCTTCAGGTCTAAAGGTGAGTGCCCAGGGGATATGGGCGGGGCACTGATGGGGTGAGCTACACCAGATTTTTAGCCAGATCATTGGGAATATTCTCATGCCATCTTCTGAGACACAACGTCCTGCTCAATACCCTCCTAGGGCTTCCCAATACATTTGGAATAAAATACCAAGAGATTATCCTGTTCTAGAAGGCCTTAGAGGATCAGGCTCCAACTTTTGCACCAACCTAATACGCAGCTGTTCCTCTCACTACATTCAAGCCTCTGTTCAAATGTCACGTGATTATTGAGTTCTTCACTGTATATCCTCCTTACAATAGACCCTCCTCTCATCTCTCTTCCTGTCCACCTCCTCATCCTGCTATCCTGCTATATATCCTGCTATAATTGATAATATGTATTTATTTGCTTATCTGATTTTGTTTGGTGTCCCTAAACTAGAATGTAATCTGCTTTGGCCTGTGCCTGGCATATGCTAGTTAATAAATACAGTATTGGTTAGGGAGGGAAGGAAGGTTCAGCTGCTTGGATTTAAATCTTGGCTCTGCCACGTATCAGCTGAATGACCTTGGAAGTCTTCACTCTCTGTGTCTCAGCTTCTCGTCTGTAGGACAGGAATAAATAAGAAAGCAATGATAATAATTTCTATCTCATGGCATTGTTGTGGGAATCAGGTGAAATCATGTATGTACAGCGCCTGGCAGATATTCAAGTGTTTAATAAATGCTAGCTGTGTTTATTCTTGGACCCCAATTACCCCCTTTGTGAAATGGGGTTGTTGTAAAAATTAAATGAGATAGCAAATGTAAAGCGCTTTGCACGTAGTGCACCCTCTATAAAGATTTGTGGTTATTTTTCATTAATACATGCACACATACACACACACACACACACACTCCATCCATGAAGGCTATCCATTTGTGCCTTCCCCAAGCAGAGTTCCCATAAGCCCTGGAATTAGCATGGATCTAAGCAAAACCTAGAAGTCAATGGTTGAAGGAGGACAGCTCCAGCTTAGCAACTTCCACACTCATTGCCTCTGAGCTGATGCCAGCACAGCTTTCCCTTCCTGTGCACTCTGGGAGCTTTCCCTTCCTGTGCACTCTGCAGCCCCTAGTCTCCAACAGGCAGCCTGGTGTCCCTACAAAACAGTCCCACACAAGCATCGGAACCCCGGCTGCTCCCCCTCCAGAGCCCAGACCACCAGGCTGAGCAACAACCGCGCCTCTGTGCAATGTTGCTCCTTATTAGGCATCATTAGGTACACAGTAATTATAATAATTATGTGCACTGCTTAAGCGACCATCCTCAGTAACAACCACTGCTATTCAGAAGTCATAATTGCTGCATCGAGACTTAAAATGAAGGCTAATTAGATGTCAGTTGCTACCCCCCCCAACTCACAGCCTCCTACATAATCTCTATATCCAAAATGCCCCATGACCACCAGCTATCCTTGATTAATCTGCAGAACCCAAAACAAACAATTTGGTCCACAGGAGAGCGTGGATATGCCAGCGGGATTAAGAGGGAACATGTGGATGCTTTGGGGGGGAACTTGCAGGACTTGCATCATTTCAAAAGAAAAGAATTTGGGATCAGAGGGTGGCTGAAGAACTCGGGCCGAGAGTCAGGAGATGGGGTCTAAGTCCTGGTTCTCTCAGGGTCTTGATGTGGTGTTGAACAGGTCACCTCTTCCTCCATCTGCAAAGTTGGAGGAATGGACCTAGGGATGCATTGCAGGGGCCACTTTGTAAAGTATCAAGTGATACTTTATAAGGGAGCAATAAACAAAACAGATGCAAGCAGAGCCTTTGATTAAGGCAAAACAAGAAGGTCTGGAGACTCCCTGTCCTTATCCTATCTGCCAGCACCCTCTGAAATAACTCTGCAAACCACTGGGTTTCCTGGGAGACAGATTGGAAACTGCTGGTGCCTGTGCTCTCTAAAGCCCTGGTTCTCAAAGTTGGCCCCACATTGGAATCACCTGGGCAGATTTTAAAACTGTTGATGACCAGGTTTCACTCCAGAAGTTGTTTTCTTTGGTCTGTGCTGTGACCTGGATATCAGGGTTTTTTAAATTCTCCCAGATGATCCTAAAATGCAGCCAAGCGTGAGAAGCCCTGTTCTATATGCCCCGACATCTGAACATTGAAAGCATTTACGATTCTGCTCGGCCTAGTACAAGGCTTCCCCCCTCTGGGCCTCAGTTTCCCCATTTTCTAAAATGAAAGCATTATACACGGTGGCCTCCAAGGACCTCTGGTCCTAAGTTTCCTTCAGACTAGGATTAATCTGGAGCTTGGCACGCTGAGAATGCTGAAGTGTGAGGGTAACCAAGGCTGTTTGGGTCCACTTTTCTCTTCCAAATAATATTTGTGTCTACTCCTATATGTGCAGGCCTGTCCCCAGTGCTGCAGAATAAAAATCAGAAGAAGTCAGCTAAATGCTCTTTGCCCAAAGGAATTAACAGGGAACTGTATGCTGGAAATGAAAAGATTAAATAGCAACACACACACGCACGCACACGTGCACACACACACACCCACACAGGCTCATGAAAGCCACCTACAGAAATGCTTTAAGGACTGGAGGTAATGCACAGAAGTCGTCAGCAAGGTTCCTGGCCCATGTCAAATGCCCAGTAAATGGCAATTTTTGTTACAATTGTGCACAAATCCAGCATTCTCTTGGGTATGCTGGGCAAAACACTGTCTTATGTATTCTGTAATAACAGCACAAATGAACTAAGACAACTTCCTAGCCTATAAATGCCCCAGAAAGCTTCTAATGCTGCTCAGCACAAGGATACAGAATGAGCTTCTCTTACCATGAAGCTTCATCTTTCAAATGCTGCCACTACTTGCATGAGCTACAGACAAGCTCTGCAGAGCCAGGAAGAAAAATAGCAGATAATTCCTAGACAGCACCTACTATGTGCTAGACCCTGTTCTAAGCATCACACGTGTATTATCTCATTTAGCTTTCAATATGACCCTATCAGTTGGGTACTACTATTATCCTCATTTTGCAAGTGATTAAACTGAGTCATGGGGAAATTAGGCAAGTTGTCCTGTTCACATAGCTGGAAAGTGGTAGGAAGCACTCTGTAGAAGACTTTTCCCTTTCCCAAGTTCTTCCCTTGGGCATTTCACCAGCCTGAATGACTCCGGGTTTTCAAGCCAGGACATTAGAGTATGGGGGGATGTGTTAACAATAAGACCCTGAAGTTTCTTTTGGGACACACTCCCTGAAGATCCTTGACCAATAGATGTGCTATGGATATACACAGTGAGCCTCTGCAAGCCTAGTTGACAGCTGCTGCTGAAGGCTGAGCGCTGAATGGTGATACCAGAGGCTACAAAGTGTAGGGGGTTCTGGCCCAGCCAGAATGAAGAAACCCTCACTGAGCACCTCAGCCATTCAGCTGAGAAATCAGAAAGTCTATGCATAAAAGGTAAGGACCACATCTTAGAGAAAGAACCATGTCCTAACACTAAGGACAAAACCTAAATAGATGTACTCTAACAAAAAATAAAATTCAGTCCAACAGAATCAAAAGACTCCACCAGTAGTTCAACTGCCTTCCATAACAAAATCAACATCATTTAAAGGATGACAACAAAATTCAGAATATTCAGAACACAATAAAAATTACTACACATGCAAAAATGTAGGCAAAAGTGACCCAAAATCAACAAAAAAACAGACAACCTTGAGAGGTTCAGAAGTTGGAATTAACATCCAAGGACTTGAAAACAGCTATTATAAATATGTTTAACAATTTAAACAAAAACATGGACATGATGAATGAAAAATAAGGACTCAAATACAAACTACAAAGGAACAAAATGAAATTCTAGAACTAAGAAACATAATATAATGAAATGAAATATTCACTAAAATTAGTGAATATTTAGAATCATATTAGATATTGTAGAAAAAGCCAATGAACTTGAGGCTAGATCAGTGAAAATATCCAATTTGAAGAACAGAAAGAAAACACTTAAAAAATTAACAGAGCCCCATCACCTGTGGGATAATATTAAATAGTTTACTGAATAGTTAGACACATGCTATTGGGGTCCCAGAGTGATGAGAGAGAATAGGACAGGAAAAATGTTTAAAAGATTATTTCCCAAATTTCATGAAAAGCATCAGCTGAAAGATCCAAGATCTCAGCAGACCCCAAGAGTAAATACAATAAATGTTTTTAAAGGACATATTTTAAGATGGTGAAAGAAATATATATATACACACACACACACACACACATATATATATATGTATTCAGAATTGTATATCTAGCAAAAATGTTGCTCAAAATAAGGGTGAAATAGACATTTGCAGATAAACAAAAGCTGAGAGAATTCCTTGTCAACAGACTTTCAACACACACACAAACACACACACACACACACACAAACACAAACACAAATGCTTTCAAAAGTAATTTAGGCTTGGGGGTAATTAAATCAGATGGAAATTCAGTTATTGAGGAAAAAATAAAGAGCACTGGAAATAATAAATAAGTGGCTAAGCATAAATGATTATCTTTTCCTCTCTTCAGTTTTGTAACAGACAACTGACTATTTAAAACAAAAATAATAGCATTGTTTTGTGGAATTACAACATATATAGAAATAGTATATGTGAAAACAGAAAGAACATTAAAGATAAATGGAATTGTAGTGTTACAGGGTTTCACTTAAATTTAAAGTGAAGTCGTAGTTAAAATTAAAATTAAAGTTAAAATTTCACTTAAATTTTAAGTGAATTTATAGAGTATTAATTCTAAGTAGGCTATGATGAGGAGGATAGCTAAAAATAGAAAGAGATAGAGCTAAAAAGAGAATAAATAAAATAAAACGACATAGAATATAAAAGTATGCTGTATGCCCAAAATGAAGCAGACAGGGAAGGCAGAAGTAAAAAGTCAGTGAAATAGAAAACAAATATAAGATCATAGGTTTAAACCCAGTCATAGCAATAATTACATTAAGTGTAAATGCTTTAAACACTCCAGTTAAAAGGCAGCTGTTGTCATTCTGAATCACACAAACAAGACCAACTCTATTCCTACAAAAGAAATATTTTAAATATTAAGACAACAATTAAAAGGAAAGAGAAAAAAGATATACTACGCAAACAATAAACATAAGAAAGCTGCTGTAGCTATATTATCAGAAAAATAGACTTTAAGACAGAGTATTTCTAGAAATAAGTGAGCACATTTCATAATTACAAAAGGGGAATTCATTAGAAAGATATGACAATTATAAATGCCTATAAGCCTAAAAATAAATTTTAAAATACATGAAACAAAAGCTGACATAACTAGGAAAAAATAGACAAATCCACAATCATAGTAACTTATTATAAAATGCTTCTCATACTAGTTAGACAAAATATAAGAGTATGTGAAAAATAATATCAACCAATTTGATTTACTAGAAATTCATGAAAACATTACACCCAACAACTGCATAATAAACATCTTTTGTGGGTGCACATGACACAGTTACCAAAATAGACTATATATTTGGCCAGAAAATAAATCCAATCAATTTCAAATGATTGAAATTTTACAGAGTATAATCTCTGACAACAATGAAATTAATTTAGCAATCAATAACAATAAGATACTTTAATAATCCCCAAACATTTGGAAATTGTACAACACACTTCTGAATAACCCATGAATCAAAGAAGAAATCACAGGAATGAAAATAAGGGAATTGTTACTGACCTTACTGGGAAATAAAGGAATTAAAAAGAGATTAAGTAAACAATTACATGCCAAACATGTAACCCAGATTAAATGGACAAATTCCTAGAAGGATACAAATTACCTAAACTGACTCAAGAAGAAATAGAAATCTCAACAGACCTATAACAAGTAAAGAGATGAAATCAGTTAATCAAAATCTCCCAAAAAAGAAAAGCCTAGAACCAGACATACCCACTGGTAAATTCTAGCAAACATTAAAGGAAGAATCAATACCAGTCCTTCTCAAATTCTTCCAGAAATTTGAAAAGGAGGAAGCATTTCTTACTTATTCTATGGGGTCAGCATTTCCCTGACACCAAATCTAGATAAAAATATCACAAGAAAAGAAAGCTTCAGGTAATATACCTTATGAATATATATGTAAATCCAACAGCATATTTGGATTTGGACCAAGTGATATTTATTCCTGGAATGAAAGAGTGGCTCAATATATGAAAATCAATGTAATATACCACATTAACAGAATGAAGGGGCAAAAAAAACCCACACAATCATCTCAACTTATACAGAAAAAGTATTTGACATAATCCAACATCCTTTCATAATACAACTAGGAAAAGAAGGGAAGCTTTTCAACCAGTTAAGGGGCATCTATGAAAAACCCACAGCTTATATCATAGTCAAAGGTGAAAAATTAATAGCTGTCTCCCTAAGATCAAGAACAAGACAAAGATTCTTGTTTTCCTCACTTATATTCAAAATTGAAATAGTTCTAGCCAGAGTAATTAGGCAAGAAAAAGAAATGAAGTCACCAAAATTGGAAAGGAGTAAAACTAACTCTGTTCACAAATGACATGATCTTACGTATAGAGAACTCGAAAGAATCTACAAAAATAATCAAGTGAAGCTAATAAATTCAGCAAAGTTGTAGTATACAAGATCAACACACAAAAATAAGTGGTATTTCTATACACTAGCAATGAATAATATGTAAAGTTAAGAAACAATTCCAGTGGGGGGCAGTGGCTCACACCTGTAATCCCAGCACTTTGAGAGGCCAAGGCAGGTGGATCACGAGGTAAGGAGATGGAGACCATCCTGGCTAATACAGTGAAACCTCTCTCTACTAAATATACAAAAAATTAGCCAGGAGTGGTGGCACACGCCTGTGGTCCCAGCTACCAGGGAGACAGAGGCAGAAGAATTGCATGAACCTGGGAGGTGGAGGTTGCAGTGAGCCGAGATTTTGCCACTGCGCCCCAGCCTGGGCAACAGAGTGAGACTCTATCTCAAAAAAAAAAAAAGAAAAAAGAAAAGAAAGAAAAAAGAAACAATTCCATTTTTAATAGTATGAAAAAGAATACCTAGTAATAAATTTAACCAAGGAGATGCAAGACTGACACTAAAAACTATAAAACACTGCTGAAAAATAAAAGAAGCCCTAAATAAATGAAAAAACATCTTGTGTTTATAGATTTGAAGAGTTAAAATAGTTAAAATGTCAATATTACCCAAAGTAATCTACAGATTCAATGCAATCCCTATCAAAACCCCAATGGCCTTTTATGCAAAAAACGAAAAACCTGACTTAAAATTCATGTGGAATTGCAAGGAACCCCGAATAACCAGAAAATCCTGAAAAAGAATAATACATTTGTAATATTCATGTTTCCTGTTTTCAAAACTCACCACAAAGTCATAGATCAAAATAGAGTGGTACTGCCATAGGATACATGTATAGGTCAATAGAATAGAATTGAGAATGGTCTATAATCAAAACATGAAAATAAAACCACTACATCTATGGTCAATTGTTTTGACAAGGGTGCCAACCAAGATCATTCGATGGGAAAAAGCATAGAGTTTTCAACAAGTATGCTGAATGACTGCATATCTGCAAGCAAAAGAATTCAGTTGGACCCTTGCTTCACACGTTATACAAAAATTACCTCAAAATAGATCAAAGACCTAAATGTAAAAGCTAAAACAATAATACTCTCAGAAGAAAACGTAAGGCTAAGTCTTCATGACTTTGAATTTGGCAATGGCTTTTTAGATATAATACCGAAAACACAAGCAACAAAAGAAAAAAATGGATAAATTGGAATTAATCAAAATTAGAAACTTTTCTGCATCAAAGAACACTATCAAGAGAGCGATAAAAAATCTTAAAAATTAAAGAAAATATTTGCAAATAATATATCTGCTAAGTATAGTATCTAATATGTATTATCTTATAACTCAACAAGCAAAAGACAATTCAATCAAAATGTGGGAAAAGGACTTGAATAATCATTTTCTTAGGAAGATATAGAAAATCCCAAGAAGCACATGAAATAATGTTCAATGGCATTAATCATAAACAAAATGCAAATCAAAACTACAATGAGTTATCCCTAGGTTGGCTATAATAAAACAAATGGAAAATAACAAGTTTTGGTGAGAATGTGGAGAATGTGAAGCCCTCATGAACTGCTGGTGGAAATGTAAAATGGTGCAGCCACTTTGGAAAGCAGTTTGGCAGTTCTTCAATAAGTTAAGCATCGAATTACCGTCTGACCCAGCCCGTCCACTCCTAGGTGTATACCCAAGAGAATTGGAAATAGGTTTTCAAACAAAAGCTTGTACACAAATGTTCATAGTAGCAATATTCACAATAGACAAAAGGTAAAAATACCCAAATGTTCATCAATTGATGAATAAATAAACAAAATATGGGATATTCATATAATGGGATATTACTCAACCACAAAAGGTAATATAGTCCTGATACAAGTTACAACATTGATACATGTCTTAAACATTATGATGCTAAGTGAGAGAACTAGGCACAAAAGCCATATACTGTATAATTCATTTGTATGAAATATCTAGGATATAAAGACAGATCCATAGGTTCAGAAAACATATTACTGGTTGCTACAGGACAAAAGGCAGAAAAGGATTAGGAGTTGTTATATAGGATTTTCTTTGGGGTTGGTGAAAATGATCTTGAACTAGATCATGGTGATGGTTGCAAAACATTATGCAAATTCTAAATGCCACTGAATTGTACACTTTAAGATAGTTAAAATGGTGAATTTTATGTTATGTTCATTTTACCACAATAAAAAGATAAGATACCACAAAAAATCTAGATGCCAATATTATAATAAAAGAAAATTGCACAATATGTACAATCTCCCTCGTATCCATAAGTTCAAATCATTAACAAAATATTAACAAATAGAATACAGCAATATATAAAAAGGATAATACATTATGTCAACAAAATGAAATGTATTTCTGCATGCAAGATTCATTTTATATTTGAAAGGCAAGCCATGTAATTTACCACATTAACAAAATAGAGGAAAAACTATATGATCATCTTAATAGATTCATAAAAATCATTTAACAAATTTAACACCCACTCAAAAGCTAGCAAGAAACTAGAAATAGAAGAAAACTTTCCTCTACGTAATAAAAGGAAACTAAAAACAAACAAACCTACAATAAGGATCATACTTATGACAAAATATTTAATACTTCCTTGCAGAGATCGAGAACAAGGCAAGTATGTCTCTTCTAAGTATTTCTATTCAGTATGTATTGGGGATTTTTGTCAGTGCAATGGAGGTAAGAAAAAGAATTTATTTAGCAACATCTTTCGTCCTAAAATATCGTGTGTGTGTGTGTGTGTGTGTGTGTGTGTGTGTGTGTGTATTAGCCATATCACCATGAATATGCCCTATCTCATCTGATCTTATGAACCTAAGCAGGGTCAGGCCTGGTTAGTGCTTGGATGGGAGACTTCAAGGGAATACCGGGTGCTGTAGGCTTAAAAAACATTTTTTTTTAAAGAAGAGGAAAACTAATTGAAAGCCATAAATATCAAGAAGAAATAGTTACATTTATTTCTAGATTACATTATTATTATTGACTAAATATTTATGTCTCCTCCTCAGGAGGAGGAGGCTATGTTGAAGCTTCAACCCCCCAATGTGATAGTATTAGGAGGTGAGACTTTTGTGAGGTAATTAGATTTAGATGAGCTCAGGACGGTGAAGCCCTTATGATGGGATTAGTACCCATATAAGTACTGCCACCACTTCTTAGAGGAAGAAATATCAGTGTCCTCTCTCTGCCATGTGAAGCTACAAAGAGAAGGTAGTCATTTGCAAGCCAGAAAGAGGGCCCTCACCAAGAACCAAATCTGGTGATACAGTTACCAGCCTCCAGAACTGAGAAATAAATGTCTAGGTTTTCTTGTTTTTGTTTTTGTTTTTGTTTGACGGAGTCTTGCTCTGTTGCCCAGGCTGGAAGGCAGTGGCACCATCTTGGCTCACTGCAACCTCTGCCTGCCAGGTTCAAGCAATTCTCCCACTCAGCTTCTTGAGTAGCTGGGATTATAGAGGTGCACCACCATGCCTGGCTAATTTTTGCATTTTTAGTAGAGACAGGGTTTCAACATGTTGACCAGGCTAGCCTTGAACTCCTGACCTCAGGTGATCCACTCACCTTGGCCTCCCAAAGTGCTGGCCTTACAGGCCTGAGCCATGGCACCCAGCCAATGTCTGTTGTTTGAGCCACCCAGTTTATGGTATTTTGTTTTGACAGCCTGAGCTGCCTTAGACAATGATTGTTTAGATAGAAAAATCCTAAGCAACCTACCAAAAATACTATTCAAACTAAGAGGTGGATTGAATAAGATTGCAGGAAACAAGGTTAATATACAAAAAACAATTATATTTGTATATAATAGTAAATAAAATACTACTATTGTAAATAAATTTAAAAATTATACCATTGCCATAATATATAAAACATAATAAGGAATAAATGTAACAACATATGAACAAAACTCCACACCAAAAACTAAAAAACTTTGCTGTGGGGAATGAAATCAGGCCTCAATAAATAGATATACCATGTTCATAGATTGAAAGCTCAATGTTGTTAAGATGTCCATTGTCCCAGAATTAATATAAATATTCAAGACAGTCTCAATCAAAATCCCAGAAAGTTTATTTTTGTATAGATTTACAAGTTGATTCCTAAATTTACATCAAAATTCAAAGGAGCTTGAATAGCCAAAACAATTTTGAGAGAGAAAAAAGACAAAATTGAAGCATTCATATGATTTGATTTCAAGATTTCCTATAAAGCCATAATAACCAAAATAGTATAGTAATGAAAAGTATAGAAAAATTGATCAATAGAATAGAATAGAGAGACCAGAAGAAGATTCACACATATACAATCATTTGATTCTCAAGAAAGTCATCCAGGCAACTTAAAGAAAGAAGTTTTCTCAACAAATAGTGCTGAAACAACTGTATAAATAGAAGGTGGAAAGGGAACTTTAACCCCTACCTCACACCGTACACAAATTGAGATAGATCATAGACTTAAATGTAAAAGCTAAAACTATAAAAATGTAGAAAAAAAGCACAGAAGACTATCTTCACTACCTGGGGGGTAGGCAAAAATTCATTAGATAAGATATAAACAACAATAACAATAGAGAAAAAATAATAACTTAGAATCCATCAACTTTTTTAAATGGTCATCAAAAGGTCTTGTTAATAATATTAATAGGCAAGCCATGGTCTGGGAGAAAATATTTGCAAAACAAATCCTTGATGAAAGGCTAAAAATTATGATATATAAGGAAGTCCTACAACTCAATAATAACAGATATTAACAATTCAATAAACAATAAGCACAAATTTGAATAGGCACTTAATGAAGGAACATATGTAAATGTCATAGAATACACTTGCAAAAAATTGCTCAATGTTATTGGTCTTCAAGGAAATACAAATTATAACCACATGAGATACTTCTACACACCCACGATAATAACTAAAATTAAAAACACTGACAACACTAAATATTGGCAGAAATCTGGAGCAGCCAGAAGTCCCACACATTGATAGTGGGTATATAAATTAGTACAACCACCCTAGGTAGGTGTCTGAAGTAAATCTTACCAATGACCAAGCAATTCTACTCGTAGGTAGTATTTACCCAAAGGAGATGAAAATATATGTGGTCCCCCAAATACATGTGTAAGAATGCTCATAGAAATTTTAGTTATAATAGCCCCAAACTGGAAACCACCCCAATGTCCATTAATAAGTGAATTACAAGTGGGATACTCAGCAAGCAAAACTAAAGAACTACTGATACATGCTAAATATGGATGGATTCAATAACATAATGTTGGGCAAACTAAGCCAGACATAAAAGATTACACATGTATGACTGCATTTACAGTCATGCACTGTATAATGATGTCTCAGTCAATGATGATGGTTTCGTAAGATTATTTCATATTTTCACTGTACCTTTCCTATATTTAGCTATGTTTGGATGCACAAATACCACTATGTTACAATTGCCTGTGGCATTCAGTACAGTATACGTGCACTACATGTTTGTAACCTAGAAGCAATAGGCTATACCAGATAGCCTAGGTGTGTATGTAGTAGGCTATACCATACAGGTTTGTGTAAGTACACTCTGTAATGTTCACGCAATAACAAAATCACCTACCAATGTATTGCTCAGAGCAATTCTCCGTTGTTAAATGATGGATGATTGTATATTAAGTTCAAAAACAGACAAAATGGATCTATGTTGACAAAAATAAGAACATTCATAGCCTATGGTGGGAGTGGAAGGACTGAACTGGAAAAGGGCATTAGGGAACCCCCTACAGTGATGGAAATGTTATCAGTCACACACTTGTCAAAGCCCAAATTGTAGACTTCAGATGTGTGCACTCCAGTGTTTGACATTTTATCTCAATATCTTAAAAGTATTTGTACACACATACACACACACATCACAAGTATAAGCTGCCTATACTTGCTGCTGTCTCTGTGGCTTTACCTGGCCCTACCCAGTTTCCAGACACATAGCATTCCCAAAGTGTTTCCATACATTTCACTGAGACTTCTAGGAAATAGAGACAGGATTGTGAACTCCATTTCACAAATGAAGAAAATTAGTCACAATTTGTGACTAAATCAACATGTTACAGGGCAGATATCTCTTAGTGGGTAAGAAGTAGTGTTAAAATACTACTTATGTAGTATCACTATCACTACTACTACTACTAACAATAATAGCTAAATTATTTTGAGTAACTAAAATGTATTAGGTCTTGCATTATTTTATCCCATTCAGTGTCTATGCTGGAGGTCGTTCATACCAGCTTGCAAAGGTCAATAGTTCAATTTTCCAAAAAAAAAAAAGTGTCAGTGGGTTGTTAAATACATCTACCATTAAAAATCAAATCATATAAATTTACAATCAAATAAATTATATTAAAAACAAAAGTTAGTAATTCTTAAAAATCATCACTTTCTAATTATTCTCCTATGATCCGTGCTCTTGGGGTTATTTATATCTATTGTAACTTTATAGTGAAAATAGTATGTGCTTGTGTGCTCCTGTGCATCTCTTCCCCACTTCAGGGTTAGTGACATCATGTTGTTTTAAACTGGCCATAGTAGAAGTCTTTACACCGTGGAAATCAGCAAACACCACAAAGCAGGGCTTGATTTATTGTTTTATGGATGATCTGGACTTCAAGAAACTGATGAAAGCTAGGAGCAGTGGTTCACACCTATAATCCCAGCACTTTGGGAGGCTGAAGCAGGAGAATCACTTGAGACCAGGAGCTCAAGACCAGCCTGGGCAACATAACAAGACCCCGGCTCTTAAAAAAAAAATTAAAAATTAGCCATATGGGGTGACAAGTGTGTAGTTCTAGCTAGTTGGAAGCCGAGGCAGGAGGATCGCTTGATCTCAGGAGTTCAAGGTGGCAGTGAGCTATGATCATACCACTGTACCCCAGCTTGGGCAACAGAGCAAGGCTGTGTCTCTGGAAAAACAAAAAAAAAGAAAAGAAAGAAAATGATATTAATCATCAATTCAACAAGAAGTCTCTTATGCTGATGACAAAAAATTAAATTTTTGATAGATATTTTAGTTGTTTCACTTATATCTTCCTCATTTAAAAAAAAAAACAAAAATACCAACAAATATTCATGTCAGAACTATACTCATTTGTCAATTGCAACTGTAGGTTGTCTATGAATAGGAGAGTTTGACAAAAATCAACAAAAGAATTCTTGGAGAATCAACTGGCCATATGGAATTTATCATAAAAAGAACTGTATACTTTATTATTTGTAAATTCTGTATTACATTCCTTTGTATCAGTAAGTTTTATAATTAACTTACATATATACATGCAACTTTTTTATCAAGCTGGTTGTTATACATTTACCAGCACATTATTGATTTAGCCACAACACAAACATATAATAACATATATTATTATAAATGTTTTGTGGAAAGGAAATGGAGAATCAGAAAAATTAATTAACTTGCTCAAGCTCAGAGCTGACTGTCTCCAAAGTCCAGACTTTTATTCACCACACAGTAAAAGCAGCTCCCCAAGTACAACTCTCAGAGCCATGGCATTCCATTGCTAGAAGGGATCTTAGAATTCATCTTAGCCAATGTGTCTCCAACTCCCATTTTATAGCCAGGAAAACTGAGTCTCTGAGAAGGGAGAGAGTCTCGCCCAAAGTCAATACCTGGTTGCTAGCAGAACCAGGACACGTTCTTATTAGGAGCTTCGCCTCTGCCCTAATAGACACCGGAGAGGATTTCAGTGGCCTCTTTCCCTCCCAGTCCATTGGCCCCAAGCACCCAGCAGGCCTGGCACAGAGGGGCACCCAAGAAATGTTTACCCAACGAAGCCAGAGTGAATCTTACTGCACATACTCAGGTTAAAAAGGAATATCAAAATATTTTCTCTGAATCAAATAAAATTTCTCCTCCAAGCCTCCATCCAGCAGGCCTGGCCAGAAAATCAATCTGAACTATTCTTTGTTCACCTGAGAGACCAGGAGGATTCCTTGGGGCTCAGCGAATGGGAAGGAGGGCACTGTAGTTGCCCCCTTGTCATGGTGGCCCTGTCCCTTCACCAAGAGCCATTATGGGTGTAGCCATTTCAGTGAGCCACCATTCCCAGGCCATTGGGTTTCCCAGACACCATTCCGAGGCCAGGTAAGTGGATGTTCCCAAACACAAGGCCAGATGCTCACACACATATTCACACCATCTAAACACTGACATAGGCACATAGAGACACACACTGAGAACCTACTCACACCAACACAGACACCACACCAGTCATCCCAAACACACACCTTATAACACACACTGATGTGCCAGGCCCCATGCACAAATGTACTAACGTCTATACCGCACACTCACACACAATGACACAAGCACAGATATTTGCTGAGATTCCCACTAAAACAGATATGCACACTGGCAAAAACACACACACACACGCACTCAGGCCCTCAGCAGAGACACACACTGTGACCCCCAGCCAGGACAGTGACACACACACCGCTTTCACAAGGACACACACACACTCCCACACAAGCAGACAGACCTGCCCAGACAGAAGCATGCCTGCATCGCAACAGCACAGACATACACCCAAGGTTAGGTTCACACTCTGACATACCCAGCCTCACGAATAAATGCAGTTGGTTTGCACACCCAGACACCAGCACACGCTGCACACGGGCTGAGAAGCAGCATGGGTTCTTGCACACACGTGCACACATGCCCCACGCCTGCACCCACGGAGCCCGCGGGCAGTCCTGGGCCTGTGCTGTTCCCTGGTCCATGCTGCCACACAGTGGAGAGGCGGCATCCTCCCCGGCACCCTCTCCCACCCTCTCCCACCCCTGCCCCGGCAGTCATGTGAATGAAAAGACAAAAATATAGATGGGGTGGGGGAGGCGGGTAGTGAGGAAGGGATGGGGCAGAAGATGAAATAATAATACTGCTGGGTTTGTTCATTTCGGTGATAATTAGCGGCGCATTCACGCCGCCTCACCGGCCGCTCCCGGCTGGTCCCGCGTGATGGATGCCTGGTGGTGCTGAATGCAAATTAGCATAATTTCATTACCGAGGGACCCGTGAAAAGGTTCAATTATAGAGCAATCTCATTAATACCAGGGCTTGTTAAACTAATAGAAAGAGACAGGCCCCGCAGCTCTGAGAGGTAGACATGTGCTCAGAATGCAATTAATGCTGCAACCCCAATACCTGGGCCACACCTCACTCCCTAGGACCTGCCTCGGTGCCCTGCACACTTGGGCTCCCGGAGGAACAAGGGTTCTAGTCTCAGCAGCCTAGATCATGTCAGAAAAGCAGAGCATCCAGCTGGGTCAGCCTTGTCAATCATCTAGTTCACTGTTACAGATGGGGAAACCAATGCCCACAGTAGGGAAGTGGCTCGTCCAAGGTGTGTGGTATAATAGAGGGAACAGAGCAGTAAGGGGGACATTCTGGTGGGGGAAAAGTGATATTCATCCCTGCTTTAGTGCCTGGTTCCATGACACATCACCTGTAAGGAGCTGCTCAACTGTGACTCGGTTTCTCCATTATGACAGAATCCCCTTGGGGACACTCAGCATTCCTTCATCTCTCCCTAAAGTTTCTCAAGGCAAATGCACCCGCCTCAGCCCTTTCACCAGCCTGACTCAGCCACTGTCACCCCCAGCTTCTTGAGATGGGGGCTCTGTCAGAGCCGGATGAGCTGAAGCCATGGCGCATTTGGGGAAACAGCTTCAGCACCATCCTCTCCATCCCTGCTTCCATCCAACCCCCTTCCCACAGCCAACACCCCAGTCTAGAAACTAGAAAATCTGGAATAAACAGCTCTCGTTGAGGGAGGAACTTCCTCCCCTCTTTGGACTCTTGCGAATGGGATGAAGACTGGCACCTTCAACCTTTGGCCTAAGAAGATTTCTTAGGAATGTTAAAATCACCCCCTTATTTGACTTCAGCAAAAAAAATGGGTTGTACCTTAACCACATTCCCCAAAGAACCCTTGGCAATGACCTCATGCCGTGGCTCTCTTTCCCGTCCTGGAATTTTATGCACACTGAGCTGGGTCATATGAATTTGCTGTATTTTTTATCACCTCTGTAATATTTGATTTTTTTCTGCAATTGTAAGTAAAACACCACAAGTCCCAAAATACCCCCAAGCTGGAGAATGACTCACACTATATTACTGAACGCATAAAAATATGCAGTGACTCAGAAGGGCCCAGCAGAAGCAACAAACCCCACAAAAGACCCCATTGTTCTTATTTTAAAGGTAAAGGGGGGGGAGCTAAGTGATTGCAAACTCAGAGGACGGATTCAGACTTTGACTGCTGACACTTGTCAAACTGCCTGTCAGTCTTTGGGGTGTTTTGGTTCTCTCTTTTTCTAATGACATAATGAAGCCAGATAATTTCAAAAGAAGAGCAAGCCCACTGGAGACCTTCATTTCTATTTCAAAGTGATGATGCAGAAGGAGTGGGGAGGCAACATTAGAAATCCTTGGGCCATAAGACCCCAAGAAGCAGAATGTCCCCAGGAAAGCCACAGGATTTCTGACCAGGCTGATACTCCCTCTCCTTGCAGGGGCCTGTGGCAGAGCCTGGGATGGGAGACAGAACACGAGAGAAAAGACTGAGTGGAGTGATGGAACATGAGCTCAGAGACCCAAGGCCCAGGGTCCTATGACACTCGTGACTGTCTGGTCCCTGCAGGATGTGATTGGCCACCAGGAGAGGGGGCTTGTAGAACTGCAGGGAGGGCAAGGGCCTGGAGAGCCTCATCTTACCAAGAAGAGCTTTGAAAGCTTCAGGAGATGCTTCTAGCATTGCATGACCCAGAAACAAAGGCGCGGGTCTAGTCCTCCAAGTTAGTCCTCCACTAGAAAGGTCTAGTGCCTCCAACTAGAAGCACCAAAAATTAATAATGGGAGAATGTGGTGGAGTGGAGGGGGTATGAGTGGGAGCAAAATTCTCATCCATCATCTTGGAAAGTCAATAGATAATGTCCAAAACTGATGAATCAGGAAATAGTGGCAGACATGCATTATTTAGAGATATGGGGCACTGGTGTGGAGACAAGACTGGAAGTTAATGTAGAGGCCTCTGGGGAGCAGGCATGGGTGGGGATGGGTGGAGAAGGGGTCTGGCCTTTGTTTAATATTTTATTAAGGAGCTTTTGTTTATGCTCCTGACTGTGCCTCCAATTCACCCATTCCCATCACCCTGAATGGTTTTACTGACTCCCTGAGAACTCGGATAGGAGGGTTTGTCTGTGTGTGTGCCTATGTGTGTGTGTGTACACATTTGCACCTCTGCCATGCATCCCATAAATCACCACTGGGGGGACAGTGACCCAGCCTCTATTCCATCTGGGCCTCAGATTTTCTAATCTGCCTAATGAGAAGCTTGAGTGAGGGCCCTTTCCCTCTGACAGCCTGAGGCTTTGTGTTAACAGAGTTTAAAGTCAAAAGACCCAGATTCTAACCCCGCTTCTGCCACTTCCTAGCTGTGTGTCCTTTAACAAGTCACTCGACCTCTCTGTGTCTATTTTCTTCTCTCTAAAATGAGCAGGCTGATGAGAGCTGTGCACATCTATGGGGTTGCTGCAGCCACATCCTTGGTTTTCAGCCTCCCTGGACTCGCATGACACACCTCTGCCTCCCCATTCCATCACCTCCGTCCTTCCACTCTGTCTTCCTTTCCCTCATCTCATCTCCTCTCCTACCCACTGGCAAGAAGTAGCCTAAAAGCTCAAACCACAGTGAAGGATCAGGAGATGAGAAAGAAAAAGATTAGGAAGGGACATGGGCAGATGGATGGTAGAAGAAGGGGCACCAAATATGGCTCTGAGTTAGTCAGAACTCTTTGGGCTGAGAGTAATAAAACCCAATTCAAACCGGCTCCAGAAAAAAAAAAAAAAAAGAGAGAGAGAGAGAGTGAGAGAGAATTAATTGATTGACTTATATAACTGGGAGCCAAACACCACCTTCAGGCATGGCTGGATTCAGGGGTTCAAGCAGTGTCCTCAAAAACCCGCCTCTCTCTCCATGTCTCAGCTCTCCTCTGCATCAGCTCTGACACCAGGCGGGCTGGTTCCCAATAACAGGAAGGATGGTCCTTCAGCTGCTGATTTCGAAGACCCTCTCTCTCCCCACATCCCTAGCAATCTCCCCAGAAGAAACTCCAATTGGCCATCCGCGAATCACATGTTCAGTTCTGGACCAATCCCTCTTTCCAGGCAGGAGAGGTCTCCTGATTGGCCTATAAAAGTCACATGATCTGCCCTGGGGAAGGGAGGCAGGACCCTTGGTTGGAAGGAGATTCCCCAAAAGAGGGGAAGGGAATAAGGGACAAATACCTGAAGGCCACATCCAATGCCAAGATTTTCCATTTGGAAATGAGGTCTGGGGAAGGAGGGCAAAGGCTGCATAGGCTGGACCGACCGTGGGACAAGCAGCAGAGACCTTTGGCAGCCGCTGGGGATGTGGGTTGGAGTTTGAGGGTGAGGCAGAGCCAGTCTGGAGGCCATGCAGGAAGAAAACACAGTGCAAAAGGAGCAGAGGCCCCAAGTGCACCTCACAGTTCAAAGGTCAGAGCCGTGCCCCAGCCAGCTCCCGGGTTCCGGCTCCTGGCTCAGATGTCCCAGAGGAAGACCAGGGGAGCTCTGTTGGCCAGGTCAGCATGGAAGGCCCCGATTCTCAGGTCCCCAGCACCTGTCACCCATCTTGATGAGGGAGATGAGGAAGGCTCAGGGTTAGGCTCCCACCAGACCTGCCCCTGATGCTCCAGTGAGATACCACCCACCTCTACCCACCCTCCACTGGCCAAAGCGGCAGCTCTTCCTGCCCTTGGCCTGGTGTGGGAGAGGGACCTGATGAACCTGTTCACTGAGCGCTCACTGTCTGCTAGGCACTTTAGTTGCATGATCTCATTCGATTCTTATTCCAACTCTGTCTAATTGCCATTTTGCAGATAAGGAAATTGAGGCTCAGAGATGTTAAGGGAGACTAAATAACCTGCCTGTGATCTCACAGGAAGTGCTGAATGCATCAAACTGAAGAGCCTATGCTCTAAACCACTAGGCTTTATTGTATATTTTTAAAAATATGTTTATATTTATCTGCCTAGAAATATTTTTGTAGTTCTTACCAGGGGCCAGGAACTCTCCAAAGCACTTTACATGCATCAAGCCTTTTCATCCTCACATAATCCCATGAGGTCGATACTTTTGTTACCCCCATTTTACAGATAAGGAAACTCAGGCACAGAGAAGTCAAATGACTTGCCCAAGGTCATACAGCTAGTGACTGGCAGAGCTCTGGCACCTAGGCATGTGGATGCAGAGCCTGAACCTTTGCAAGTGCCCGACCATGCTCCTTGGCGGGGGGGGGGGGGACGGGGGGGGCGGTGCCTCTGATGCCACTCTGAGTTCAGAGCTAGCCCGGCAAGTGCTGTGAGCTTTGCTGAATGGCTTTCGGTCTAGCACAGAAGATTCTACAGGGAATTCAGCACACTGACTGCCCCAAAGCCCTGAAGTCAGCTTTCCTGAAGAGGCCTGGGACCAAGATTCTCTGGGCCTCCATCTCTTCATCTTTAAAAGGGGCTCAGACTTGGGTCAGAGACGCATTGCTGCAAGTGGGAGGAGGGGATGAGAACTGCAGAGGAAAACAGAGACATAGAGGCAAAAAGAGGCATGCAAAGAGGAGAGACAGCCCTGCAGAACCTGGGGGACGCAGGCAGCCCTGCCACCATCGCCAAAGCACGATAAGGCGAGTCTCCCAGCTGGGCAGGAAAGGGAGGCAGCCCGAGGCTTTGGCAGCCCAACTCACTATGCATTCCCACTGACCCCATGCCCAGCTGGCCTTCAGCACATTGTGTGGAGACCTTAGGGGGCCCACAGAGCTTTCTTCACTCCAGGACTGAAGAGAATGGGGAGTGGAGTGGGCATTGCTTAGAGATAAATATATGGCCTCATACCAAACATGATCCCAAATTCAGTCGCTGTCCCTGACCCCTAGACTGCCCTTCCAGAACAGAAAAGCCCTTCTTGCCATCAGCCCTACTTTTACACCTGCTGTAGCTCCCAGGTCCCCCAGCAGAAGATCTGCACATCCCAGCCGACATTCCCGGCCTCCACTGCTTCTCCTTAATACCCCACCACTTCTCTACACTCAGACAACGTGCCCACACAGCTGTAATGCATACTTTGATTCAGTCCATGCGCTACACACAGAACACCCTTCCCACCACCACTGACCCAAGTTTGATCTGTCCTTCAAAGCCTGGCTCCAGTGTGGGGCTGCCCAGCCTTGCCCACCACTCTTACCCCAGACTCCTCCCTGCATGCTTCCTCTCCCTCACATTCCCCAGCCTCGCTTCCCCCAGCTCTACTTCTTCAGCAATCTGTTCCCCTACACCCAGCCATCCACCAAGCCTGCTAGGGCTCCCCTTTTGTGCTTCAGTTCCCACATCTGCATATGTGGACAAGGCGAATATTTACATCGCAAGGTGGCAGTGAGGGTTATAATTAGAGAACGCAGGTAAAATGTTTAGAACAGAGCCTGGGACTTGGTAAGAACTCAGTGAATGTTGTGTTGTTGTCATTAGTGCTATCTAGGAGGATATGGCAAGCTGTATTTTCCAAAATATTTTCAGTCCCATGTGGTCTTGAAGAGAACATCATCACATCCCATCAAGGACTGGAAAGGCCCTGTGTGTGGCTTATGCCTGTAATCCCAGCACTTTCAGAGGCCGAGGCGAGAGGATTGCTTGAGCCCAGGAGTTCGAGACCAGCCTGAGCAACATGGGGAGATCCCATCTTACAAAAATATAAAAAAGGAAAAAGAAGTGGAGGAGTTACAGTCTATTTCTACTTCCTTAAAACTCACTAAGAAGGAAGTCTTGCTATGTGACTTCTAAGGCTAAGATGTAGATACAGCTTCCCTTTGTCTCTCTCTGTCTCTCTCTCCCTCTCCCTCTCCCTCTCCCTCTCTCTCTCTTTCTCTTTCTCTCACTTTTTCTCCCCTTCTTCTTACCCTTGGAACCCAGGCTCCACATTGTAAGGAAGCCCAGTCACATGGACAGACCATATGGGTCCAGTTGGCTGCCCCAGCCAAGGTTTCAGCCAACAGCCAAGATTACCCACAGCCACGTGTATGAATGAGCCTTCAAATGAGTCCAGCACCCAGCAGAATAATGCCCCCTCCCGTCTCACAAAGATTTCCATGCCCTAATTCCTGGAACCTGTGAATCTGCTACATCACATGGCAAGCAGAGCTGGCAGATGGAATTTAGGGTGTGGAGCTTGAGGTGGGGAGGGCAGCCTGGATTACACAGGTGGGCCCTATCTAAGCACATGAGCCCTTATACAAGCAAAGAACATTTCCTCAGCTGCCAGACAGCTGGCAAACAGAATTGGAGGGGCAGAGAGATGTAATCAGAAAGGGCAGAAGAGACTTAAAAGGAAGAGAGGCTCGACCTGCTGTGGCTACCTTTGAAAATGGAGGAATGGGGCTCCAAGCCAAGGGATGCAGGCTGCCTCTTCATTGGAGTACTGCCAGCAAGAAAACAGCCCAGCAATTGCAAGGAAATTAATTTTCCCAACAGTCTGAATGAGCAAGAAAATGGACTCTCCCCTGCCACGCCCTGAGTTCAGCCTTGTGAGACTCTAAGCAGATACCCACTCAAGCCCACAGGACGTCCAACCCATAACAATTGTAAGATAATAAACTGGGATAGTTTTAAGTCTCCATGTTTGTGGTAATTTGTCACAGCAGCAATTGAAAATATAGCAGCCATTGAGGTTTCCTTCTGAGGCCCTCGACATCAGGGAACAGAGACAAGCTCTCTTCCCACTCCTGACCTGCAGAGGGGGTGAACAAATGGCTGTTTTCTGCCGCCAATTTAGGTATTGCGCAGCTCTAGTAACTGAATCGGGGGCTTCCAACCCCTTTCCCAGAAGGAACTGCTGTGTCCTCTGAAATCACCAAGCCACAGTTTCTTCACCTGTAAAACAAGAGTATGGACCATAAAAGAGGCAACTTGTATGTGCTGCTATAAAAAGGCACCAGGCTGGACTTTTTAAGTGAAGGATTGATGACCAACGTACACCATACAATTCCATTTTGTGAAATGAAAACCCTTTGTTGCCACAATGAGATACCACTTCACACTCATTAGGATAGCTCTTATCAAAAAAGTAGAAAATAACAAGCATTGGAGAAATTAGAACCTTTGCACCTTGCTAGTGACAATGAGAAATGGTTTGGCTACTGTAGAATATGCTACATAGGTTCTAAAGATATAAAACATAGAATTATGTGGATTTATTCATTCCACTTCTGGGCTTATACCCAAAAGAATTGAAAGCAGGAATTCAAACGGATATCTAATACCCCTATGTTCACAGCAGCATGGCAAGCAGAACTGGCAGATGGAATTTAGGCTGTGGACTTTGAGGTGGGGAGGGCAGCCTGGATTAAACAGGTGGGCCCTATCTAAGCACATGAGCCCTTATAAAAGCTCATGTAGCTTTTTATTACAGTAGCCAAAAGGTGGAAACAACTCAAATGTCCATTGATGAATGAATGGGTTTTTTAAAATGTGGTATATCCAGACAATCGAATATTATTCAGCCCTATAAAGGAATAAAATTCTGATACATGCAATAATATGGATGAATTTCGAAAACATTATGCCAAGTTAATAAGCCAGACATAAAAGGACAAATATTATATGATTCCACTTACAGGAGGTACTGAGAGTAATCAGATTCATAGATATAGAAAGTAATGGTTGTTGCCAGGGGCTGGGAGAGAGGGGAATGGGGAGTTATTATTTAATGGAAATAGAGTTTCAGTTGGGGAAGATGAAAAAGTTCTGGAGAAGGATGGCAGTAATGGTAAAAATAGTAAATTGTATGTTATGTCTATTCTCCCACACTATTTTTTAAAACCCTTATGTGCACATATTGTTTGTACTTGTAGAAAGTTGAAAAGGATGCCTTCAACATTACTCAAGATAGTCACTATAAGGGGTAGGGGCATGGAACAGGAGGCAGGAATTCCACTTTTTACTTTATATACCTATGTGCTCTCTAACCATCTTATAAGGAACAAGCATTAAATTTGCAATAATCATATAAACCAATGTGTATTTTTCAAAGCAACCCCCACTTCAAAGAGATAATATGAGGATTAACATTCTCACTGTAGGCTGGGCGCGGTGACTGACGCCTGTAATCCCAGCACTTTGGAAGGCCGAGGCAGGTGGATCACAAGGTCAGGAGTTCATGACAAGCCTGGCCAACATAGCAAAACCCCATCTCTACTAAAAATACAAAAATTAGCCAGGTGTGGTGGCACACGCCTGTAGTCCCAGCTACTCGGGAGGCTGACGCAGGAGAATCGCTTGAACCCGGGAGGCGGAGGTTGCAGTGAGCTGAGACCGCACCATTGAACTCCAGCCTGGTGACAGGGTAAGACTCCATCTCAAAAATAAATAAATAAATACAATAAAAATTAAAAAAACATCTCACTGTAAGAAAAGCACCTACCCAGGCCTGGAGTGGAGTTCTCACATGAAAAATAAAAAACTCTCTCCCCTTCCTTTTTTCTCTCCTGAGAATATGCATGCTGTACAGAACAGCCCACCAGAGGGTTGAGGCTGCAACTGTCCATCTCACTGTCCACATCCCAGGAGGCCCAGCCCAAGCCTGGTAATCCCATCTAATCATGACCCTGGGAACCCCTCAGCATCTTTGCAACTTAGCAGGAGTGTTCATTCTTGAGTATGGGGAATGAAAACATGACGCTTTCTAGGTGGTCACATTATTAGGGGCAACAATTGCTGCCTCCTGGATCATTCCCCAAAACCAGAAAAGCTCTAAAAAGATCATTTCAGTCATCCCTCTGTCCTCTTGCCCTCATGCCCTCAACCACAAACAAACAGAATTCCTTTTACTCTTCCCTTTGAATGTGCCATAGTACTTTTCACCTCCTGGAAGTTTTTCGCAATGTCTAATCCAAATCTGTCATGCTGCTGCCCAAAAAAAGTCTTTGCCTTTACAAACTAGTAGCCCCTGCCTAGCAGAAAAGAAACTTTACAGATGGTCTTCCCATTAGAACTAGAGCCTGTTCCATGCACACCACCTAAGGAGCATAGCAAATATCTTCAGTTCAGCAGTGTATTAGTCAGGGCTCTCCAGAGAAAGAAGCAATAGTGTGTGTGTGTGTGTGTGTGTGTGTGTGTGAGTGTGTAGATAGATAAAGTAATTTATTGTAAGGAATTGTCTCATGCAATTATGGAGATGGGCAAGTCCAAATCTGCAGTGTGGGCCGGCAGGTGCAGCCAGTGGTGCCGATGAAGTCGTTAGGCAGTCTGCTGGACAATTCTTCCTTATTTGGCAGAGGATCAGCCTTTATTTCTATTCCGTTCTTCAACTGATTGGATGAGGCCCATCTACATTTATAGAGGCCAGATGGCTGTAGTCAGTCTACCAATTTAAATGTTAATCTCCTCAAGAAACACCCTCACAGAAGTATCCAGAATAATGTTTGACCGAATATCTAGGCACCCCATAGCCCAGTCAAGTTGACATATAAAGTTAACCATCACAAGTAGGTAGAGTATGGGTTGCCAGCCATCCAAGACAGTGATATTGATCAAGCTGACAACATGGCACATGGAGTGCCCCTGATCACCAGCCCTGCCTCTGGGCCCATAAAACCAGGAGCTGTACATAACATGGGGTAGATGTCAATCTGTGGTTAGCAAGATCCCCATCCTAGGTAGAGCTTTCATCCCCTGTAAGTGCAGCCCTTTCTGATGAGCCCATACCAACCACCCTTTTGGTTTCTGTTTCCATCGACAGCCTGTTTTTCTTTTGTCAGAGCCTGTTTCTGAGACTGTGCAGACCCCCACCCTCCTCTTTAACTAAACACCCAGTGGTTATGAGTATGGGTTGTAGAGAGAGGGAGCTCTGCCACTTATGGCTTTGCAATATTAAGAAAGTTCCTTAACCTCTCTGTGCTTCAGTGTTCCTATTTATAAATTGGAAATAAGTAATAATGGCATCCACCTCACAGAGTGTTATGAGAAATCAATGAACTAATACATATATTGTGCTTATACGAGGAACCTCATTAATAGTAAAGCATGAATAAATATTTACTGAGTGAATTATCATCCTCCTCCTCCTTGAATTGGCCCTTACACACCAAAATGAATCACTACAGTTTTACATAACAAAGCCAGCAGCATACTACTCCATTGGTCTTTTCAACAATTTCAAGAATAAATATAGGTGATTTTCTTAGAAAAACCTGAAAGCTCAGAAGAAAAATAATTTTTCTATGATCAAAAAAATTTATAATATAAAAATTAAAACTTTTATACAGCATCAGATCACACGGTCAATTTAGACCATAAAAGAGTCAAGAAAATATGTGCAATACAAAGAAAAAAGGTTAATATTTATAATATATTAATGAACTGTTACCAATAGAAGAATTATTTTTTAATTTTAAATTGAGATAAGGACAGGAATTAGCAAATCACAGAAAACCAAATTCAAAAGGTCAAAAAGCGCATGAAAAGATGTTCAAATTCAGGGCTATACAAATTGAAATAACAGTGAGATATCATTTTTCATCTGCCAGACTGGCAAAAATATTAAGTAACATCTACTGCCAAGGAGATGTGGGAAAATGAGTACCCTTGTTCAAAACCAGGGTAAATGGGAAGTATTTTAGGCTTTTTGGAATGCATTCCAGCAACAGCCATTAGAATGTAAAAATACATATATCCTTTGACTTGAAACTCTCTCTCTTGGAAATGTATCTTATAAAAATTAAAACCCTGGTACCTGGGAATAGATATGTGCTTGTCATACAGTTGTTCACCAGATTAGGAGATGCCTATCAAAAGGCAAATGGATGGATAATATGAATGTTATACAGACACTAAGAAGAATGTATTAGAGCTATGCCAAACAATAGGGAATTTCCTCAAGATACTGATGAGTAAGAAAAGCAAAAAGCAGAAAAGTATGTACAAAATGATCCATTTTTGTAAAAGAAACAACAACCTAAAAACTCCAAATTCATAAAGATATGTAAATATTTGTGTGCATGAAATAAAAATTATGGAGAACATAAATGCACAAAATAGTGTCTGCTATTTTAAACACATATTTACATATATAAAAGTAGAAAAATGGTCTATCTAGAAGGATAACCACCAAAATGGAAGAATCATGGTCTCTACAGAATTGGAGCAGGAGAGTAGTTAAATGACCTTCAGCTTTATTCATAATACCTTATTTCACTGAAGAAAAAAATACTGAAAGCAAATATGAGAAATGTTAATGGCTGAATGGTGCGAGTAGGGATGTTTGTTACATTATTCTCTGAAATAACAATAAACTGAAATAAAACTGACTACAGATTTGTTGTATAGTGAGATATCATCAAAAGCCTTGGTTCTCGGAGCAGTCCATGGATCTATCATGTACAGCTTCCCCACCAGTACCATGGGCATACATGACTACATTCACAAGTTGCTGAGAGGGTCAAATGAGAGAATACATGTAAAAAGACCCAATAGTCAGCCAATGCCAGTCAGTCCTGCCTCCCCAGACACTTGGGTAGATGTTTGCAAAGATGCTTTGGTGCTCTTCCCAGTGGGGGCAGCTGGTAATTTGGCCCAGGCTATTGTAGCACATGGGAGCCTAGATGGTTGATCTGAACTCTGGGGGGAATTCTAGGAAGATTATAGGCAGAGGGAATATCACAAGAAAAAAAAACTACAGACCAATATGTCTTACAAGTATGCATGTAAAAATCTCCAACAAAAGTATTAGCAAACCAAGTACACAACATATAAGAAAAATTATATACCATGGTCAAGTGGGATGTATTCAGGAATGCTAAGTTGATTTTCAGCATCTGAAAATCAATTAACACAATACATCATATAATAGAATAAAAAACAAAAATCACAAGATCCTCTCAAATAACACAGGAAATCCACTTAACAAAATCCAACACTCTTTCATGATAAAAAACACTCGAGAGACTAAGAATGGAAGGAAACTCCCTCAACCTGTTATAGGGCATCTGCCCAAAAATCCACAGTTAATGTCATACTTAATGGTGAAAGACAGTATGCTTTCCCCTAAGATCAGGAACCAGACAAGGATTTCTGCTTTCAATACTTCTATTCAACATTGTACTGGAGTTTTTCGCCAGGGCATTAGATGTAAAAGAAATAGAAAACATTCAGAATGGAAATGAAAAAGTAAAGCTACCTCTATGCACAGATGACATGATCTTGTATACAGAAAATCCTAAGGAATTCACTAAAAAGCTATTAAAATGAATAAATGAATTCAGCAAGTTGCAGGACATAAGATCAATACATAAAAATCAATTTGTGTTGCACTTGTAAAGAACAATTTAATAAATGACATTTTAAAAACAATTGTATTAACAACAGCACCAAAAAGAATAAAATGCTTCGGAATGAATGTAACAAAAGCAGCACAGGATTTGTACCTGAAAACTACAAAACATTGTTGAAAGAAATTAAAGGAGATCTAAATAATTTGGAAAACATCCCATGTTCATGATCAGAAGACTTAACACTATTTAGATGATGATACTCCCCAAACTGATCTACAGATTCAACACAGTCCCCTTCAGAATCCCGGAAAACTTCTTTATAGAAATTGACAAGGGGATTCTAAACTTCATATAGAATTTCAAAGGACCACAGACAGCTGAAACAATCTTGGAAAAGAAGAAAGAAGGTAGACTCACACTTCCTGACTTCAAAACTTATTACAAGCAACAGTAATCAAGGACAGTGTGGTCCTGGTATAAGGACAGACATATAGATCAATGGAAGAGAATTGAGAATCTATAAGTAAACTTATACATCTATGGTCAACTGATTTTTAATAAGGGTGCCAATACCATCCAATGGGGAAAGAACAGTCTTTTCAATAAATGGTACCGGGACAACTAGATATCTACATAAAAAAGAGGGAAGTCGGACACTTACCTCACACTATATATAAAAATTTAGGCCGGGTGCAGTGGCTCACACCTGTAATCCCAGCACTTTGGGAGGCCGGGGCAGGCAGATCACCTGAGGTCAGGAGTTCGAGATCAGCCTGGCCGACATAGTTAAGCCCTATCTCTACTAAAAATACAAAAAAATCAGCTGGGCATGGTGGTGGGCACCTGTAATCCCAGATACTCGGGAGGCTGAGGCAGGAGAATCGCTGGAACCCAGGAGGCAGAGGTTGCAGTGAGCCAAGATAGTGCCACTGCATTCCAGCCTCAGTGACAGAGCGAGACTCCGTCCCCCTCCCAAAAAAAATTAACTGAAAATGGATCAAAGACCTCAATGTAAGAGCTAAAACTATAAAACTCTAAGAAGAAAACATAGGAGTAAATATTCATGACCTTGGATTTGGCAACGCCTGACCCTTCTCACTGTCAAGGAAGGCCCTGTAATAACTGTGCCCTGGCACAGTACATGACACATGGTGAGAACTGAAAGGAGATAATGTTGGTTTTCCCAACATTTGTTGGGCTAAATACATTTGTTGAATGAATTAATGAATGACTTCTCTACCCAACCCCAAGTGGAACTGAAGCCAAGCCATGCACACGCATGTGCACGCATGCACACACACACACACAATCTGTGCTATGTGCTGAACAAGGCCCTACTGAAATCCCTTTCTGTCTTCATCCTCCCTCCCCACTCCCTTCCATAGACTCCACCTGACAAGACCCAGTGCAGATGCCTGCTCTTCCTGGAAGTCTTCTCCTATCAGTCGCTGATTCACTCAACAATCAATCACTGGGCATCTGCTCTAAGCCAGGCCCTGAGCTGGGTCCTGGCAACACACAGCAGGACAGATGTGGGCCCTAAGCTTACGGCACTCACAGTTGCACAGGGGCCATGGACAGGAGCTTTGACCTTTCCTCCCAGACACATGCTCTGCTCTGAACTTTCAGGGAGGCACCACACACCACCTCCTACTGGAGCGATCAATGAAGTGGCTGATTTGCCATTTGAGTGAGGTACAAAGAGGCCTCCTGTGCCACCCAGTTTGGAGGGAGCAGAGTGGACCTCCCACCAACTCCAGGACTCCACCTGTCTTGGTTGTTCAATACTCATTTACCTATACAGGACCATTCTCGTGAAAAGTTGAAAGCTTGTTTCTCCATGACAAAAAGTCCCAAGAAAGAATGCCAACTGCTAATGCTGTTGGTAGGAACAAAGAGAATACAAGAAGGAATACAAAGAGAAGCAGTTTAAGAAAGTAAACAATGGGATAAATTAAAAGCTACAACCGATGTTAACCTGGGCTTGAGCAATGTTATGTCCACATCGCTTGAAATGGAAACAGGGAAAAGCAAATCATGAGACTGTTTCAGAAAGGGCTCCAAATATGAGCAGATAACTCATCAAATAAAAAGGAAAACTTTAGGCAAAGTTTAAAAGTGACAGAGCTTATTTTAATAACAAGATTAAATCTTTTAGTGATGGAAGCAGCACTTAGACGACCCCCTAATATTTTTCTCCTTGAGCATGGGAGATGGGGGAAGGAGACATGATACACTAGAATGTTGTATTCAAAGTGGGAGTTCTGAGAGTGTCTTGAGATCCATCCTTCCTGAAGAGGTATGGGGTCAGTGAAAACACCTGATGAACAGATATTCACAGCAGTGTTGGCTGAAGCAGCAAAGAATTGGAAAACATTCAAATGTCCAAAAAGTCAGAGCCCCTCTAAGCCATCAGGGGTGCATCTACCCCATGGAATATACGCAGCCTCTAAAATAAAGGTCTTACGTATTTGATAGAAATGTGTCCTCTTGAAAGTATTATTTTTAGAGATGGGGTCTCACTGTGTTGCCCAGACTGGTCTCAAACTCCTAGGCTCGAGTGATTCCCCCACCTCAGCCTCCCAAAGTGCTGGGATTATAGGCGTGAGCCATCATGCCTGGCCCTGGTAGTATTTGAAGTGGAGAAAAAGACAGGATACAAAATGCCGTCTGGCTGAAAATGCAACTGCAAAACATACATTCGGGAAGACAGACACAAAAGCATGGGACAAGGCCTTAATTTTAGGGGAATTGCAAATGACTTTTTTTTTGCCTTTTATTTTTATGGCTGTTGCTATGATATTGTTTGCACAATTAAAAATGCTGAAATCAAAGCCAAGCCATTTAAGAAGTTATAACTCAGATTTCTCCAGTGACATTTAAACAATCACTTACTGAGCATGGACCATCAAGTCTGTGACTGGCCCTATGATGGGGTTTTAGGATTCCAGAGACAAAAAGAGGCTGAGCACAGTGGCTCATGCCTGTATCCCAACACTATGGAAGGCCAAGGCAGAAGGATTGCTTGAGTCCAGGAGTTCAAGACCAGCCTGGGAAGCATAGTGAGATCCTGTCTCAAAAACAACAACGACAACCAAAAAAAAAAAAAAAAAACCAGCCAGGCGTGGTGGTGCACACCTCCTATAGAACCAGCTACTCAGGAGGCTGAGGTGGAAGGATCACTTAAGCCCAGGAGTTCGAGGTTTCAATGAGCAATCACACCACTGCACTCCAGCCTGGGTGACAAAGAAAGAACCTGTCTCTAATTTAAAAGGAGAGAGAGAGACAGAGAGAGAGAGAGACATGGATCCTGTGCTTAAAGAACTCACAGTAAGGGATGGGAAGAGGAGGTAGAACCTGAACAGATCATCACAACATGGTAGAAAGGCTTTGAGCAAGATGGTCACAGAAAATAGGAAGGATAATGTTAAGAACGACAGTGATGGTAACAATGTCCAACATTCTTGTAGTGCTGTATGAGGCAGAATAAACCAGGTTATGCTGCAGTAACAAGCCCACAATTTTCGTGGCTTAAAACAGCCAAGTTTTATTTCTTGCTCATGCTACTTGTTCATTGCAGGTTGGCACTGGAGGAAGGGTGGGAGGAAACGCTGCCCATTATAGTTACTCAAAGACCAGGGCAAGTGAAGCAGCCACCATCTCAAAAGCTGATGGTCACTTTGCCACAAAGAAAGAGAAATCAGGGGGTATCTTATACCTGCAGTTAAATAATCTGGTCTAGGAAATGACTTCCATAATTTCTGCAAATAATTCATTGGCCAGGGCTAGTACCATTCCCCTAGCTTCAAGGAGAGTAAAAAGTGCAATTCTACCACATTTGTGCAAGTCAGGAAGCCAGAAATATTTAATAAACTGCATTAATAGCTATCATATATATTTGCTACTTCAGGTACCACCCAAATATGTTACATAAATTAGTTTATTTCATTCAGATAACAATCATAGGAGGCAGGGACTATTATCCCCATCATGCAGTTAAGCAAATGGAGGTCCAATGTACTCAACATTATGTAATGTACCCAAGACCACAGAGCAAGTGTTACAGCTGGAATTTGAGCCCAGGACTTAAGCTCCAGACCCATGTCACTCTATCAGATGGACTCAGGAGAAGAAGACCTCTTGGCCTCAGGGCAGGAAGGTAATCTGGAGAGGTAAATTGGAGCCAGAGGTCAGAAAGCCTCACCATGGCCAGGACACACACTCCGCCATCTTAAAGGATGTTCTCACAAAAGATGCGTCCAGCATTCTGCCAAAAGTGCATTCCCTGAATATAATCACAAGGAAACTATCAGACAGATCCAGGTGGAGGAACATCCAACAAAGCAACTTCCCTGAACCACTAGCAATTCCAAAGTTGTGAATGACAAAGGGGAGAGCAGGACATGGGTGGGGGCTCAGGCACTGTTCCAGGTGAAAGGGGTGTGAATGCCACTCTTGGCTCTCAGCTGCATGTTATATCTGGGCTGGGGGTGGATCCAGCCTGCTCAAGATAGCAAGACCCTGTCTCTACAAAAAAAAAAAAAAAAAGGTAATTAATGGGGTGTGGTGGTACCTGCCAGCTACTCAGTAAGCTAAGGCAGGAGGATCACTTGAGCCCAAAAGTTCAAGGCTGCAGTGAGCTATGATCACACCACTGCACTCCAGCCTGGGCAAGAGAGTGAGACCCTGTCTCAAATATATGTCTATATTTGGGAGGAAAATGCCTTAGAGGTCTTTACTGAAATAATTGGCAAAATTTGAATATGAACACTACATTAGATAACAATAAAGTCAGTGTTAACTTTCCTAAGTTTGATCATTATACTGTGATACCTAAGAGAAAGTGCTGTTCTCAGATATCCTCTGAAGTGTGTAGGTGTGAAGGGCCATGATATTTGTACTTTCTCTCAAAGGCATCAGCAATCATCATAACAATAATATACACATGTAGAAAGAGACAGAAAGAAATGTGACAAAATGCTAACAATTGTTGAATCTAGGTAATTGTAGCTGGGCATTCATTGTACTATCCTTGCAACTTCAGATAGACTTGAAATTTTTCCCCAAAAAAATATATTTTTAAACTAAAAGTGCTATCTGCCTTCTGTCCTGCTTATGCTTTGTGTGTGTATGTGTGTGTTTGTGAGTGTGTGTATATGAGTGTGTGTGAGTGTTGTGCCCACCACCCAGTTGGTGACTTGGGCTGGGTAGCCCTCATCTTCCAGCCTCCCCTTTGAAAACTGGCTCATCCTGTACAGGTTGGCCCTAGACAGTTCTCAGTGATGTGACCACCAGCTCAGACCTTGTCACTTGTCACAGACTCCTGCTCCCATGAAACTGCTCATGGAACTGCTCTGGGTGCAGGGCCATGTCTTTTCCTTCCCACTTCCCACCAGTTTTTTCAAACCTGGGGCTATCTTTCCCCTCCTTGAATCTTCAAGGGAGAGATTGGAGCCCCTGCCTCAACAATGCATAGCCCCCTGTGCCCAGTGACACCACACGCTCCTCAAGGTGAACTAATTCCCAGCCCCTCAAGCAAGAAGCAACCTCTCCTTCTCCCCACATCCAGAGGACCCCAAGGCAAGCAAGGCAGAGGCCAACAGCACACAGACCTACACGTACTCCATGTTTCTTCCCCTTAGACTTGATTTCTTCTACCACCAAGCATGAGGGTGAGACCCAGTCTCCCTCTGCTCCTCTGGCCCCCTTCTGTACCCACAAAATCCACTGGGGGTCTGAGCTGGTTCAGTATAGATGTGCAAATATGTGGCCATGTGCTCATGTGCAAACAAGTGGTTAGCGAAGTAGGAGCCGCACATCAATTATCTATTGCCACAATAATGATTTATAGCAAACTGGCCCCAATTCGGTGGCTTATCTAACAACTATTTATTATTGTACACAAGACTACAGGTCAAACGGGCAGTTCTTTAATCTAAGCCAGGCACAATAGGACTCCATGAGGCATCTGTGGTCAGCTGCAGTAGTGCTGATGGCTTTACTGATCTCACTCTGGCTAGGACGCCTTTGCTGACTCTTCTCTGCTCCACAGGGTCTCTGATCCTCTAGCAAGCTAGCCCAGGCTTGTTCTCAAGATGAAGACAAAGTTCACAAAGGAGAGAGCTGGGAACGGGCACATATCACTTCTAATGTATTCTGTTGGCCAAAACAACTCAGTTCAAGTGGTGGAAAAATAAACAGATTCCACTTCTTGATGGGAAAAGTTGCAAAGTCACACTGCCCTGGAGGGAGAGCAGGGTAGAAAACTGCAGCTAATTTTGCAATTAAATTTTGCAAAATAAACCAAAAAAAAATGTGTGTGTCCATGAGTCTGCCCACCTAGGCTTTTGGGAGGTGCATGCACATGAGAAATAAAGCAACTTCACTTTCACCACATGGCAGGTAGCAGATGGCACACATTCTGAGATTGTTGGCAATGGGCTCTTCTGTCCCCCCAAACACCTCTAAGAGGGAGACTACTATCACTAGTGGCAGCACTAGCTAGAAATTCCTTGCAAAGTTTCTTCCCAGACCCAATGCTTAGCACAGCCACAGAATGAACTAACCTCTAGTAACCTTGCATGCTAGACTGGCTAATAATTTGTGAGGCCCAGTGCAAAATGAAAATGCAAAGTCCTTTATTCTAAAATTGTTAAAAATTTCAAGACAACTGTCAAGAGAATAAGAAGGCAAGCCACTGACTTGGAGAAAATGTTTGAAAAAGACACGTCTGATAAAAGACTAGTATCCCAAATATGCAAAGGACTCTTAAAACTCAAAAATAAGAAATGAACAATTCAATTAAAAAATTAGCCAAAGACTCTGAAAGACACCTCGTCAAAGAAGATACACAGATGGCAACTAGCCTATGAAAAGATGCTCCGCATCTTATGTCATCAGGGAAATGCAAATTAAAACTATGAGATACCACTATGTGCCTGTTGGAATGGCCAAAATCCAGAACAGTGATAGCACCAAATACTGGTGAGGATGGAGTCAATAGGGACTCTCCTTCATTGCTATTGGGAATATAAAGTGTCCAGGCACTGTGGGAGACAGTCTGGCAGTTTCTTAGAAAACTAAGCATACCATTACCATACAACAATCAATTGTACTCCTTGGTATTTACCAAAAAAAGCTGAAAACTTATGTCTGTCCCAAAACCTGCACACAGATGTTTATACCAGCTTCATTCATAATTGCCAAAACTTGGAAGCAATCCGGGTGTCTGTCAGTAGCGAATGGATAAATAAACCATGGTACATCCAGACAACAGAATATTACTCAGCACTAAAAAGAAATGACTTACCAAGCCATAAAACAACATGGAGAAACTTTAAACGCATGTGACTAACTGAAAGAAGCCCATCTGAACAGGCTCCATATGGTATGATTTCAACTCTACGACATACTGGAAACGGCAAAACTGTGGAGAGAGTAAAGAGGTCAGTGATTGTCAGGAGTTGGGGTAGGGAGGGGTGAATATGCAGAGCACAGTATTTTTAGGGCAGTGAAACTCTTCTGTATGTTATAATGATGAATGCATGTCATTATATATTTGTCCAAACTCATAGAATGTATAACACCCAGAGTGAACCTCATGTAAACTATGGAGTCCGGTGATAATGATGAACCAATGTAGGTTCACTGACACAAATGGACCCCTCTGATGGGGATGCTAATGGGGGAGGCAGTGCATGTGTAGGGTGGGGTGTATACGGGAAATCTCTGTACCTTCTGCTCTGTTTTGTTGAAACCTAAAACTGCTCTAAAAATACAGTCTCTAAAAAAGTTCAAGACAGTTACATTTAATTAAGGACATTAAACTAAGCATGGGGCCTGCATGGGTCACACTCACATGAAGCTGGTCCTGTCTGCTGGGTCTCCTCACCTGGCCTGACCCTGGCCATCACACCCAGGCAGTGGAAGCCACCACACAGTCACTACTGGGCCCACCTTCATTCATTCATTTATTCATTCAACACAGATTTACTGCGTGTCTGTGACACTCCAGGGACTGTGCTCAGTGCTGGGGACATAGCAGTGAAAATACAAGTCCCTGCCCTCACAGAGCTCAAATTCCAGAGGGAGAGACAAACAATAAACAAGATAAATCAATATGTCATCTGTTGGACAGTGAGCAGGGCAGAGGAGATGCACGCACTGTGGGGTGCAGGGTAGGGGATGAAATCATAACCGCAGAGGTTAGGGGAAGTATCACTGAGAAGGTGACTGTTGAGTAGAAGTGAGAGACTGAGTCATGTCCAGTGACTGGGAGGCAGAGGCAGGTTCCGGAGAAAGAGGAGAGTGGAAGCAAAGGCTCTGAGGCAGCAGCTTGGCTGGAGTGTTAGGGGAACTGCAAGGAGGCTGCTGTGGACGCAGGGGAGGAAGAGAGAGGGATGGAGGGGGAGGCGAGGTCGGTGAGGAAGGCCGAGCCAGACCACAGGGGCCTCGCCGGCCATGGCAAGGAATTTGGTTTTTACTCCAAAGAGAAAGAGGAAGCCAGGGAAGAGTTTTGAGCGGAAGAGTGACCTGGCCTGACTCCTGTTTCTAAAGGATCAGCCTGGCTATTGAGTGGAGGACAAGTGGGGATGGCGGACACCGAGAGGCCCGCTAGGAGATGCTGGCCTTCCCCACCACCCGTCATCCCGCACAGGCCATCGGCCCGGTAGCAGCATCCGGGACTCTCCACCCCCGGGCTTTTGCAGCAGGTTCTCAGGCAGCAGGAGGTGCTGGGAATTAACACCCCCAGGGAACAGCCCTCAGCCAATGACAAATGGAGTTGAAGAGAAGACCGCAGCTTCCCCACCTCCAGGTGGGACAATCCCAAAGTGTGCCCCACAGTGCCGCCCCAGGATCCCTAGCAGGACTGCACCCCAGTTGCCCACAGCTGTCACCTGCTTGGTGACGTACCCCGTGTGCGGTCCTTCTCTCCTCTACCACTGCTTCCTGGGACCACCTCCGGGAGAAAGCACTTGGGGGAAACTTGTCTGAAGATGTACTTCTGGGAGAACTTTAGCTAAGAGGGAAGTATGGCCATAAGTGACTCGAAGGTGGCTCAGATGGTGGTTGGCATCACACATAGTAAGAAGGGATTCTGGCTACATTAGGAAGGGATTTACAGCCGAGCAGGAGGTGAGGTCGGCAGGCTCGGGGCACCTGTCTTCACCTCCCAAGCCAGGTGGCCAGGCCTGAAGGCACTCAGCCTCCAGAAGCCCACAAGGCAGGACGGTGCCCTGACCACAAGCCCTGGGCGCCGGGCCGCCAGCCCGTGTCCTGCAGGGCTGAGGGGCTGAGGCCTTCTGAGTTAATGAGGTCCCCGGCAGAAGCACACCCCGCTGAAAATGACAAACGAACAGCATTACAGGCCGTTCCCACAATTACTATCAGTTGGCTGTAATATAAATATGCAAATTCCCTGGGCTTGAACTTTAACACCCTCGGTAGAGACCATTCATCTCTTTAAAGTATTAATTTAAGTTGTAACAGGGCCCATACATCACCGCGTGTCATTTTGAAAACAAATATTAATCAATTTTACCCTCGGAATTGCTACAGCGGAGGCGGCCCCCACGGCTGCGACTGCGGCACCGGAAGGCTGCAGCGAGAGATTTACATATTCATCCGAGCTTAAGGAAGCCGCGATAATGCAGGTACAGCCCGAAACCCACGCCCCCAGACCTTATCTGCGCGCCCCGCCGGCCCGCGGCTGCTTCTGCATGCGCCGCGCAGTGACTTGCAAATGAAACCCGCAGACCGCTGTCTGGATAACCTTGAACGCCACCGAGACAGGAGGCGAGGCGGCCTTCCAACTTCTCCTTTCCCAGAAATCAAAAAGTATTGAGAAAGGCTAGGATCTCCCTCTCCAAACGGGAGAAACAGCTCTGGCCTCCTTGGAGGTCCTGAGCAAGACAGGCTGGTCCCTGAACCCAGCTTACTTTTCCACCAGCCTTAAGAACCAGGACACCAGAGTGGCAGGTCCTGAAATGACGCGGGGGACTGGAGGTGGTGGTCTTCTGGGGACAGAAAAGGGCTGTGGAGTCATATAGCCCTGGCTTCCAAAACAGAGTCCGCACATACATGCCATGGACCTTCGCATAGATTGATTTAATTTCTTGGTTACATTAATGGAGAAATGTGCCCAGATATTAAAGATATCAACTCAAAGAGTCATTGGCAGGCTTAGAAATTATCTATGAAAAGCACCTATCACAGAAATGGGTATATAGTAAGGGCTGGGATGACATTATCAACAATTATTATTATTTTACTCAGTTATCTTCTGGGGTGACCATTCCCCTCTCCTCAACTGCACCCCCTTTGATCTTTCTACCCTTGCATCTGTAGTGGGTTTGAGGGACAGGACCTCCTGCTCCCACCCTGCCTACTGCCACAGTCTTAGTCTAACAGAATCTGCTGCCCCCTGCCTGAAGATCTGCCACTTCCTTTACAAGAAGACAGGACATCCTGGAAAGAAATGCAAGCCAGGTTGAAAGGTTAATAGCTCCCATTCCCCAAGGTGCTGACCACTCCCTGCTTCCCCTAGGGAGATACCTCCATCCTCAGCCGGAGACAGCACGCCTCCAGCCTCCTCTCGAATCAGGGCTTGCAGGGGCACAAAGCTGCTGCCATTCTCTGGTACTGGGGAGCGTCCACGTCAAGCCAGCAGAGGACACGTTGCACCTGCACAGGTGCATGAGAGATGCTCCTTCCATCCCAGAGCCATCCTACACTGGCCTGCACACCCTCGTCAGCATCCACTGCGTTGTATGCATGTACACATGCTGTACACACGGGATGCTGGCTCACTGTGTGGCTGACCTCCACATTGCAGCCCAGAAAACCTCGCAGCCCAGAAAACCCCACCTCCCTTCATTGGCCCATCAGCAATGTTGGAACTGGACTTCCATGACGAACTCTATGCATAGAACGGTGCACAGTCGAAGGGTTCTCCCCCGGAATGGTGATGCCAACCAGTGAACATCGTCCACCACCTCCTGGTAATGCTGAGTATCGGCCAATGTCAAACATTCACTGGGACAGCCGCAGATCCTGGCTCAAGTGAGGAAGAGAAATACCTCCCTATCCTTCTCCCTGGTGCTAGGGTGAGAGAAACTCATTTCATCACTGCTAAGCCTGGGACAGGAATCACTCAGGGATACAATAAAATCCCCACCCTGCAGGTATATCTGAACCAAATGAAGTATATACACCCATACATATCAAATCACATGTAAGCATGTGCACATGTATAGGCTGGACTATGTGTAAATGTGCACATTGCCCACGTGTGTTAAGCCATATGCAAGGATTTACATGTGTGTGTTCTACCACAGGTAAGTGTGCTTGTGTGTGTTAAGTTGCATGTGAGTGCACATGTGTGTTGATCCACATGTGAGTGTATGCACACGTGTATATTAAACCACATGTTGGTGTGTGCATTGCACATGTACATGTGTATTGAGCTACATGTAAGTGTGTGCATACATGTATGTTGACTCACACAGAAGCATTGCAGGCGCATATGTGTATATCGAACCACACGTAAATGTATGCACACATCATGTTGGTCTGTGACAGTCTGTGCAAAAAATGACATCCAGAGATAATGGCAGGAAATAAACACAGTGACTGTTTAACAAAGAAAAAAAAGAAAGAAAGAAATCCTGTTAAAAACACCCTATATTAAAATTTGTAATTAAAACATTCATCCCACAAATGTTTATGAAGGACCTAATTTTTTTTTCTTTTTAGAGACAGGGTATCACTATGTTGCACAAACTGTTTTCAAACTCCTGGACTCAGGTGATCCTCTGGCTTTGGCCTTCTAAAGTGCTGGGATTACAGGCATGAGCCACCATGCCCAGCTGGACCTAATATATTTCAGGGAAATGTCCAGTCAGGAGGCCAAAGGGCTGAGTTATGGGGAGTGGACCAGCCAGAGTTTTCACATAGTTCATTGAACCTAAGACACAGTTTTAGCCTATGAAATAAAGTACGCTGTAATAAATTCAGGAAATCCCAAGTCAAGTTCTTTCCTTCTGGCCTGCGACTTAGTAATCAACATGGTTATTCCCTGCTACTTAAGGAAAACCCATGGTTCTGAAGGACAGTGGTAGTATATAGGTAAAATCTTCCAGAAAACAAGTGTGTTGGTTTTTTTGTTTTTGTTTTTTGAGACAGGGTCTCGCTCTGTCACCCAGGCTGGAGTGCAATGGTGCAGTCATAGCTCACTGAAGCCTCGAACTCCTGGGCTCCAACTATCCTCCCACCTCAGCCTCCCAAGTAGCTAGAACTACAGGTGTGCACCACCAGGCATGGCTGGTTTTTTAAATATTTTTTGTACAGACAGTCTTGCTGTGTTACCCAGGCTGGTCTCAAACTCTTGATCTAATGCAATCCTCCTGCCTCAGCCTCCCAAACTGCTAGGATTATAGGCATGAGCCACTGTGCCTGGCTGTGGTTTTTTTTAAGTGCATAGATTTTTTTTCTAAGTGGAATGTTGTAATAAGTTGGCCTTTGCCAGGAAATCTATCTTGATGTCATATTTTCCACGCAGGCCCAGGGTACCTTGTCAGTAGATCTCTAATTTCCTGGAAGTCAATTACCCAATCAACTGAGCAGCAAAGACAGTGATCTTGGGCAAGTTACTCACTGTGCTTCCATTTCCTCACCTGTGAAACAGGGACAACACCAGGACATGTCTTTTAGCATTGTTGTAAGGATGAAACCAGTCCAAAACTGACCCTGATACATGATGAGCGCTCACTAATGTTAGCTATCATTAATCACCATTGTCATCACCATAACTCATCATTGCCAGCAGACATTTTATTTTATTAAGAATGCTTTTTTAAATTCAGTGCCAGTACTAAAACATTAAAACAGTAGACATATAAATTTAGAATCCTAGTTTTTGTTTAAAAATCCAAACCTCAGTGGGGCACAGTGGCTCATGCCTGTAATCCCAGCACTTTGGGAGGCCAAGGAGAGAGGATCACTTGTGTCCAAGAGTTCAAGACCAGCCTGGGCAACATAGTAAGACTCCATCTCTACAAAAAAAAAAAAAAAAAAAAAAAGGTTGGGTATGGTGGCACGCACCTGTAGTCCCAGCTACTCAGAGGCTAAGGTCGTGGGATTGCTTGAGCCCAGAGGGACTACAATTGCTGCAGTAAGCTGTGATCGAACCACTGCACTCCAGTCTGGGCAACAGAGTGAGATCATGTCTCAAAACAAAAAACAAACAAACAAACCAAATAAAAACAGGAAAAGAAAAATATAGTAAAATAAAATTAAAACTTAAGCCTCTGGGTCCACCAGGCCTGCATTGGCCCAAGGCAACCTGTAGTGGCTGCCCCTCCAGGCAGAGAGGCATGTGCCCTCCAGCTTGCCACCGTCCCCATCCAGCTCACTAGCCCATCTCCATTGCTGCTTGGCCCCCATGTGATCCTGAGGGTGAGAACCTTGGCATCCTGCTGATAAACAGATAGGAAGACTGAGGCCCAAAAAGGAAAAAGGTGCTGCCAGCCCTGGGCCCCAGGAGCCACATGCCCCTGAGCCCTGGCCCAGAGCCCTTTCCACGATCCCATGTTAAATTCCTTTGGCCCATAAGACCAGAGGGAGGCTGAAGTCTCAGCTCCAATTTTTCAAAGCTGAAAAAGACCAATCCCCTCCTACTAAATATAATGGGATTTCCAAAGATGGATGGAGACAGTAGTTTAGGGTGGGGCTGGGGTTGTTGCAGGAGTGTGTGGCATGTCTGGTGTTTAATGTTTCAGCCTCTCTTCTGCGTTCTTTTACATTTAGTGAATTACCAATATTAAGGCAAAATAGATCTATTAGACAATTACCTAAGGGAACTCAGCTGCTACCATAAAGCCAATGAAGTTATGACAGCAGGGCCCAGGAGGAATCAGAGCTGAGTAAAACCTGTCGAGGCTGCTGACAAATGATGATAAAGTGGTCGCTTTTGCCAGTGCTCAATGGAAATTGACAAGGTGAGCCTCCCCACCTAATGAACAGATCCAACCCCTGTTCCCGATGAAATGCGCAGCAAGTTTAATCTCAATAAGCATCAAAATAAATTTGTTCCCACGTTTAGAGAGAGCACAGACATGTGGGCAGGAGCCATGGCCTTCATGGATGGGACCCAGGCTGTGGTGTAGGGGTGGCAGTGAAGGTGCTGGGGGCTTCCCCATCAACAGTATCTCAGGTACATCTGCCTAAAAATACCTCCATTGCCCATTCTGTCCACTCCCAGAACAGAAACTGAGGCTCAGATGGCACCTACGTCACAGAGACCCCAACCGCTCAGAGAGCAATTGTCTCCATAACTCCTATTAAATGTGCGCAGCTCTGATTCTTATAAAGTAATGTCAGTTACAGAACAATACCAGCCTGCCAGGCAAGACACATTAGAGGAACAAGGCGGGTGGCGTGGGGGTGGGGGGAGAGACACTCCCACCACCAACCCTCGGAATACAATGCACCAGCTGCACATTAATAAATATGTAATGTTTGATTAGAAATATGTATAGTATTTTTTTCCCTCCCCAAATGCCGGCTCGCCCTCAGGCGGAAGACGGGATCTGGCCCACACTGACGGGTTTCTTTCTTGCTTGCTTTGAAAATACAAACTCAAATGTTTTCCTGTCCCAGCTGTTTCCCATTGTTGCTGTTTATCAGCTTGAAGGATGAACAGTGGAATAAAAAAACACGCTTGCATTTCAAATGTGCCAGTCAGTCACTCCATTGTTCAAAGAAGAAAGCTTAATTGTCTGTGCTGGCAAACTTCTTTTTGGTGAATGTCCAGGTTTTAAGAAAAGCTATTCAGCTGTGCAATTTGTTTAATACATGCAGAGAAAAGCATATAAAATCACACGTTTTTCTGAAAAAAAAATTAAATAAGGGGAAAAGAGGAATTTTGGAAAAGAACGAGTCACACATTGAAGTTTCCCGATTGCCCCCACTGGGCACAGGTTTCTGTGTCCTCTACTGAAGTCTCACTTTTCTCTTGGGATGCTCCAGAAAGTCCCACTCAGTGGTTGAGCTTGGTGCTGACAAACAGCACCGGCTCTGAGCTGACGGCCCAGGCAGCAGAAACTTCAGATCGTGCCGGCCAAAGCTCGGCTTTCCCTGTGATTACACCAACTTGTATTTGAGCAGCTCCTGCTTTCTAGGAGTGAGGTACAGATACAGCCAGCAATGCTTGAGAACTTCTATGGATAAAGTTAGTTATGCCCAAAGCAGAGAGGCCCTGTCACAGCTTACCTGTCAAGGTGGGCACACAGGGATAAGCCTGGGCACCCCCAGCAACCCATCTAATTCAGGGGCAAGTGGAATCCGTGGTTGCCTGGTGAGCCTGCAGGGAGAAGGCGCCCAATCTCAAACACCACCCCTGAACAATCCCACAACCAAATGGCAGAAATGCAGTTTCAAAGGAGCGTGGTCTTCTGCTTGGGCTTGAGTGTTCTGGGCTTACCTTGCAAAACAACCTGGCCTCAAGAGGTTTCCATGTCAAAACTGGATGCTTGGGGATGGGAGAGTGGTTTGCAATATCAGTAGTAAGAGCTTCTGTGTCCCCTCCAGACCCCCAAGTGTCTAAGAAACTGCCCCTAAGATGTAGATGACTGATACCAGATCCATATCTGTGAGCAGAGGACGGAAGAGAAATTGGATGTGCTGGCATTGAGGGGACACCAAGGCACTGGGGGAAAGGGCCCCCAAAGTGTGGTGGAAAAAAGAGGCAGCTTCATAGCTTAGCCAGAGGGTGATGGTATTACCCATCTCAATCACTCTCTTTCTAGATTTTACGAGTAATGTTTTTCGATACGTAAAAATAAATGATAAGGGCGTAAGTATCCCCGCCCAGTTCATAACAATGCCCCCACCAAATTTTTCAACATTCTCCCCCTGCCATGTCCCAGTGTTGTTCACAGTAAATTATTCATAGCTGCCCCATGAGGTCAATGCCCCCACTGCCTCAGTAAAGGAGAGAACAAGAGGCTTAGAGAGGGCCATGGCTTCCCAGCATCCCACAGCTGCTAAGCGGCCCCATGAGGACTTGAACCCAGCCCGCTGAGTTCTGGTCCACTTGGGCCTTGTGAAGAGAATCCCCAGTAGAAAAGGTTAATCAGAACCTTGTCAAGCTTCTCCACATCCCAACCAGCACTCTTCTAAGAGTATTTCCGGACTGGCCAGGGCAGCCTCTCTGGGCTGGGCATCTGATCCTAGGGGTGGCCTCAGGGTGACCCAGGAAGCCTCTGTGTCCGTAAGTGGCTCTCTGTCACACTCTTCACAGGGGTGATCTCAAACATCCTCCCCTCTCTAGAGCTCCTTGGCTCTACTCTTCAACTCTCTCCTTCTGCCTATGACAACCTCAAGTTCCATCTCACAGGGAACACAGAAGGAACAAATGGAAGCACAGTTCATTTCCTGCCACCAAACCTGGGAACACACCTACACCTATGCCTGCTCTTGACCTGTCCTGCCTGTCCTAAGCTAGCCCACCACCTGAACTTCAAGTCCTCATGTTCTCCCAGGGACTTCGCTGCAGCCATTGTCACCTCTTCTCTGCATCTTCAACCTCCCTTTTCCCCTACTGGCCACCACATCACCATGGAAACATGGCTAAGACTCTCCTGACTTAAGAAAAATGAGTACACAAGATGATAGACTCAGGAGGACAACACAGGCCTAGCCAGCTACCTGTCCTCCTGCCCCAATTCCTCAAAAGAAAAGCCATATTTAAAAGACAAAATGAATCTATAACCACATGTGGAAAAACAAGAACTTGTCTGCAATTCCTGGAAGATGGAAAGCAGATGGGACTGGGTTGGCAGGATTGGCGGAAACCACAGCCAACCACTATGGCCAGAGCTACTGAGGAAGTAAGAGAAGATCCAGGGTACTTGGGTTCAGAGTAAACAAATACAAAGAGGAGGGGGTGGAGCGATTGGCAGAGAAATTAGCAAAATAACTGTGTTCAGAATTGGTTTTCATTGGAACCAATGGAGCCGACACCCACCCCCATACCCAAACAGGAGACTGCAGCAGCATTTAGCTCCAGGTCCAGGTCAAAACTGAAGGATTGCACAGTAAAAAAAGGGAACCCGCATCTGCAATCAGTTTTATCCACTGATTTGCCACAGTGAGGTACAGGCACCTTCATTCAGGAGCAAGAAACATTTCTTTTTCTCCACGCATAAACAATCCTGTTATGATGTAAGTACAATCCCAGAAACCCTCTAGTCTCATTCACAATGAAAACAAAAAATATATATAAAATACCTAGGAATAAACCTACCAAGAAACGTTCAGGACCTATGTGAAGAAAACTATAAAAATTTACTGTGGGACATAAAAGAAGACCTGAATAAATGGAAAGGCATAACCAAACACCTGGATGGAAACACTCAATATTGTAAAAATGTCAAATCCCCTCAAATTAAACTATAAATTCAATACCATCCCAACCACTATCCCTACAGGATTTTTTATGAAACTGGGCAAGTCGACACTAAAATTCATTTGAAAAAGAAAATTCAAGAGAATAGACAAGAAAAATTTGAAAAAGAAAAACAAGTGTTTGCATATTCTACCAAATTTTAAAAGAGACCATTAAGTGGATACAAGAACATGAAGCTGATAAGACCAGGCAAAGAAATCAAAGAAGCAGAATAGAAAGTCTAGAATGGAAGGCTATTTATAGGAAAAATCAAGAAAATTATGGTGTTTCCGATACATGAGATTGTGACATCTGGAGTTCCATTGGAAAACAGAAAGAAAACGTTGGATCCCTACCTCACATCATATATAAAAGTAAGTTCCTACTGGATTAAGAAGCTAAATGTAAAAGACAAATCCAGAAAAGTATTAGAACACAACACCACATGTGCATTTGAATGATGTGATTTTGAAACTACGTAATATAAAAATAATAATGTCCTCATGTTACATACAAAATGTGAAATCCTCCCAAATGGGGGGATTGACAACTCATCAAGAATTGCATAACTTGGCAACTCATCAAGAATTCCATAACTTTCAAACTGGTAGGCTGGTGAGTTGAAACTGCATTTCCAAGTGCAACATGGCAATGCCTCTAGCTGGTGAAAAGAAGGACGTGCTGTCCTTTGTCATTATTGTGTGACCCATGCTATTGTTCCCCTATCACAACTTCCAACAGTATCTTTGGTGACTAGTGCATATTATCTTTAACATTAACTGATCTTGTGATTCAAAATATTTTGTAATCTTCTAGGAACATTATCCAAGCATTGATTCAAGGGTCGTGGTTGTGCTAGAGTTTGTGCTAAGAAAAGGAATAAAATAGGCCAGGCGCAGTGGCTCCCAGCACTTTGGGATGCCGAGGTGGGTGGATCACAAGGTCAGGAGATGGAGACCATCCTGGCTAACACAGTGGAACCCTGTCTCTACTAAAAGTACAAAAAATTAGCCAGGTGTGGTGGCACACACCTGTAATCTCAGCTATTCGGGAGGCTGAGGTAGGAGAATCGCTTGAACCCAGGAGGCAGAGGTTGCAGTGAGCCAAGATTGTGCCACTGCACTCCAGCCTGGGTGACAGAGAGACACTCCGTCTCAAAAAAAAAAAAAAGAATAAAATAAAATAACCACCTAAAAATCAATAGCTCTGGGCCAGAGAAGGGAAAGGATAAAGTTATTCTGAAGAAGGCCAAACATCACCATGGTGTGTCACTAATTTAGAAGTGCATGCTCTGTAAAAATGTCAGAAACATTGCTGAAAAAAATTACTATCATTATAGGTATGTGGCATTCCAAGAATATAAAATTGCCACTTACCACCTCATGGAGAAAGAACTTGTGAATTATGGAGGCTATGAATTACCTGGGGTCTGTAGGATGCTGTTTTTCCCCTCCCAGATCGCCTTTCTGGACTCCAGTGAGTTTGCACCAGCTGCACCCTTCCCTGGAGAATTGCCTTCAGCTCATGACAGGGACCATGACCTGGAAGTTGGACCCCAACACACAGCAAGGGCAGCCCACAGCTAATGACTGACTGATCAATGTGATTCAGAGCTTCAGGGCTCTTATCACCATGGCTCAGACCAAGACTGGGCTTTGCTTGAGGTTTGCTTCCTTGTTCTGCTCTCTCCCTTGTCTTATTGTGCCTAATTCCCTCCCTTACAGGATTTTCCTGAAAAACTCCCCTGATTAATCATGTGCTCCTTGAATTCCTTTCTCAAGCTCTGCTTTTAGGGAACCCAAGCTAATATATTTGGCACCAGGAGTGATCCTAGGAAATAGATGAGAAGGATAGGATTCTGAAGTCCCTAGATGGCTAGAAATCATAGCCCCATCACCGGTGCTTAGTGTACAGTGGTAAATGGCAGGCAGTGATTGTTGCTAAGATTCTACCTGTAATACACCCAGGGCATGGGATACAGGTGGAAAAGGTGCACTGCCCTGTGCAAGAGCTTTGATGTTTGAGAGGTATGGGAAAAAGAGTTCTTATAAAGACTGTAGAATTGGGTGCCCACCAGTGAATGCCAATCATGCCTTAAGAAGAGGAAAAGACAGACTCAGGGCCATCAATCACAATGTGAAGCAAAACATGAGGGTCTGAGAGCCCCATTGCCAGCATTATAGAAACTCTCATCTCCCACAGCTGGGGAGGCAGACAGCTGGCTCCCAGGCCCTGGCCTTAAGGATATGAGGAAAGGACTTAAGGATAAGAGTTGCAACTTTAAGGAAATTTAAATTCTAATTCTAAGCCTAGGCAAGTTTTCTACACCAAAGTCAGACCTCTGATGGAGAAGCTGCAGGAATCTGGAACTTGGGGTAAGTGCATTTGAGTACATGTACTTGAGAACTTTGGGTCCTCTGGGTCTGCAGAAGCGGCCTGTCCACCCTGTTAGGAGACTATCCAAGAAGCCCCAAATGAGGATTTTTATAAAGCAGCACTGGCCTCCTCCGTATCTGCTGTCACCTCCTCTCCCCGCCACCAGTCTAATCTGTAGGGCCAAGTCTCAGCATGAGTCAACTGTGTGAGGCCTGCTTAGGAATGGGAAAGTTTCTAAGTAAAAGACTCTGCAGGTACTAGTGGACATGCCCTGGCAGGACTGGGAGGGCATGCCCAGGAGTGGATCCTGAGGATGCTGGGTCAAGGTGGACAGAATTTATCACTGAATAAAGGAACATTTGTTGACAAGGGAGCCCTCTCCTTTGCCATGGAATTTAACACCCCGGCGAGGCTTCCAGGGATGGGTCTAATACATAGCTGGGATGGCTCTTAGAAGCTTGGAAAAAGCTCACATTGGCCCTCATTAAATGAAGCTGAGATGCCAGAGCTCTCACTGCAGATGATGGACGAAAGGATCAACGAAGTGGTGGCTGAATTGCAGTTCCTATGCCAAAGGAGGTCTGTTTACTACAGCAGACTAACACAACCTCAGCTATGTGGTTTGCAATTTATTTCTGATCTGCCAAACGTGTTCTTTCCAATACTGTTGTTTGTTTCCTGGGACTGCCATAACAAATTACCACAAACTTAATGACTTAAAACAACAGAAATTTATTCTCTCACAGTTCTAGAGGCCAGTGGTCTGAAGTCAAGGGGTCAGTAGGCTGCCTCTGGAGGCTCTAGGGAAGAGTCCTTCCTCTCCTGGTGGCTGCCGGCTGTCTTTGGCATTTCTTGGCTTGTAGACACATCACTCCAATCTCTGTCCTCTCCTGTATGTATTCCTCTCTCTTCTCTTATAAGGAAATTTATCATTGGATTTAGGGCCTACCCTAATCCAAGATGATCGTATCTTGAGATCCTTTATTTAATTATATCTGCCAAGACCTTTATTCCAAATAAGTCCACAGTTCTAGGTTCCAGGTGGGCATATCTTTTCTTTGGTGGGGTGGGGGCAGGTGCATCATTTAACCCACTACACGTGCCCATCACAAATGAGGATCAGAAGCTGTTTGCATCTACATCCAATGGATAATAGCATATATTGATAATCCTGCCCTGGAATATGGTAATTCTGATTTCTGCCATAATGTAGTCCATAATGTGACCTAGGCAATCTGGACACTTCACAAAGAAACTGAAATTACTTCCCTGTATCAATTTCAGCAGTGAGCTGAAATTACTTCCCTGTATGATACGTTAATTGGATCAGATGAGCAAGAAGAGACAAGTCATCGGGATGCCTGGGTAAGATACATGCTGTCCAAAGGATGGGAAGTAAGAAATCCCAGGTATGTATCAGCAAAGTTTCTAGGGGCCAGTGGTCTGCAGCAGTGGAGCATCCCTGTATTAGGTGATTCTTGTATTGCTGTAAAGAAATAGCTGAACCTGAGTAATTTACAAAGAAAAGAGGTATGATTGGCTCATGGTTCTGCAGGCTTTACAGGAAGCATGGTGCTAACATCTGCTCAGCTTCTGCGGAGGCCTCAGGAAGCTTACAATCATGGCAGAAGCAGAAGGGGAAGCAAGCATGTCACATGGCCAGAGCAGGGAGGAAGAGAGAGAGAGAGAGAGAGAAGGTGCCACAGACTTTTAAACAATCATATCTCGAGAGAATTCACTCACTGTCATGAGGACAGCACCAAGGGGATAGTGCTAAACCACTCATGAGAAATACGCCCCCACAATCCAGTCACTTCCCACCAGGCCCCACCTCCAACATTAGAGATTACAATTTGACATGAGATTTGGGTGGGCACATGCATGCAAATAATATCAATCCCCTCCAAAATAAAGTAAAGTTATTGTACTGTGCAATTCCTACCACTAAGGAAAAATCCCCAGTGCTTGGTAGACCAGTCCGAATTGAAGGACGCATACTCCAACACTGGGGGATACTGCTCTTGCCCATTCAATGACTTGTAAGGAAACATGCTAGTCTTAAGTGAGGCTCAAAGCAAGAGAGGGCTCTGCAGCAGGTCCAGGCTATGCTACAAGTTCTGTAGCTTGGACCATGTGACTCCATAGACCCCATGGTACTGGCATTAGAAAAGTAGTAAGATCTCGAATTAATAACTTCAGCCTCCACCTTAGGGAACTAGAAAAATGTGGCTCACGCCTGTAGTCCCAACACTTTGGGAGGCTGAGATGGGTGGATCACGAGGTCAGGAGTTTGAGACCAGCCTGGCCAATGTGGTGAAACCCGTCTCTACTAAAAATACAAAAATTAGCCAGGCATGGTGACACGCACGTGTAATCCCAGCTACTCAGGAGGCTGGGGCAGGAAAATTGCTTGAACCCAGGAAGTGGAGGTTGCAGTGAGCTGATATCACACCACTGTGCTCCAGCCTGGGTGACAGAGCAAAACTCTGTCAAAAAAAAAAAAGAAGAAGAAGAAGAAAAGAAAGAGAAGAGAAGAAGGAAGGAAGGAAGGGAGGGAAGGAGGGAGGGAAGGAAGGAAGGAGGGAGGGAAGGAAGGAAGGAAGGAAGGAAGGGAGGAAGGAAGGAAGGAAAAGAAAGAAAGAAAAAAAAGGAGAGAAAATTAAACCAAAATGGAAGAAAGTAAATAAAAATTAGGACAGAAATCAGTAAGATAAAACATGAGAAAATAGGAAAAATCAATAAAGCAAAAACCTAGTTCTTTGAAAAGGTCAATAAAATCAACAAACCTTTAGACAGTGATCAAGAAAGAAGACAGAAAACACAAATTGCCAATATTAGGAATGAAAGCAGGTACACAACGATAGACCCTATGGAAATCAGAATGTTAAAGAGGTAATATTAAGGGTGACTTTACCAACAAATTTGACAATTTAGATGAAATGGAAAAAAGCCTTAAAAGACACAAACTACCAGGGCTTATCTGACAAGAAATAGCTTTTCATATAACTTTTAAAGAAATTTGATTCATTGTTTAAAACCTTCTCACAAACAAAACTTCGGGCTCAGATGGTTTCACTGGTGAAATCTACCAAACATTCAATGAAGAAACACTACTTTTCTATAAAGCAGAAGAGAAGGTAATACTTTTCAACTCATTTTGAGGCCGACATTGCCCTGATATCAAAACCAGACAAAGATACAACAAGAAAACTACAGACAATGTCACCCATGAACATAGACTCAAAAATATTTATTAAAACATGAGCAAATAAAATTCAGCAAAATAAAATAAAATAAAATATATAGAAAGGATACTACATCATGACTAAGTGGGGTTTAACCCAGAAATACAAGATTGGATTAACATCCAAAAATGTGTAAATTCACCACATCAATAAGCTGGAAAGAAAATGAAATGATCATCTCAAAAGATCTAATAACAGAGATTCAAAAAATTCTCATTATCTGTCTGGTGAGGACCTGGTTAATATTAAAAAAAGACAAAAACTAAAGAAAAAAATTCCCATTTTTACCACTTCTGTTCAACATCGTACTAAAGGTTCTAACCAGTGCAATAAGGAAAGCAAAAGAAATAAAAAACAAACATATTCAAAAAGAAGAAATAAAACTGTCTTTATTTATAATCAATATGATCATATATATTTAAAGAAATCTACGTGAGTTTAGTTAGCATGGTCACAGGTTGCAAGATCACTGTACAAAAATCAATGACATTTCTGTATACTAGAAATTAACAGTTGAATATTTAAATTTAAAAAAATTACAGTTGCTTCAAAAAGCATGAAATAATTATGGATAAACCTAATGATATCTATGCAGGATTTATATGCTGAAAACTATAAAACATTGCTGAAAAAAAATTTTTATAAAAGACCAAAATGAATACAGATAAACCAGGTTCATGGATCAAAAAACTCAGTATTGTTAAAATGTCAATCCTCCCTGCAATAGTTAATTCTAGGTGTCAACTTGGAGGATGTTTTTGAATGAGATTAGCATTTAAATGGGTGGACTTTGATAAGCGGATTGCATTTCTTCATGGGGGTGGATCTCATTCAATCAGTTGGAGCCCTAATAGAACGAAAAGTTCGACCTGCCCTAGCAAGAAGGAATTCTACAGCAGACTGCCTCCAGACCTCATCTGCACCAACAGCTCTCCTGGGTCTCAGCCTGCCAGACCACACTGCAAATTTGGAATTTCCAGCCTCCATAATCATGTGAGCCAATTCCTTATAATAAATATAAATATATATATGTTATACACACACACACACACACACACATACACACACACACACATCCTGTTGGTTCTGTTTCTCTGGAAAACCTTGACTAATACACTTCCCAAATATTTCTGTACATCCAATGTAATCCCAGTCCAAATTCTAGCTAGCTTTTTGTGGACATTGTCAAGCTGATTCTAAATTTACATAAAACAATGAATGACCTAGAACAGCCAAAACAATTTCAAAAAAGAACAGCAAAGCTAGAGGATTAATGCTATCTAATTGCAGATGAGATGGTGTAGTGTTTGCATAATGAAAGTCATATAGATCAATGGAATGGAATGAAGAGTCCAGAAATAGACCTACACCTCCATGGTCAATTTATTTTTGACAAAGTACCAAGGTAACTGAATGAGGAAATATTGTATTTTCAATAATAGTGCTAGAAAATGGGGCATTCATTTCAAAAGAAGTGGAAACTTAACCCTTATGTTGCACCATATACAAAAAGTAACTTGGAATGGTTCACCCACTTAAATGTAAGAGCTAAAGATTTAAAACTTCTAGGAGAAAATATACATGACCTGGGTTTTGACCAATAATTCCTAGATAGAAAACAACACGCTTAAGTCATAAAAAAATGATAAATTGGACTTCATAAAAATGTAAAACTCTGCTCTTCGAAAGATATTAAGAAAAATGAAAAAAACAAGTCACAAATTGAGAACAAATGTTTGCAAAACACATATCTGATAACTGTATGCATTCTCAATGGAGGTGATATCATTGAGGGGGCAAAAATTTGTTCTTGGTGGCTAAAAATTTTAGATATTATAATGATATGTGAGCCTGCAAAGGATCATGGTATATAAATAGATATATGATATGGCTGTTATTTACATTTCATAGTGGATGGGGGGAGACGTTAGGAAAAAATGTCTAAAAAGGCTCTTGAGGGGCAATATTTTAAAACATATTTAGAAACACTGGATAAAGAGAGGGCTTGTATCTAGAATAATATATAGAACTCTTTACAACACAAGAAGACAAAGAATTCGATTTAAAAATTGGGCAAAAATATGAACAGATACTACACCAAGAAAGATGTAGGAATGGCAAATAACCCCATGAAAAGAAGCTCAACACTGTTAGTCATTAAAGAAATGCAAATGAAAACCACAATGAGATATTATGACACACATACTAAAATAGCTCAGATTAAAAAGACTGACAATATTAGCCGTGGTGAGAACGTGGAGCAACTGGAACTCTCTTGGCAACCATTTTGCCAGTCTTTGGTAAAGTGATGCATACCCTGACCTCATGACCCAGTGATTCCACTTCCAGGCTTTTACCAGGAGAAATGAAAACCTATGTCCACACAAAGATCTGTGGCCAAATGTTCATGACAGCATTACTTACATTAGCTTACAGTAGAAACAACCCCCAAACCCATTAATAGATGGATATAATGAAATACTGCTTAGCAATAAAAAGAACGAACTACTGATCTATATAACAATATGAATAAATGTCAAAAACATTATGGTAACTAAAAGAAGCCAGACCCAATTTGTATGATTTCGTGAATATGATGTTCAGGAAAAGGCAAAACTGTAAGAACAGAAATCAAATCAGTGGTTGCCGGGGACTGGGGGTGAAGAAAGGAGACTGAACAGAAAAGGGACAAGAGGAACTTTTCTTGCTTGCAGGAAATGCTTTATCTCTCAATTGCGGCTGTCACATGACTATATATATTGTCAAAACTCATTGAACTGTACACATTTTAAAAGTGATTTTTACTGTATGTCAATTACACCTTAATAAACCTGAAAAAAATAAAACTTTTAAGGCATTCTAGCTACCTGCAAGGCTGTAAGCTGACCCTATTCTCATGAAGCTTATGTGATTTAGTGATTTATCCTGCATGGTTCCAAGACCAGAACTGAAAGCAATGAATGGGAAAAGGATGGGAAAGCAGAAGTGTGCTCAGAGCAAGAGTCCTCCTAATGGCCACTGCGAACTGACTCGTTCTCCCTCTCCACCCGGAGCTTACTCACCACTAAGGCTGAGAAGTTGCTCTTCCCCCTCTTTCCTCAAAGTGTGGTCTCCAGACCAGCAGGACCAGCACAGCCTGGGGGGCTTCATCAATGCAGCCCCGCACACCCCACCTCAGGCCAGCCGACTCCGAATCTGCATTTTCAATCAGACCCCCCAATTGTTCCCATGATATTTTCCCCAGATGTGTTCCTATATATGTAAAACTCCCTCCCCAACTCCCCAGTTACACTCTCATCATTCAAATCTAAGGTTGGGAAGCTCTGGTCTAGTCACAAACTCACTTCTGTACCCACCCGCCATTTGAGTTGGAAGTTGACCAATATCAATTGTATATGTTCCCAGACCCATGTAATGCTGGCGTTTCTTACTGAGTTTCTGTGGCTTTCTAAAAAATTTTATATTCAGGGGTGCATGTGTAGGTTTGTTACAGGGTATATTGCATAATTCTGGGGTTCAAGCGTCTATTGAACCCATCACCCAAACAGTGAACATAGTACCCAATAGGCAGTTTTTCAATCCTTGCCCTCTTCCCTCTCTCCCCACACTTTTGGAGACCCCAGTATCTATTGTTTCCATCTTTATGTCCATGTGTACCCATTTTTGAGCTCCCACTTATAAGTGAGAATATGCAGTATTTGATTTTCTGTTTCTTCATTAATTCACTTAGGACAATAACCTCCAGCTGCATCCATGTTGCTGCAAAGGACATGAATTCATTTTTAATGGCTGTAAAGTATTCCAAGGTGTATATGTACCACATTTTTTTAATCCAGTCCACCGTGGATGGGTGCCTAGGTTGACTCCATAACTATGCTATTGTGAACAGTGCTACAATAAACATACAAGTGCAGATATCTTTTTGATAAAATGATTTCTTTTCCGTTGCGTAGATATCCAGTGGTGGTATTTGCTGGGTCAAATGCTAGTTCCATTTTTCACTCTTTGGAGTTTCTATAGCATTAATTAAATAATATTCAACCAATGAAATATGAGTGGAAAACATTTTTTAAACTAATTTGAATGTTTGTAAAAGATGCCATAACTATAATTTGCTTTTAAAATGTGGTGTTCCCTATGAAAGCAGTGGACAAAAAATTTGTCATGGAAATAAAGATGAACAAGACAAGTATAAATGTTAGGAGAAAACGTCATAGAAATCCAGGCTTATGTATTCAGATTGCTTCACATGTGTCTTTGTCACTCAGCCTTTAAAATGCCGGAATTGGATGTAGCCAACCTGCATTGCGGATGTGATTTATAAAGGAAGACAACACTGAGTTGTAATTGCTATAGAACTCACCTCCACCCCAGGTCTTCCAAGAGAATTTAATAGTGGAATTTCAGGGTCTGCAATGGGCGCAAAGGAGCTATTTGGAATCAGGTGGGCAAGGGCTCAGACCCAACTGGTCTTGGGGCACCCTGCAGTACCCCTTACAACCACCAACCTGGACCTGAACAACAGCCTCATTTTGGGGGGCCTCAGACTTCAGAGCTCCAGTCAACCTTTTCTTTTCTCTTTCTTTTTATTTTTAGAGATAGGATCCCACTCTGTTACCCAGGCTGGAGTGCAGTGACACAGTCACAGCTCACTGCCTCCCTGGACTCAAGTGATCCTGCTGCCTCAGCCTCCTAAGTAGCTGGGACTACAGGTGTGCACCACCATGTGCAGCTGATTTTTTATTTTATTTTATTTTATTTAGAGATGGAGGTCTCGCTATGTTGCCCAGGCTTCAGAACTCCTGGCCACAAGTAATCCTCCTGCCTCGGCCTCCCAAAGTGCTGGTATTACAGGCATGAGCTTTGGCACCCAACCCTCCTCTTCCCTTTTTCCCCATACCCCCATTCTTCTCCTTTCCGCCAGTGTCCACTCTGCCCTACTCCCTCTCCCTCCTCCGAAAGCTATCTTCCTTTGCCCTCTCGAAGGAAAGCCCTCCGTCTGAAGCCACTCCAGGATCCGACAGGGCAGACAGCAAACCCGGAGGATACCCGGAGAAGACAGCGCATGGGGCTTGAGAAGCTGTGAAGGGCACAAAAACACACCACCCTTTTTGAACCTCTGCTGTGGGCCTCACAGTTCTGCCTCACCCAGAGTCTTTTCATCAGTGTGTTAACTACTGTGAGGTCAATAAAAATGGTGACCCAGTGTATTAGTTTCCTTGGGCTGCTGTAACAAATGACCACAAACTTAGTGGCTTAAAACAACAGAAATGTGTTCTCTTACATTTCTGGAGGCAGGAAGCCTGAAATCAAGGTGTTGGCAAGACCACGCTCCTTCTGAGGCTTGGTGGGAAAATCTATTCTGTCATAGTCGGTAGTTAGTCAGATACGAGCAGAGCAGGAGAGGGTCACCCCCACCAGGAGTGTCAGGCGACCATCAGGTGATGGTCAGATAGTTATTAAGCTGTCTCTCTAAAATAATAATTGGTCACAGCCGGCGCCAGGGAAAGACTGTCTCCCAATAAACAGAAACACCTGAAACTGGTGATCAGCAGCTTCCCAATAAGATCTCAGGAGTGGGCGAGTGGGCTTAAGCATGAGCACTTAGAGGCAAAATGGCAGAGTTTACCTGGTATATGACCTTCTAGGAATACGCCTCAACTGAGCATGCACACAACTTCAGTAAACACACACACATGCGGCCCCCTCTAAGTGCTGTCAGGCCACTGCACATGTGGACAGCCCAACCCAGTGGAAGAATCAGGGGAGAAGGAATGCAAGACCCCGGAAGTATGAAACCCTAAGTCAAAGGTCAAATAACACACTTGACTCTCAACTCACCCGCTTGGCCCTCTTCCAAGTGTAATTTACTTCCTTTCATTCCTGCCCTAAAACCTTTTAATAAACTTTCACTCTTGCTCTAAAATTTGCCTTGGTCTCTCACGCTGCCTTATGCCCCTCAGTTGAATTCTTTCTTCTGAGGAGGCAAGAAATGAGGCTGCTACAGATCCATATGGATTTGCTGCCAGTGACATTTGATGCTACGTGACTCAGACAGGTTCCCTAAGTGCTAACAGTTCCTGTCTCTCTGGCTACTGACGCCTGCTGGCAGCCCTGGGCATCCCTTGGCTGGTGGACTCAGTGCTCCCATTTTTGTCTCCATTTTCACATCTGTTTCTCTCCTGTGTGTCTCCTTTTCTTTCCTTTTCTTTTTAATTTTTATTTATTTATTTACTTTGAGATGGAGTTTCGTTCTTGTCGCCCAGGCTGGAGTGCAATGGCGCCATCTCAGCTCACTGCAACCTCCACCTCCTGGGTTCAAGTGATTCTCCTGCCTCAGCCTCCCAAGTAGCTAGGATTACAGGCACCCGCCACTATGCCCAGCTAATTTTTGTAATTTTAGTAGAGATGGGTTTCACCATGTTGGCCAGGCTGGTCTTGAATTCCTGACCTCAGGTGATCCACCCACCTCAGCCTCCCAAAATCCTGGGATTACAGGTGTGAGCCACCACACCTGCCCTGTGTGTCTTCTTTTCTGTCTCTTATCAGGATACTTGTCATCAGCATTAGGGCCCTAATCCAGGTATAAGATCACCTTGAGGCCCTAGTCTTAATCGCATCTGCAGAAATCCTTATTCCAGATAAGGCCACTTCTGAGGTTCAGAGTGGACATATCTTTGGGGAAGCTGCTGTTGAACCTCACCCAGACTCTACTTTTGGAGAATGGCTTGGAGGGATCAGCTCCTCGCTCCTGGTTTACCTCTTCTCCTTCCGCTAAGTAGCCAATCAGAAAAAATCTCCATGTGATACTAGAACCCAGAGCTCAAGTTATTAGAAAGCCAAAAACTGAATTTCCCATTTCTTAAGAGCAGGGAAGGCCTTGTCTTAGGAAAACACAACTGCTAAATCTCCACTCTCTGAAGGAGAGGGTAATTTATATATATCTGGGGAACATCCACCCTCCCCTCAAACCACTCCAGGAATAGGCCGAAGCCCTCCTTCAAAGGGAAAGCAGGCTGTCATTTTCAGGTTGACATAAATTCTCATTCTCTGCACAGATAATTTTCAGGATGCAATGAATGAGACAAGCAGGGTGAGTACTAAGTACTGAGCATAAGGGGCTGGGGGTGTTGGTCCTCCTTCCCATTTCCACCAGCCCATCCCCCTTACTTTAATGTAAATAATTGGGCTTTTCTGACTCCCGGGCAAAGTTTATGCAAACCCATCCCCAAGTCTCTTTCTTCCAATGAGGGCCCTTCCTACAGGGACAATTTCAGAACCAGTGCATTGGTGCACATGGAAGGAGAGATATTCTTTGCTTGGATAATCAGGGAAGGCTATACAAAGGGAGAAAGCAGACACCTGAATTGGGCTTTAAGAGCATTCCTAAGCAGAGGAAACAGAATTGAACCAAGCAAGACAGAAGCAACACATAACAGAGCAAGGCACAGGTCAGACACGATAAACAGATTTGTAGTAGGTACCAGGAGAGCTGTGTTTAGAAGGATTCTGAGGTCACAGCCAGGCTCAATGCAAAAGTTCGATGATCAGTTAATGATGTCTGCTGTGAGAGCGGTGATATACAAGTCATCCCTGACCTAGGGTGTCAGCAGAGTTCGATGTCATGGAGGAGAAAGCGAAATAACTATAATTCATTTGGACAAATGAAGTTGATTCCTAAAGCCACCTGTTATAGGTTAACTTGTTTCCCCTCCAAAAAAAGACATGTTAGAGTCCTATTCCCCAGTCCCCTAGATGTGACCTTATTCAGACATATGGTCTTTACAGAAGTACTCAAGTTAGAATGAGCATATTAGGATGGGCCCTAATCCAATATGACTGATGTCCTTATAAAAAGGGAACATTTGGACAGAGAGACAGAGGCATTGACAGAAAGCCTCGTAAAGAGATGCAGGGAGAAGACAGCCATCCACAAGCCCAGGAGAGAGGCCTGGACCAGTTCCTTCCCTGATACCCCTCAGAAGGAACCAGCCCGGGAGGCAGGATACGTGGACCCCGATGGCCTTCCCTTTATGCTAAGGATTGCAAACTTAATTATGTCTGGTGTCCAGGCCCTAGCAAGCAGCCAGGTGGGGACTGCGGAGAATGGCAGAGCTCAGGGCTGATCGTGGGGGTCCTCTGCTGCCCCTGGGTGCCCTTGTAGATAACAGTGCCTGATGTGCCAACTCCTCCAGTTTTTTCGAGAAAGGCTGAAGATCCAGATTTTGTGTGAAATCTTCCATTTTCTTAAACACTGATTTAATTAGAGTTCTCCAGAGAAACAGAACCAATAGAATATACATGTGTGTGTTTCCATATACAGAGAGAGAGTGGGAGAGACAGAGAGACAGACAGAGACAGAGGGGTTTATTATGAGCAACTGGCTCCTTCTATTAGGGAGCCCGAGGAGCCCCTCAGTCTGCCATCTGCAAGCCCTTTGGGCTTGGACTGGAACTACACCAGTGGCTGTCCTGGGAGAGCAGGTGGAGTCAATCCCAGTCTGAGGGCAGGAGATGAGAACAAGATGTCCCAGCTCAAGCTGTGAGGCCAGAAAAAAGTGGGGGTGGATTTTTCTCTTTTTAAAATTCTATTCAGGCCCTCAAAGGATCGGATGTCCCCCACCCACAATTGCTTAAGCGAGTTCACGGATGCAAATGCGAATCTTGCCTGGAACACCCTCACAGACACACCCAGAAGCAGTGTTTAATCTGGGGACCCACTAACCCACTCAAGTTGGTACATGAAATTAACCACCATGGCTGGCAACTTTTCACAAGTTTTTGCAAGCCTCATGCAGGCAGGCCTTGAGTTTGCAACCTCCACTCTATGACCCACAAAACAGGGAAAAGGCTATGGTTCGCAATCTCTATTGCTTCTCCTAGAAGGGGTAGAACTTCCTTGGAGACACAGACCACCCCATTCCAGCCCTTGAGGGAATGGTGTACCCTCAGGGGCAGGAATGGGGCCCCTGAGGGTACACTCTGAGCCACTGGAACTAGAGTTCCAGCCCAAGCCCAAAGGGCTTGCAGATGGCAGATTGTGGGACTTCTCAGGCAGCCTGAGCTTGCAGCCCTTACCCACCAGACTCTTCTCAACTCTCTGATGCACTCCCTGTTATATCCTCCCTGGCTCCTGTTCCCTCCCTCCCAGGTAACCACATGTCAGAACCTAGCCCTTGCTGTATCTGGAATAAGCTGATCAAAGTGCTCTGTATTGATCAGTACAGGGCTGTGAAGTGCCTGGCACACTCAGGGGCCACTTATAACAGACAGGACTCCTCTCCCTGAGGCCCCTACTATCCCTCAGCTGTTCACCTGCCCACCACGATCCCTCCCGCCCACCACAGCAACCTCTGCAAAGCGACATCATGTTTCCTCCAACGGCAGGTGTGGGATGTAGAAGGATTCGGGTTTGATAAAGAAATGCTGGCCAGCCACCGTGGCTCAAGCCTGTAATCCCAGAACTTTGGGAGGCTGAGGCGGGCAGATTGTTTGAGGTCCGGAGTTCAAGACCAGCCTGGCCATCATGACGAAACCCCGTCTCTACTAAAAATACAAAAATTAGCCAGGCATGGTGGCGGGCACTTTTAATCTCAGCTACTGGGAGGCTGAGGCATAACAATCGCTTGAACCTGGGAGGTGGAGGTTGCAGTGAGCCGAGATCATGCCCCTGCACTCCAGCCTGGGCAATAAAGTGAGACTCTGCCTAAAAAGAAATGTTCTTTCCCTCAATGACCACTTGGCATGTGGGCAGATTTTCAGGACAGCCCAGAGTGAGTTTACTACAAAAAGCACCTGGAAAAGCCGTTTCAGAGGAGGAGGAGGAGGAGGAAGAGGAAGCAGCAGCTACAGCCTGGAAACAATCTAAATGGCTAAATAAATGACAGCACAACCAAGCAATAAAACACCAAGCAACTGCTTACAAAAATGAAGACACCCTTATTATATGCTACTATTGATTGGCAGTCTCCGAATTGTATGATTCAATTCATAAAGCGAAGCACAGAACCAACTGTAGAGACGGCACATGCAAGGCCAGGCGCACTGGCTCATGCCTATAATCCCCGCACTTTGGGAGGCCGAGGCAGGTGGATCACCTGAGGTCAGGAGTTTGAGATCAGCATGGCCAACATGGAGAAACCTTTTCTCTACTAAAAATACAAAAATTAGCTGGGTGTGGTGGCATGTGCCTGTGAGTTTCTGAATCTTTTCTGAATCTTTATTCCCTGTGTGGGGAGTCTGAGTGCCTTTCCTATCCTAAGCACCTTGGTCCGTTTGAGGGCCCCTCTTTCAGGCTTCAGCAGGCTTGAAAGATCCCAGCCTGCTGGCCACCTCCATTCCAAGGTGCCAAGCAGAAGCTAGGTAAAGGCAGAGATCCCCACCTCCTGCCGCTAATCCAGGGTGACAGAAGTAACGGGGACAGAGGAGAGGAGGGGCTTCCCCAGTGCACATCATGAGCCTGCTCCCGCCATGCCTTTCCTCTGAGCAGTGCTGTGGCTGGGAACTCATTTCACAGCCCTGGAAACCGAGGCCACAGTGATGCTCCCAAGGTAACACGGTGAATACATTTCCCATCGAGGACTTACCGCAGGTCCGGATGTCTGGCAGGAATTCCACCCTATGCACCACCCCAACCAGGGACCACCCCTCTGGGCTAGGGAAGAAGCAGGGGCCACTGGAATGAACCAGCTCTTTCCTCTCCCCGACATCTGCTTCTCCTGCCCAGATTTGGTTCTCTCAGGAGTTAGCCCAGAGGATCCATTCGGCCTCCCTCTGGAAATCCAAACCTTTCCTCGAGGTCCCCATGCTGTTTCCTGCAGGAATCCTGGCTGACCAGGCAAAGGCTTCAGAAAGGGCTTTGGATTTTCTTGGACCTGAGTTTTTTTGTTTGTTTATTGATTGACTGATTTTTAGAGACAGGGTCTTGCTCTTTCATCCAGGCTGGGGTACAGCAGCACAATCACATCTTACTGCAGCCTCCAACTCCTGGGCTCAAGCGATCCTCCTGCCTCAGCCTCCCCAGTAGCTGAGGCCACAGGTACATGCCACCACATGCCCAGCTAATTTGTTGTTGTTTTTTGTCTTTTGTTTTGTAAAGACAAGGTCTCACTCAGTATGTTCCCTAGGCTGGTCTCGAACTCTTGGACTCAAGCAACACTCCCACCTCGGCCTCTTGAAGTGCTGGGATTACAGGCATGAGCCATTGCACCCAGCTTGGACCTGAGTTTGAATCCTATCTTCTTCACGCTTAGCCAAGACATCTTGGATGAGTTATTTCTTTTATAAAATGGAAGTACCAGGCCCCACCTCTCAAGAATGTCTCAAAAACTAGCTGAATGTATGTAAAATACTTGGTGTTTGGTAAATGTTCTGTAAGCAGTAGATGACATTCTCCGAGTAGCCCAATATCAGTCCTGCATCCTTCACTCCTTCATTCATTCAGCAGGTCCTCATGGCATTCCATCAGGGCTCAGAATCCGAGACCCAGGGCTAAGGAAGTGACACAGGGCTGCTCTCATGGGGCTTGAAGCCTGGTGTTGGAATCACACGGATGGAAAAACGACAGCTGAGAAGGGTACCCATGTTGCCCTGACAGCTCATCCTTGGGAGGTTGTTGGAGAATGGGGGTCAGGGAAGGCTTCCCCGAGGCAGTGATACCTGAGCAAAACCCAGGGGATGGTGAGGGACTGTCAGAGGTGTGTGAACCAGAGCGACTCCATCTTGAATAGGGGCTGGGTAAAATAAGGCTGAGACCTACTGGGCTGCATTCCCAGATGGTAAGGCATTCTAAGCCACAGGATGAGGTACGAGGTCGGCACAACATACAGGTCATAAAGACCTTGCTGATAAAACAATTTGCAGTAAAGAAGTCAGCCAAAACCCACCAAAACCAAGATGGCACTGAGAGTAACCTCTGATCGTCCTCACTGCTACACTCCCACCAGGGCCATGACAGTTTACAAATGCCATGGCAACCTCAGGAAGTTAGCCTATACGGTCTAGAAAGAGGAGGCATGAATAATCCACCCCTTGTTTAGCATATCATCAAGAAATAACCATAAATATGGACAACCAGCAGCCCTTGGGGCTACTCTGTCTATGGACTAGCCATTATTTTATTCCTTTACTTTCTTAATAATCTTGCTTTCACTTTACTCTATGGATTTGCCCCGAATTCTTTCTTGTGTGATATCCAAGAATGCTCCCTTGGGTCTGGATCGGGACCCCTTTCCTGTAACAGGATGAGTAGGTGTGGACGGGGAAGACAGGTGGCTTCCCAGCTCCGGGTGGAAGGCCAGAGCACTAGAGCCTGAGAGACTGGGGACAGGGCAGGGAGGGAATGTGGACCAGGTGAGCATCCAGGGAGGTGAATGAGGAAGCTGAGAAGCGTTCGGTTTAGGTTGGGGAAACAAAGACCATCCAGAGGGGTGCAGCCAGGGGCTCAGGTCTGGAACATTCTACCCCATCCACACCAGCTGCCAGAGGGGAGTCCCCGTGCTCCCTATTCATTACCTGACATAACTAATTGTCTGGTGACATTTCCCATATTATAGACAAATGTGACTTATGGGCCCAGCTGTTCCCCTTCTCGTCAGCAGGAATCGGTTGATAAATATGTTTATTCGAGGTCAGCCTGGCCTCATCCATTAGAAATATTGTTTTTCTAAACATTACATTGATTTAATTTAACTCTAATCAATTTAAAATGGTTCTGACAATTAACAAAAGCTTCAAATATGACCTTAAAGTAATAGGATTCATTAGCTATGTTTAGGATTAAACTTACCCTAATAGGGCAATTTTTCTTCCGAGGGTATTTGGTAAGCGACTGGTGGTCAGTCAAAATGAAATCAATTATTATAAATTATACAGTTAAAGTTGATTATGTATCCCCTGCTAATTTGTATAAATAAGGGTCTCTGACAATGGGAGTAATTTATTAATAACTATCTCTACCCCAGCCCGGTATCACACTTCATGTTACAGCTGCCAGGGCATCTATAACCCATGAAGTATTATTTTCCAGGGCTGCTCACGATGTATGCTAATTACACCCATAATTAATTGGAACAGTTATAGTTAAAGACACAATGCTGGCGCCCTTTGCCCTGTTATTCATGATAGTCAACTCATTCAAAAGGCAAGCTGATCAAAAATTCATATGCTAGCTCGGGCGCCCCAAAAGGAAGGCGATCACACTGCAAAGGGTGCCTGTGACATGACAGCTGGTGTGTGGGGAGAGGCAGGTGTAGTCAGAATTCAAGCCCTGCACCTTTCTGGGGTTCCCGCCCTGCCACCACCCACCAATCCCCCAGGGGGAAGGTATATAGAGCAGGATGTCTAGGCCAGAGCTCAAATAGCTGGTCCATATGTTACAGGACAGGGGTCCCAATCCAGACCCCAAGAAAGGGTTCTTGGATCTAGCACAAGAAAGAATTTGAGGTGAATCCATAGAGTAAAGTGAAAGCAAGTTTATTAGGAAAGTAAAGGCATAAAAGAATGGCTACTTCAAAGGCAGAGCAGCATCATGGGCTGCTTGACTGAGTATACTTATAGTTATTTCTTGGTCATATGCTAAACAAGGGGTAGATTATTCATGAGTTTTCCAGGAAAGAGGCAGAGATTTCACTGAACCGAGGGTTCCTCCCCTTTTTAGGCCATATGGGTAGCTTCCAGATGTTGCCATGGCATTTGTAAACTGTCATGGCGTTGGTGGGAGTGTCTTTAACATGATGATACTTTGTAATTAGTTCATAATGAGCAGTGAGGACAACCAGAGGTCACTTTTGTCGCCACCTTGGTTTAGGTGGGTTTTGGCCGGCTCCTTTACCACAACCTGTTTTATCTGCAAGGTCTTTGTGACCTGTATTTTGTGCCGACCTCTTAGCTCATCTTGTGACTTAGAATGCCTTAACCTGCTGGGAATGCAGCCCAGTAGGTCTCAGCCTCATTTTACCCAGCCCTTATTCAAGATGGAGCTGCTCTGGCTTAAACGCGTCTGGCACATACAGAGTTAAAAAAAAGAAAAGTTGCCAGATTTGTACAGATCAGGAACTTTTGCTTCTCTTAGAAATTTCTGACTTCGTCTGAAAAATCAGAACATAGGCCAGGTGCGGTGGCTTACGCCTGTAATCCCAGCACTTTGGGAGGCCGAGGCGGGTGGATCACGAGGTCGGGAGTTCAAGACAAGCCTGGCTAAGATGGCGAAACCCTGTCTCTATTAAAAATACAAAAAAATTAGCCAGGCATGGTGGCACTCACTGCTACGCAGGAGGCTGAGGCAGAGAACTGCTTGACCCCGGGAGGTGGAGGTTGCAGTGAGCTGAGATCGCACCACTGCACTCCAGCCTGGGCAGCAGAGCGAGACTCCGTCTCAAAAAAAAAAAAAAAAATCAGAATATACTGGCCTGCTTCTTCCTTTCCTTTACCATATCAGCTCTCCACCAACACTCCAACCTTCTCCCTTCCCTAAGGTACCTGCCTGGCCCCTGTAGGCAAGTGAGCTTGAGAGTCCCAGTCTAGGATCCTTCATTTTACAGATAGAGGGACTGCGGTTCATAGACAGACATCTTGCCAAGGATCATGGAGTGACCAGAGTCCAGTAGCTTGGGTATGACTGGTTTCACAGAGCACCCAGCTCGAACTGGTGGCCCCCAGCGAGGTGGATCGGCCCCTGAGTGGGCACTGTCCCTGCCTGGCTCTAGCCAAGGCCTGGAGGGAAGAGACTGCCCATAGTGAACCAAAGCTCAAGGCTCAAGGGCTCCTAGACAGTGGGGATGAAAATGAGCCAACACCATGCACTGGACGTTTGCCATTGAAAGCAACAGGCTGAACTGGGTAATTCTAGATGATCCAGATGTGGGTGAAGGAAATTCTTCTGTGGCATGCCAAGGAGAAAGGGACTGGAAAAGTCTTCCCGCCCAAAATAGCATGGTGCAAAAAGCACCCAGCTTGGAAATGCCCATGTGAAATGGCCGGTGGCCGCGCAGCTTCCTGAGAATCATTCAGTCTCCCGACAAATATGGGAGGAGGCCACAGTTGGTGCCCCCTGTTCTGGTTGCTGATGAGACAGGGACAATGTGGTTTTCACCCTCTGGGGGACCCACTGCCGAGCTGACAGATGAGTATAAAGCATTGCGCAAATGCAAGGACTCCTGGAGGGGGTGTGGGGACCGTGGGCACCTCGGGCTCACGTAGAAGGAGCTGAGACTTCGTCTCTACTCAGGCAAGTGCCTGGGAATATGGCTTTTGTATAGGGACAGGCTTGACTTCCTCCTGAGTGTGTCCACCTGAGGCAGGAGGTGGCAGGTTGGTGAGGAGGGAGAGGTGGGGATGGTGCAGGCCTAAGGCCTGGAAGAGCACTGGGGAGCCGCTGAGGGACAGGGTGGAATCAGGAGCTAGAGCCCTCTTGGCTGCAGAGTGTACGGCTGAGGCCACCAGCCCTGCCAGACTGTGGAATCCTCACAGTTCAGGAAGCCCAAGGAAGATTGGTGTTTGAGTCACTTAAGGAAGGCCTGGTGTGCATGGCAGGAAGAGGCTCCTCTCCACCCAGGAAAGCCTGCAGAGCTCGGACCAAGCGCCAGCCCCAGGCGCTGGGCCTCCCTAGTCAGAGCCTCGAGCTGCCCTACAATGTCCCAGGGTGAAATGGCCCCCCGTGAACACGGACTTCCCATGCTGGGGTTCTGTTCCAGCTCTGCCTCTAACTCTGCCCGTGGGTGCAGCCCTGCCTCCCTAGGCAGCAGCCTTTAAAGTTGGAGAACTTTAGAAAATTCTCCAACTTTAAAAAGAAAGATTGAGCTGGGACTGGGAGGCTGAGATGGGAGGGTTGCTTGAGCCCAGGTTTTCCAGCCTGGGCAACATAGTGAGACAGACCCTCTTGCTAATGAATTAAAGAAAGAAAAAGAGAGAGAGAGAAAGAGAGGGAGAAGGGGTGGACCCATCTCAATGGCTCCAGTGACTGAGGTCCTTGATGCTAATGGTAGTCCAGACTAGCTTTCTACTTTCTACACTGCTTTCTGGGCTGACTTTCAGTCTTTTTCTCGACCCTGTGCTGAGCCTGGGTTTTATCAAAAAAAGGAGAAAACACACAGGCACATGCACCTTGAGCTGGAGGTGACTACTCCAAGTCACTGAACTTCAACACTACAGAAAGTTTGTCAGATCCCAGAGTGGTGGCTCATGCCTGTAATAGAGCTTCCGGATGCCCAGGCAGGAGGATCACTTGAGGTCAGGAATTCAAGACCAGCCTGGGCAACATAACAAGATCACCTTCTCTACGAAAAATTTTTAAAATTGGCTGGGCATGGTGGTGCATGCCTGTAGTCCCAGATACTTGGGAGGCTGAGGCAGGAGGATCGCTTGAGCCCAGGAGTTCGAGACTAGCTTGGGCAACATAGTGAGATCCTGGTCTCATAAAAAATAAATTCATGAATGTGTCAAAACTCATCTAACTGCTTACTTAAAATATGTGTATGTTACTGTATGTAAATTACACCTCAGTGGAGTTGGTTAAAAAATAATAATGAAAGAAGGAAGGAGTGTAAACTTTGGAAAAGTCTGCAGCTGTCTCTCCTAAAGCTAAAATCCACCAATTCAAGAAGGATCACAGTAGGGTCATGTGTAGTAGCCCCAAACTGTCAGCAATGCCCCTTTCCATCAGTATGAGAACCATAAATAAACGATTGTATATTTACGTAAGAGAGCATCACATAGCTATGAAGTAGAATCACTGACATACACAACAGAGACAGTCTGAAGGATGCACACAGCATGACATCAGACACTACCTGAAGTGTGCACGATCTATGACTCCCTTTACATAAGTTCAAAACCTGGCAACAGGGATCTACAGTGACAGAAGTCAAAATAGTGGTAATCACTGGTGCAGGGAGGTAACTTGACTTGGGGGAGCAGAAGGAGCCTTGGAGGTGCTGGGAAAGGTCCCCAGGTTGACCTAATGTATGGCTGCAAGAGTGTGTGGAAATGTAAATTTCCTTGAGCCCTATACAGGGGCCCAGTGCCCTTTACGATAACAAGGTGCATCTCAGTAACAAAGAGAGAAAGGAAAAGGGAGCAGCCCATGCTTCCCCAGTGCCATTCAGGGTCTAGATTCTGGGCCACCCCTGGCAGCGCCCCTCCTCGCCAGCACTGTGGCTCTGTGCATAGCCCTGGACACGGACAGAATATGACAGAGCTGGAGCCCACACCCACAGCAGATAGGCTGGCAGGGGCGAAGGGGCTACCAGGGGCTGGAGGAAATAAAACTCAAGCTAAGCACAAGGCCGCCCTCCCAGGCAGGGTAGATGGCATGCTCTCTTGGCACTCTGGGCTATAGGATGGGCACCAAACACAGGCCACACTGAAGAGCAGCAGGCCCTTACCTGACTGAACAGTGGGAACCCTGCCAACTGCTCCCTAGCTGAGGGGACAGTGCTGGGGCCCAGCAGAGCCTTGCAGGCATCTCCAGAGAGACCGCAGAAGCAGGCAGGAGCTGAGGGAATCATCTTGGACCAACCTGCCCTCCTCCCACTCGTCATTTTTAGAGTCAATGCCAGGCTACTAGAGGCAGGTGGCCCTGACTTCAAGTCCCACTGGCTCTGCCTGACCCTCAGCTTTCTCATCAGATAATTAGGGATGAAGTTCTCACAAGAATAAGGGAGCATATATAGGAAGCACCTAACCCAGGGCCCAATGTTCACCAAATGGGGAAACTGAGGCCCAGAGAGCAGATACACACACCACAATCCAGGTAGGCCAGGCACAGTGGCTCAAGCTTGTAATCCTAGGACTTTGGGAGGTCGAGCTGGGAGGATTGCTTGATCAATTTCTTCCTCATCCCCTGCTCTGGGGTTTCCAGAATGCAGTCCCTCCCACAGTTGCTCTTCTACTTAGCCCAAACCACCTCATCTCTCCCACCTCCTCTGTCCACACAGCATGTTCCAGGCATGCGCCACTCCCCACAGCACTCTATGTTCAGGGTCTCTCTGTCCCAGAACCCCTATCATCTGAGGCTGGGAAAGGGTGACGGCATTTACCTATGGGGCAAGGGGGCTCCCCATGGTCACGCCTAGCTGCTGCTTTCGTCCTGCGGGACAGTCCCACAGCACAGGTCTGGTTAGGAAGTAACACCAGTGAGATCATTGAGCTCCTTTAGCCCTAGTTTCTCCAGCTGTGAAATAAAACTCTCCATTCTGTCTACTCAGAGGGTGGGGACAATGGGTGTGAAAAGGTTTTCTAGGTGGCTACCTGGAGAGTTGAACATAAAGCAGAGGGCGATGCTGGCTGAGTTTGATTTTTATACCAACTGGACAGAATACAGTCTTCCTCTTTCTTCCTTGCCTCCTGGCTCAGCTGCGTCAGTCTCCCCAGTGTGATCCTGACGTTTATTCCGTATGCTATCCTCTACAGGACCCTCACCACACAGAACGCTCCTCCTGGTCTGGGCATGGCTCCTGTTTTGATCGAAACCATTGGTGCACCCCAGAGCCCCCCACTGCCATGCCCACCCCTTTGATGTGGTGAGCTCTTGGCAGCCTCACCCTCCATGCCAGCTGCAATGCATTCCCTCCAGGGAGTCATAAAAGCCTCTGATCTCCAGGGGCCCAGCCACTGCCCTTCCAGACAGTCTTTTTCTTCCCAGGATGGCCAGGTCTCTTTTCAAAACTGGTGGAAGTTCACATGGGTCTTTATCATGCAAATGGCCTCAGAGGTGACCACTCCACACTCCCAAACACCTCAACGGTATTTGATTGACAGCCCATGCCCTTTCTGGTGTCTGTTCTCTCCTTCTGATAAATGGCCCCTTCCTGACAACCCTCCCTGCACATCCTGCCATTCAGTCAACCACGGATTTTAATTTAGATAATACCGACAAGAGAAAAACACAAACATGAAAGTCATCCGCAGTCACTGTCATCTCAGGAATCAATGTATTCCCTGCAAGCAAATTTTTCAGTACATGCACAATATTTTTTTTTTTTTTTTTTTTTTTGAGACAGGGTCTCCCTCTGTCACCACCCAGGCTGGAGTCCAGTGGCGCGATCTCGGCTCACTGCAACATCTGCCTTCTGCATTCAAGCAATTCTCCTGCCTCAGCCTCCTGAGTAGCTGGGATTACCGGCATGCCACCACAGCCCGGCTAATTTTTTTATTTTTAGTAGAGATGGGGTTTCACCATATTGGTCAGGCTGGTCTCAAACTCCTGACCCCAGGTGATCCGCCCACCTCAGCCTCCCAAAGTGCTGGGATTACAGGCATGAACCATCATGCCCAGCCACAAATTTTTGTATACACAAAATTAGATCTATTATCATACATAAGTTTTTAATAATCCACTTTTTTCACCTAATATAGTGTGAATTTTTGCTCATGTCCTTAAAAAAATTACATTCCAGAAGAATCATTAATGACTGCACATGGTTAATGGTTATGGTATAGTCTAGCTGTACCATAATTTATTACAGTCCTGCACATTTAACTTTTTCAGGTTTGGCCAGCATTATAAACAGTGCTGCTCGGAGTCTGATGGCTAATCTTGGGCACATCTGCGATCATGATTGCCTTAGAAAAATTTCCCAGCAACAGAATTGCTGGGGATGAGGTATGCACAATATGAAGGCTTTTGAAAACCAAGCACTCGTGTATCGGGCACCTACATGGCTCACAATTTGTGCAAAATGGGTTAGGGGTAGCAGGCAGAGAAAGAACCAAAGCAAGAGAAATCAGCATTCTGAGGGGGGGGGTCTCTGCACACACCAGACCCAGACACCATGGAAGTGCCACATGGGGAAGGGGCTTCCAAAGCACTGAGCCACCCTGAACGTCAGAGCTGGAAGGGACAGCACAGACTCTAATACAATTCTCTGTATTAGGAATGGGAAAACTGAGGCTCAGAGAGGTGCCACCCAGGAAGGGGGTGACCTCAGTACTGGAATCTTTCCAACATGGCTGTGTGCTTTGCTTGAAGTGAGCCCTGCTCTGGGAGAAGGGCCCGAGGTGGCAGGCCGAGCCTTGATATGAAAGTATAAACCATTTTCCCCCACCTCCCAAGCAGAGGTGGATGGGAGGGGGTGAGGAATGCTGAGGAGGCCTCCAGCCGGCCTCACACAGGTAACAGCAGCAGTAGTGACCCATTTGAGCCCCCATGGTGTGCCAGATGCTGGTCCCAGGACTTTGGGTCTGTTATCACTGAAACCACACACAAAATGAGCGACAGGGGCACTGTGGTTTTGTCAGAGATGCTTGCTCTCATTTGCACAGAAAGGAGTTCATGCAAGTCTTTTTATTATTATTACATGTCACCGCAACAGGGTATTGCAGTGGGGGAAAGAGACTGGACTCAACTCCCCACTTATGCAAGTCTTAATCCAAGTGGAATCTCTTCTCTGGATTTCTAGAGTGGCAGGTGAGGGGGCGGGAAGCCTCTTCTCCATAATGGCAGTGGTTCTCACACTTCAGCGTGTGCCCGATTCTCTTGGTGGGAAAAGGGGGAAGTGTTCAAAATGCACATTCCAGGGCCCTACCCTGAGAGCTTGATGCTGTAGATTTTGCACAGGGCCTCCAAGACCAAATTCTCTTTTTTAGAGACAGAGTCTTGCTCTGTCGCCCAGGGTGAAGTGCAGTGGTGTGATCATAGCTCACTACAGCCTCCAACTCCTGGGCTCAAGTGATCCTCAAGCCTCAGCCTCCCAAGTAGCTAGGACTACAGAAGTGCATCATTACACCTGTCTAATTTTTATTGTTATTATTGTATTTTTGTAGAGACAAGGTCTTGCTGTGTTGCCCAGGCTGGTCTTAAAGTCCTGGCCTCAAGCCCTGCCCGCCTCAGCCTCTCAAAGCGCTGGAATTACAGGTGAGAGCCACCACGCCCAGCCGGAGCCTGCATTCTTAAATGTCCCTGGATGACTACGACGCAGGTTGGTCCAAAGACCCCTCTCTGGGAAGCACTGAAGACAGTGTGGTTGATTTTCACATTGGGATCCTGACAAAGTAACCTGTACTAAAGTTAACACAGTAGATATGAGGCTTACACTGAGAAAGGGTCGCAAATAAAGGGAGGTGACATCAGAATCCTATTACGTACCGACATTCCCCCCATAAAGCCACAGATTTGTAATTCATTCATTCCTTTGCAGATTCCGGGACCTCACAACCGACCTTACGGCATTCGCCCAGTAGATGGCGCTAGCTCATTTTAAACCCCGTTTGTAGACGGTGCCTGAAAGCTCAAGACAGAGGGAGCAGCAGATGCAGAGAAAGGGCAAGACAGAGCCCATTATGAGAGAGGACAGCCACAAACAGAAATGGTCAACACTAAGCAGCTGTCCCGAAATGACGCAGAGGAAACTTAAACCCTCTTAGGGTGTAGTGTGTAATCTGGTGTGTTGGCCCGACTGCCACATTGGCTTTCAAAATCCCTGCTGCCTCCCAAGCCTGGGTTCTGGCTGCGGCTCGGAGTTTGGGAGCTTAGATCTAGGACAGCGCCATAACCAGTAATGACCACAAGATGGCGCTGCTGCACTCAGGGACAAGATGCCTGAGAAAAATCTCAATCTCATAAAACCATCTAAAGGATAAAGAGTGTGGCTTAAAATAGGATCGTGGAGGGAGATGAGAGGCAGAAAGAGAACTGCTGATTAGACTTGCACCCTGTCTCTCAAGTTCATGTTTACGATATTAGTACTAATGCTGCTGCTGCTGCCACTGGTGGCTGCTGTTTACTCAGGGGCTACGGAGTGCCAGGCACTGTGATAAGCACTTTCCGTGCATGGTTTCATTCAAAGTTCATCAAAGCCCTAGCAGGGGAGTCCTACGATGTCTCCACTTCTGAGAGGAAGCATTATTTGGGGAACTAGAGACTGAGACGTCTTGTGCTTTCTCAAAAGAAATGGGGACAGTAATCTAATTCTGAGCACACTGACAATAGACAGTGGGGCTTCCACGAATAAAAGGCTGAAACAGCCTGGACAACATAGCGAGAGCCCCCTCTCTACAAAAATGTAAAAAGCCAGCTGGGCATGGTGGTGTGCACCTGCAGTCCCAACTACTGAGGAGGCTGAGGCGGGAGGTTTGTGCCAGGCACTGATCAAGGTGGTAAGGAAAGACAATTAAAGGGACTAGGGGAGGTCCTGAGGAGCCCACGATAAGCCATGCAGCCAGGGGATCAGTGCTGTGGAGAAAATGAAGCGCACAGGAGTCTATATGTGCCTGTAGGTGTGTTTGAGATGATGGCAGAAGTAAACTGGAGCTGGCATCCATGGCTCACAAGAGCCCATTATTAAATTTTCAGGAATTTTGCGAGTCAGTTCTTGGATGGATCTATTATTGAATTATTAAGCTAACAAAGTATATAAACTTACAAATTATATAAACTTAAAATGAAATTATACTTAAAATAAAGGTAACAAATACTCGCAACTCATTACTTCCTAATTATTTTATATTTTACCATTTTCTGTGCCAAAGGTAAGCAAACTGTTTCTGGGAAGGGCCATTTAATGACTGCGTGAGCCATAAGGGTTCAGTCAAAACTATTTGACTCAGCCATTGTAGCACAAAAGCATTGATAATATAGACTGAGCATCTCTAATCTGAAAAATCTTAAATGCTCCCTAATCCAAATATCTGAAATGCTCCAAAATCCAAAACTTCTTGAGCACCAACATGACACTCAAAGGAAATGCTCATTGGGGCATTTTGGATTTTGGATTTCTGGGTTAGGGCTGCTCATCTGGTACTGCAAATATTCCCAAATCCAAAAACATCTGAAACCTGAAACACTTCTGGTCTCAAACATTTCAGATAAGGGATATTCAACCTGTACTTAGATAAATGGTCATGACTGTGTTCCAATCAAATGTGATTCACAAAATCAGGTGCTGAGCTGGTTTGGTTCACGGGCTGCTGTTTGCCACCGTGGTTTTATGTCTATCGTATCTGTATGGCGGAAATGCTATGTACTTGTGTTAATCCTACTATATAAGTCTTCCCTAGTTCCTTGAAAGGTGTCATTTTGGTAGCTTGCAATTGGCCGTGGTGGGGGTATTTATACCACCAAATCAGCAGAGGCTACAAACAGGGTTGCCCCTCAGCCCCCAAGAGCTGGTTGTTAAACATTCCAGCACACCCCTGGCTAATGTGGTCTGTGAAGGCCTCTTCAGGGAGGTGACCTCTGAACAGAAACCTGAAACCACACTTAGTCCTTCCAACCTGCAGAGGCCCATCCCACCCCCAATGGGCGACCTACAGGGCACAGTTCAGAAATACATCGGAACAAAACAGTCTGAAGTTTACAGAGATGGCCGGACCCAACAAAACGCACATTTGTTTAAAACACAGTATATTCCAGTGTCATCACCCCACCACGCACTAACCCAGGAGCAGCCTCGCCTCCCTGGAGCCAATAAGAAGGCACAGCGAAGAAGCCACTCATCATGGCCTGAGGCCTGACTGCATTTACTACAGGCTGCTGAGTCTTGCCTGCCACCAAATAGAACCTGCAAGGCAAGGCCTGAGGGGTCGCTTCCAAAGTCTGCTAAAGTTGGGGAGGACTGGAGGAGAGGGACTCAGGGAGGCATCCGTGGTACAGTCAACTTCCTCACCAACTCTTCAAACCCCAGTGTAACTTCAAACTACTTAGTTTGGAAAAGGCCATATTAGGTGTTTAAACAGATTTGTGTGTTAGTTGTAAGGTGATTTCATACACGGAATTTAAAGGTTTTCATTAACTCCTAGTAAAGTGGTACAGTCAAAAGAGTGGACGCAACTTGCAAATTTCAGTCGCGCTTTTGTAATAAGGGTCAGTCTGCTGGGAGAATTACACTATTCTTATAATATCCATTTCAGTCTTCACTCCCCTAATTACTCTCATTAGACCTCAGAATCTACCTCCTCTCCAATAAATCCACACTCCAAGCAGTCTACTGAAGCTGGCAGCCCACAGAGACCTGACTGCCCACAGTTCAGTGCAAAGACAGGCTTGAAAGCTTGCCCCAAAACAGTCCCTCCCCAAGATTTCTCCTGCCTTCTTTCTTCCCTAATCAACTTGGTGAGCTCTCTCCTTTCTTTTTATACATCTGAGGCTTATCTCTGAAATATTTCCTAAACAAAGAGATTAGCGTCATCATCATGCCCATTTAAGGACATCTTTTAAGTCCTCTTCACAAATAGTGTAATTTTCATCCTACTTCTAAATTCTCTCTCCTGCCTCTGGAACACATTCCCCATATATTCCCTGAGTTCTTCCTCAAGGGACTGGGCTGGTAGCTTTACAATAAATTTTCTACTTTCCCTTAGGAGCTCGTTCATGTCCACATTCTCTTTCTGCAGGGCAGAATGTTCCACCAGGGAATGCCAAGTTGATTCTGTCTCCCTCAGAAAACTCCATTCCTCCTGACAACTGGTTCCCAATCCTGGTTGCACAGTCACAAGGAGTGGGGACTATGAAAAAGTGTGCCAACCCTTGAATCTGACAAGGAAGATCAGTGATGTCATAACAGCATTGTTTGGATATCAGCATGCATATCCACCCATGGGGTTCTGAAACAGAAATGCATAAGGAGCTTTGACAAGGACCCACTGTCTGGCCCCATCTTCAGAGATTCCAATAGGTCTGGGGTGTGCACAGGCACTGGCGTCTTTAAAATCTCCCTGTGTGAATTCAACATGCAACCAGGATTGAATGGAGAACTGCTGCTCGAAGTTTGATAATGAGGTGATAATGAGGAAGAACATGCCTCAGCAAGTCAGAAAAAGGGGCTTAGGGGAGGGCCAGTGGCTCCTCCTTCGGCCAGGCCAGCTTTCTTCTGACAAGGACTTGTTTTCACAACTGTCCAGATCCGCAGATGGGCACAAGGTATGTACTGTCGCCGTCACGGTAACAGACCCAAACAGAGTCACAAGGAGTGGCGACTATGAAAAAGTGTGCCAACCCTTGAATCTGACAAGGAAGATCAGTGATGTCAGAACAGCATTGTTTGGATATAAGCACGCATATCCACCCATGGGGTTCTGAAACAGAAATGTTCTTCAATGTATTGTCAATACCAGTATTACCAACTCAGACCATTCTAGCTTTCCTATCATGGCACATTAAGTGACTTAAACTCCAAATAATTTCCAAGGAAGGTTGATCTGTTACCTAAAAGAAGACTAAAGTAGGAATTTCAATACACAGTACATCGTGCGACCATTCCTCTGGTTATCACAAAAAAGTAAAATATTTAACTGCCTCTGTGGAAGCTGTGGTAGAATGGGACACACTACTGGCCAGGTGTGGTGGCTCACGCCTATAATCCCAGCACTTTGGGAGGCCCAGGCAGGCAGATCACTTGAGGTCAGGAGTTTGAGACCAGCCTGGTCAACATGGTGAAACCCTGTCTCTACTAAAAACACAAAAAAATTAGCCAGGCATGGTGGTGCACGCCTGTAATTCCAGCTACTTGGGAGGCTGAGGCAGGAGAATCGCTGGAACCTGAAAGACAGAGATTGCAGCGAGCCGACATCACACCACTGCACTCCAACTGGGGCGACAGAGCGAGACTCCATCTCAAAAAAAAGAAAAAAGAATGGGACACACTACTCCTTAGGCAACAGTGTTGGGTTCATGTTTATAGATGATGGAATGAAGCAGCGGGGGACAACTTCTGGCTGGAGTGGCTTGGAGGCTGGAGCAGCTGAGCTTTAACAAGCATCAGAGGTCAGAATTACTTGGCTAGATCAAGAAGCCACACAGCATCATAATGCCGCTGGCACATCTCCCAGAACAGGGTAAGTGTGTGAGGTTTTCTAAAGCAATTGTAATGGTGGTAGAGGCTTGATCAAGACACAGAGGTGTGCCCAGGTATAGCATTTCCTCAAAGAAATCTTACCACAGCAAAAACTTAAAGTGTTGTAGAGACCCAATTCCAGCCTTCTCATAACCCAAAACCCTTCCCTCAAAGAAATCCAGGAAAAGGAACCATAAAAATGTAATTTTAATGATACAGAAATAGTATATGTACATTTCTTTCCACAGCAGCACTTCATTCATCTCTAAAAAATTTAACAAAATTAAGGCTAAATCAGAGCGAGCTGATAGGAAGGGGTATTCTATGTGGTGGTCTTCTTAAAGAATGTTCTCATAAATATAGGATGTTCTGCAGACAAGAAATAAAAATAAAACATGCTGAACAAGATACCAAAAATGGGAAATGCAGTAGAAAATGAGCCCCTTTCTACCAATCTACTAAGAATCCCAACTCCCCTGGGAAGTTTCAGATGGGATGTGAGTTCTTTTAATGAATGTTTATGATCTGATGCTAAGACTTTCTAAAATTAAAATTCCACAGTACTAGGCCATTTTATAAACTAAAACCAAGGGCAGTTGAGTCTCCAATATAATCCCTCTAGAATTTTTTAAGTTAAAGTGGACAATATTTGAAAGTACTAATTTTATCTGAAGCTGTGGTGCTTGAAAGGACAATCCCTCCATTTGTGGCCCTTCTCCCTAACCCATGTTATAAAAATAAATGAAGACTTTAAAACACAGTGAAATAAAAATGCCATCACTGCCAAGGCAAAGGGCCAGGAAATCAAATGTGGTTCTTGAGTAACCTGGCTACAGAGACTGCTGGATGCTACAATCAGGGAGGAGGAGGACCTTCCTTTCCCACTTTTTCATTATCCTTGGCCACACTTGCTGGTTAATGCATTACCACTGCATCCTGACTCAAGAGAAAACCTTCAGCTGCTCCAGGATTCAGAATAAGATGAACAGTCTTTCTCCCCTCCTCCCACCTCTTCTCCCCAGAAAGGTCTGAAGGGGAACGGAGAAGGGCAATGCGAACACCCTGCAGGAAGCCTCAGTCTAAAACCCTAGTCTCTGTCAAGAGGGGCAATCCCCTGACACCCGCAGAATCCTGGTCTTCATAAGGCCCCACACACATCTGCTTTAAGGGGTTTACATTCCTTCTTCCTCTGCCTCCTCTTTTGCAGTGAGTTTTCATTTTAACATCGCTTTCTCCTCCCCGACTCCTCACCTGCTTTGGGGAATTCAAATGTTATCTTCATTAATGGAGAATTGCACCAAACCCTAGAGAAAGGAGTATTATTTTAAATTACAGGCCTTATAGCCTACCTACTTTAAAAAGACCTCTTACTTTATGACAAGGATTTGTTATCCCAGAGAAAAATCTTCCCATATAATTTTTAAATTTTCATTATAAAGTAGCAAATGGTAAGAAATAATGTAATTTTTTTCTTTAACTTTGCCTTAGAATTTTGTTTTCATTTTTTTGGCTCCTAGAATCTCAATTTCCTCTAAATAAATAAAAGGGGAAGAAAATATCCAGGTAAATAACATCAAATATCCTCTTAAGTCTTACTTGTATTTAAAGACTACTAACACCTCTAGGAAACAAACAGCAGGTTGAGGTACACAGACTAAAATGCATTTCTTACACAAATTAGTATGTAAACACAGAGAAACAGTATGATAAACATCCAAGTACCCACATTTACGTAGAATAATACAGTAACGTTACATGACCACAAAATCACAAAAAGTGAAGGAAGCTTTGAGATCTTCCAGTTAGCAGATTTCACACCTGGCTGGTCACGAGATTCCCCTGGGGATTCCCTCACAGATTTCCTAGGCCTCTTCCTGAACAGTCGGATTCAGCAGGCATGGCCTAGGACCCAGGAATTTGTATTTTTTTCCCATACAATTCAGTAGTCTAACCCTCTCATTATGCAGAGGAGGAAACTAAAGCTCAAGAGGTCAAGCTGTTGTCTAAGTGTACAGAGCAAGTGACAGAAACAGGGCTAGAATGCAGGTCTCTCGTCCCTACTCTGCCACTTTTTCTGTCACAGCACACCACCTCCCAAAGCTTCCCCTAGACCTGTCACCCTTACCCTTCAGCTAAGTAGCCTTTAATAGATATTCTGTCGTTAAAACTAGGTAGGGCAGGGACACATTTCATATTCCCTCTGATACAATCCTAGGCACCTAGTAAGTGTCCGATAAATACTTCTTGGTTGGCAGTTACTCAGCAAAAGTCTAATACTTTATCCTCCACTCACATCTCAGTCTACAATCATCCAAGCAGATGCAAAATTATCTGGCCAGATAATTTTCAAGATCCAGCTATAGAGGGTAGTGAATCCTGAATCTATGAAGATGCCATGTTCAAACAAGCAGGAATTTGGGTGACAACACAGTTCTATAAGATTAATGGAATCTTAATCTTCCATACTATCTCTCCCCCTTGTTCTCAAAATCTGTGAAAAAAAATAATAAAGGAATCCTAGGGATAGGAAGAATCTGGCCATTTATCTACAGCATTTGGCAAACAGAAATTTTTAAAAATCCTAAATTATTCTAAGGAGAAAATCCTTAGCAACAGTAACAACATATTTAGTTGATTTTTGTTGCTGTTTATCCTAGTTTTCAACGTGTTTTCCTAGTCTTATAAAACATTCTTCTGTGGATGGAGTCAAACTCCTTTATAAAGCTGACAGTGAGGGATGGGACACATTTAGCCTCTCTATGTATGATAACACTGCTCTCCTTCCCCACTCTCTCCCTCTCCGCCACATACATATATACACACACACAGACACACACATATTTATTTGGAGGTGAGGAACATGACATATTTTCTACTTGTAATCATGAATCATGAATCACGAACCGTGTTATAAATAAGATAATTCAATTACATTGTCATCTTGATTGTAGATAAGGAATAAAAGATAACCAAAACCTTTAAATAGCCAACAGGAAAATATTAAAGAAAACTTAAGGCTGAAAATTAAATAACCAGCAGGCACATAAGCCCCTGTGCCATGCAGCCCAGCCCCAACTATGTGCCTCTTGACAAACCAGGCTGTGCTGAAGCACAGAACAGTAGGGGGCTACCCAGAGGGAGCCAGGACAGACAGGTGCAGGGGAAACCTTCCTGCTGCCTCATGACATGCAGAAGCAGGGAAGGACGCAGCCTCCCCAGGAACCACCAGAGCTGGCCCTGGCATCCCTTAATGAGCACTCCCTCCCCAAGTAACATTAAAAAGACGTCAAGCTCCACCTGAAGAAGACGTTGCCAGAAATCATTTATGGATGAGGCCCTCCCATTTAACAGTCTCCACACCTGACTTTTGAAACCAGGTGTCCATCCAAACAGGTCTTCTTCAAGTTCTCTACCATGACAGCCTGGGTAGCAGAGCTTCCTCAATTTGTATTTTGTTTTAATTTCTACAGGAAAGGAACTGTCTTCTCTCTCCTTTTTTTTTTTTTTTTCCAACTGTTAAATCCAGTCTTACCTAGATCGTCAGCCCTTAGTATCTGCAGGGGTTTGGTTCCAGGATCCCTGCAGATACCAACATCTGAAGATGCTCAATTCCCTGATACAAAATGGTACAGAATTTGCATATAACTGACACACATCCTCCTGTATATTTTAATTAAATAATCTCTAGATTACTTATAATACCTAATAAATGTAAATGCTACATAAAGAGTTCTTGTATTGTTCAGAGAATAATGACAAGAAAAAAGTCTGTACATGTTCAATACGGATGTAACCATCCTTTTTTTAAAAAAAATCGTATTTTCCATTTGCAGTTGGTTGAATCCATGGATGAGAAACCTGCAGATACCGAGGGCTGGCTTCATTTAGATTCCTAATCATTCCTCCAGGTAGTCAATTTTTTAAAATCACATTGACAAGCTCATTCACCCATTTCTTCATTCAACACATATTTATTACAGGGTGATTGGACTTCTAGGCTGTCAGAGCTAGAAAAGGCCTTATGCATCTTTTACCCCACACCCTTCATTTTACCCAAGGGAGATGGAGGCAGGGCTAGCCCTAAACCCAGAGTCTCTCAGCCTCACCCCTGATCTAATCATCATCTCACCACCCCAACCAAGCACTTAGCAGTATAAAACCTTGTGCAAAATATATGTACTTTTTCACTTCAAAAATGAAAATATTACAAGATGAGTTTTTGTACCTTACTGTAATTTATAAAGCTAGTAAATATTAGCAAAATGGAATGATAAAACCAAAGAGTAAAAGTGCCTTTAAAAAAGTAATTGCAGGGTTTGTAAAGATTCTTTCCACTTTTTGTCACATTAAATATTTTATAAAGTCATATGACATATACATATGATGACTTTTCTGCCTTTCTGCACAGTTAGAAAGTCATTCAGGAAAGACAATGATACCACAAAACAACACTCAGAGAATGCACATTCCACAGCACTGACATGTATCATCTATGGTCCTGGTCTACAACATCCGCTGTGGTCTAAACACACACTATGGCTGTTATTAAACAAAACATCCCATTTCTACTTACTTTAATCAGAAGGAGGATGAAGCTGCTGCTAACATTTCGATAACATATCTGATTCTATCAAGTGAAACTACACTGAATTTAATGGGAGTACTGGCTGACAGATCAAACTTAAGTTCTAGACAGTCTTGTCTAAAATAATAGAGGTTTAAATATCCATCTCTCCCAGGAAATTGTAATAATTCTATATGCCAAATTCATTTTCTTATGGACTGTATGTTTGTAAAGGACTATTATCACTCCAATTCTTTCATCAATTTACTTTGCCCCATTCCATAAAATATTAATAGTTAAAAGCCTTAAAAAACCTGTTAGCTGACAGTAACTACTATGAATGAAGAGCTTCAACTGCTAAATACCCTAATCCTCCAGGAAAATCACTTCAAAAATGGACATTTGGGGACAGAATCACTCATTTATCTCAAAACCAGAACAAATAGAAAACAACACCATTAAGGGAATTTAAGTATTTTTCTGACCACTATTGCAGAAACACAGAAAAACTGAGCAGATTGTAGACATGCAAGATCAGCAGTATATAGAAAGGATTAACAAATCAAACTCAGTACATCTCTAATAACTGGATTGAGAGTAGACTCTTAATAAAACCAAATTATTTCTTCCTCAAGGCAACCGTTAGCTACAAAAGAAAAATGATTTCATATCCTTGGTCCATAAAGAAGACACATTTATTTACATTCTCAATGGACTAAAAGAGGCTTTAAACTTCCACAATTAAAATTGTATGCTTCCAAAAATATCATATGATCAATGCACTTAACTTAAAGCTTCAGGTATTAATAACTTCATTTAGACTTCTTAAAAAACCAACACAAACATACTTTCTAGAGTGCAAAATGCTTCTTATTAAATACTTCAGGGACACAAAAGCAATTTGTTTTTAAACAGAGGCATCCTTTTCTGAAGGATCATCACCACAAAGACATCCATTGCCGGCAATGGACGTGAACAGAACTGCCAGCTCGAATAAGATGCAACGTTAGGACTCTGCCTTCAGTTTCTTTGCCTTTCCCGATGACCCCAGTTATTTGTACAAACTCATTGTTGGACTCTGGTACATGCACATATATGCATCACAAAGCAGTCTTCGTGCACAGCCTTGGATTCTCCTGGAGTCCAAGGAATGCAGGTCTTCCAGAGACATCTTCAAGTACTCTCCTACTTCTGGGCATGGGGTGACTTGAGGAATGTTGAAGCCATTCTGACCACCTATGGCACAGAGGAAGAACTCTTTATAGGGCAGTCAAGTTCTAAACCCTTTTGCCAGTGATTTTATAATCCTATCATTTCCAAAAAGCTAATTTCAGGCTCTAAAAGCCTTTATTTTACTTCTGATTTCTGGAAGTGAAAGCCTCCTTTAACCCTTGACATATTCTCATTTCTTGGTTTCTGAAAGGATTCTGGGGCCAACAGTGAATAAACCTGGTAAAAGGACACGAATTCTGAGGTAAGCCCCCAACCTACTTTCCAGACTTCTCTCTGAATCATATTATCAATACATATGTAGACGACACTCTGTTCCTCACATTTCATTTCCTCCCAGACACAAGCCACCCAGCACACTTCACCATAAGACTGTCCAATTTGGAATAGATCTAGTCAAATGAACGCTATTATAGCTCCCTACACTTTAAACACATCCTTACGCAACTCTAATACAGTTTGTTTGACACATCACCAGGCCCTGATGAAGGTGCTCTGGGGTGTGATTTCAGAGATTCCAGGAAAGGCTCCTCTGGGTTACCTCAGTGGCTTTTCCAAACCTATGCTGTTGTGTTACGCTGTTTAGTGCAAATGTTAACTGGGTTGGGGGCACATCTACAGATGGGGCTGGGATGTATCCCTCAAGCATCAGAGAACTGAGAAAAGGTGGAGAACTCTTGATCTAGGGCCTGGGCCTCTGTTCAAGAGGCTGCCACAGGGAATGTCTTAGGCTACTGGAGGGCCACACCAGAAGGCCGTGGGGGCTGGATCTGAGAGAGCAGCTAAAGGAAAAATAGGGTATAAGAATGGAGGAACATGAGAGTCACACCTCACAACCTTGCCCAGGCCTGGTCTTAACCTGCAAACTCCTTATAGGTAGAGGCAGGGCTGCTTTAACAAACATTTCTTACCTACAACCCACTATCCTGCCTGGCATTCATTAAGCATTAGTTAAATAATGATTAAGCATCCTAGAAAGTGGCCTGGCAACTGCAGCCTATTCCCCACTTCAGGGAGAAAGATACTACATGCAGAAGAGGCTTTACTTTTCTGAAAAGGATGTTTACTTCTGCTCTCAGCTTTTGGCAATTGGAAGATAACATGGTTTAGTACAAAAAAACATATGCACTGAGATCAGAAAGACTGAGTTAAACACAAACTACAATACCTCAAGCCCCTTAAACCTCAGCTTTAATAACAGAAAAACAGGAATAATCCCCATCTTGCCAGGATTTAGGTAGAATGACTTAATGGTGCTCAATAAACAGCTACCGTGGCTCCTACAAAAATGAGAGGGGCCTGAAAGAAGACAGCGAAGCTGGAAATAAGATCCCTCAGGGCTGAAATAAGAATTTTAGGATTCTTTTTTTTAAAAAAAGAGCATATGCATGTCAAAATATCACAATATGAGGCTGGGTGCACTGGCTCCTCTTGTAATCCCAGCACATCGAGAGGAAAAGGAGGGTTAATCACTTGAGGCCAGGAATTTGAGACCAGCTTGGGCAACATGGCAGAAGCCCATCTCTACTAAAAATACAAAAATTAGCCAGGCATGGTGGCATATGCGTGTAGTCCCAGCTACTCAGGAGGCTGAGGTGGGAGGATTGCTTGAACCTGAGAGGTGGAGGTTGCAATGAGCCAAGATCACGCTGCTGCACTCCAGCCTGGGTGACAGAGTGAGACTCCATCTCAAAAAAGGAAAAAAAAAAACACAGCATATTATTCCTTAGTTCAGCTAGCAAGGTTGTTAATGCAATCCAAGATATAAGACTGTTGTCACCAGAATAATCCTGAAAGGATTTTCTCAGAAAATATCACTCAGAACAGGCGATCCCACTACAAACTGTCCCACTACAAACCAGAACCCTGTGCCACATGCAGAAGAAAGGCGTTTTCAGTACCATCCCGATCGGCCATGCTGTCAAAGAAGAGCCAGGCAGAATCGTCCTTCCCATACTTCACAAAAGCAACATAGTGGCTTGTTTCTATGCAGAGAACAGCAAATAACTCCATATTCTGGCAAGGGATGCAGCCGTGTCTCCAGTCCCAGTCGGGTAAGTCTTTGGGAAGTGACACTGGGTTATATTTATGATTCAGCCTCTTCGGATGAAGGTGGACCTAAAATGGACCATGAAAAGAATGTCATTAGGCCGAGGCTGGTGGATCACGAGGTCAGGAGTTCAAGACCAGCCTGATCAAGATGGTGAAACCCTGTCTCTGTTAAAAATACAAAAATTAGCTGGGCGTGGTGGCAGGCGCCTGCAGTCCCAGCTACTCGGGAGGCTGAGGCAGGAGAATCATTTAAATCCCGGAGGCGGAGGTTGCAGTGGGCCGAGATCGTGCCACTGCACTCCAGCCTGGGCATTAGTCTCTCTCAGTCTCTCAGTCTCAAAAAAAAAAAAAAAAAAATGTCATTAATGAGAGAAACTCAATGTGTCAAGTGAATGGGCTTCCTTACTCTTACTAAATACATCCCTTATAGCAATCAAGTACTTCACCAACAGCTCTCAAGTAAACAGAAAAGGCAAAAGCAATACCATTTTATTGTGAATTTTTAACCGTTAATTATGATTTTAAAAAACTTTCCAAAACGAGCATTGTGTTTTCAACTATAAATAAGTTACTGTTCAACAAAAGTTTATCCATTAAGTGAAGGGAAGCTCACTTGAGTGTTGCAGGTTTTACAAAACTGCTTGATTTTTCCAGCTGAGATGTCCGGATCGTCGTAGCATTCTCTACACTCATACATTGCAAGCCCTCCACATATCCGGCACTGTCTGGGAGCTGAAATGTGAGAAGGGGAAGGGAAGTTAAGAGGACTTTAAAAAAAATGCATTCTTTCATGAAGAAGATGTAAAGAAAAGTTAGGCTTTAAAAAGGACAATGTTCATGGCTTCAAAAAAGTCTCTTTCTCTTCCATCTGCTTAAGCTCTCAGTTAGTATTTGAAATATCTTTAAAAACATTTTTTTGGACCAAATAGTTTTTCTAAATAGTGTCTCCTAGAGTATTTTTCCCTTCATTATAAAATACCCATTGATGAAAATTCAAAGATACAAGAAAGTATAATGGAGAAAACTAAAAGCATCTACAATTTTAGTTGGCAGAAGATAACCACTGTCAATATGATTATGAATTTTCTCTAATAATTTCATACTGAATATTTACATAGGTATATATGCATGTGTGTGTGTGTGTGTGTGTGTGTGTGTGTGTATATGGCTCCTTTTGTAGAATATATCAACGTACTTACCTTTCCACTTAATATTACATCATGACCATTTCATACACATTGGTCTTCAAAACCATGAATTTTAATGGCAGTAGTTTAATTGTTAGATACACACTCATTTAACCATTCTCCTCTGGTTAACATTCAAGTTGTTTCTAATTTCTTAATCATATAATAATAAGTATATTTGCATATCAAATATTTATTTTCATTTGTGTTTTCTCAGAATAAATTCCTAGAAATAAAATGACTGGTTTCATATTTCCAGGCTCTTCAGATACTGAATTGCCTTGGGAAATACTGTGTCCAGTTAGAGTCTAACCCACAACTGATGAGAATTATCTGACAATTTCCACAAAACCAACAAAACAAACTAAAAAAATCTCATACTTACTGTCTTCAAGTAAATCTGTTATATTTAATTCCAGAGAAGGAAAAATTTTTTTAAATAGTTTAAAGTCTTTTCCAAATCGAGGCATCTGAATAATCAGACATGATGGTGCCTATAAAAAAGACAGATATTTTTAGAATCAAAGTGTTAAAAAAAACACTTTTCCCTATGAAACCAAAATAGTCATGGCTGTCAAACAAAACAGTTCTGCCTTAATATTGGTGTCCTATGAAACAGGATCCACACGTGACCATGGGCTGTGGACAGAGGACACCAATAAGCCACAAGTCTTCAAGTGGCTCATGATCGCAGGGGCACACCAGCACCTAGAGGTCACAGAGTTCAATAATCTTGAGTCTCAAATAAAATCATGGCATTTTATTTGGGTTTATATTTATTAAAGGTTTTGGACAGATTGTTTTTGCAAATATAATACAGAAAATGTCATCACAGAAGGATACTACTCATTATATTTCAACAAATAAATAACTGTGGCTGTTAAGGTTTTACCAAAAATGACTTCAGAAATGAATACAATCAAAATAAACCACAAGCATATACTATTAAAATTACTGAGATTCTTGGACAATAAAAGAAAAATAATTTCTATCACTGGTTCATTAGCAAATATAAATGAATTTATTGACATTTTGTCTCTTAATGAAGGGGGGAAGTAAACATTATATTTTGATGTATTTGGATAATATGCTTGCATAAAATGGCATTTTAAAAAACGTAAGTCTCCTTTTGCTTTAAACTACCTAAAAGTTTTCAAGTTACGCAGATTAGCTTGGTGTTTTCTTTGGCAGCAGAAATCCAAAAAATTCAATCTTAATTCTAAGACATTTTCTGTAAAGGCAAAGTTGAAACACTGCATACTTTTTAAAATTTGTGTTTCTTAACAGTTTGTGTTTCAAACTTTTCTCAGCTAGTTAAAATCAATAGATACTGAAACTACCAATAGTCTTAAGACTCCCACAGACTTTCACATAAAATACCACAGGTGAGTATCACTAACCTCTGCAAATTTCAGGTTACTGTTGATAAAAGACCATTCTAACAACTGCTGAATTGTGGGAACGCCAACTTTCTCATTTTTTTCCATAAAAATTTGATAGAAGTAACAATCTTGTACCTTTTGACCTGCTGATCTAAAAACACGCAGAGAAAAAAATACATACAACCTATTTATCAAATGCTTAAATCAAAATGTTAAGTTGTCCCAGCAGTATTTGAGAACAGAAAAACCATAAAATTGATGGTGTAGCTTTGGATAGTCAGAACAACAGAGAGAAATAAATGATTTGGATAAAATAATTAAATGTGCTCAGGCACAAGACCTTATAAATGATTTATTTTGCTTAGTTTTTAGACTGGAAAGTTCTCCTAGTGATTAGGAAAAAAATAATGGAATAATAATCTCAATCAAGAAGCACTGTGTGAACAGAACTAACCAAAAGGTAAATCACTTAGTGCAACTTCACTGCCCAAATCTAGAAAGCAGCAAACTGTATTTAATGCCTGAAAATAAATTATTATATGCTGGATGTGACAGACCCTTAGCAGACCTTCTAGATCGAACTTTTCATTTCTAAAATGAAGGCGCTGAGATCTAGGGAAGGAGAATGACTTCTCAGCAAGTCAAAAGCAGAGCTGGGTAAAGAATCTAGGGGCCCTAACCACTGCTTACCATTCTTTCTGCTAAAGCATGCTGTCTGATAGTCACTCATTTATTCAACAAATACCAAGTAAGCACCTACCATATGCCAATCACAGTGTTACTCTTATATTTTGAGCATCTTTCCTCCTAAATATTTTACTATAGCATGCCATTAGTCTTTAACTCTACCAGAAGGACTAATAATCCTTAAGTTTACTATTTACCTTTTCAGCAGAATTTCTGGATATAAAGTTAGACTATTTACATCTAAACTTATATCTAGATTTTAAGATTTTTAGGAGAAAATATTAACATAGTTTTCACTTAAAAAAAAAAAACTCAGCTATTCAGAGATCAGCCTGCAAAAATTCTCAGCTTCCCAAAGCAACTTATATCCCCAAATAAACAAAATTTAATTGATAACAAAACAGGAGATTCTGGAGACCCACAACAAATACAAACAGATGATAATCAAAAAACCTGAAGGCTATGATATACCAATGTTTTAATCAGTTGTTGATGACTATGACAAAAGACCAGAATTTTTCTGTGAAAGCCAAAAAGCATAGAAAATTAACAGTTTACAGGAAAAAAAAAATAAGAGAGGAAAATAAGAAACCAGGAAGTAGTAGAGGTAAGTAGTTGTAATCATAATAATGGCAGCAGGGGAGGAGGGCTGGTGGTTGAACGGACCACTGCATTGCAAACACTGAGGGAAAGAAGGCAGAAATGAGGATGGAGAAGACAATTTACTAATTTCTTGACTTTCCCTTGTTTCTTGCATCCCACTCCTTTATTCTAAACTCAGTTTTGTTTTACTGAAGTACATCCTATAGTAAGTCTCTGAATGGTAATTTAGTCCTGGTTCTTCCTGCTCAGAAATTCTGAATATTTTTATTCTTAGAATTTCAGTCTATCAAAAATTCTAAAATTTATTCAGCTATTATCTGTTGAAACATTGCCTTTTCCCTATTCTCTCTAGTATCTCCTTCTGGAACTCCAGTTAGAATCCATATTCCATGTCTATTATCCTCTCTTTCTTGTTTTCTAACTCTTTATCCCTTTGTGCAACATTCTGGGTACTTTCCTCAGCTCTGTCTTCCAAATGAGCAATTCTCTCTTCAGCTGTGCACACTGCATCAATGAGGTAACATCATGATATGGTTTCTATTTCTGGAGATTCTGTCTTTGGTTATTTGATTCTGTTTATCAAATCTGTTTTACCTTTCATTGTCATCTAGTTCTTTTGTCTCTTCAATCATTTAAGAACATCTTATAGTCTCTTTTAGACTATTTAATTATTTTAGATTTTTTTTAAGGTACTTATCCTCCTATTTGTTGCATCTGCTGACTCTGTCTGTCAAAATGAAATGCTAGTGGAGGGGAAGAATTACTCTTGAAAAAGAGCCAACTTAGAATATTTATAATCTTTAAAAAGTGATTCTCAATATGAAGAGGTTGTTTGCAGGGGTGAAGGGGACAGTGTACCCTTCAGGGGGTGTAAGAACTTCCCAGGGCCCTTTCAAGTCCCACAAGGCATTCAGACTCTGAGATATATTCAGAGATGCCCTGATCCCTCCCTACCCACTCTGAGGATCACTCAGTATTCAACCTATGTTATTACTGGGCGTGTATTACATTCCATAAGTGTGTAGGCTAGAAAAAGGGTAAAAACGATGAAAACAACTGTTTTAAGCATCTGAAATTTATCTCTTTAAAATGAAAAACCAAATTGACTTTTTTCTCCCAAAGTGCCTTCTAGGTTTCCTACATCATGTATTAAACATATCTTTCCTTTCCCATTTCTGTTTGAAAGTTGACTTATAAGATACTGAAATTCTACATACAGTTAATTCTATTTCTGAGCTTTCTATTTGGCCCCATTGATCCATATTTCTAATCATATGCTAGTATCACACACTATTTTAAAGTCTATTGCTTTGCCTTCGTAGCTTATAATAGAAATCTATTTTAAAAGCATTCTTCAAGATTTTTTCCCACTTCATTTTGTAGAGAACTCTAAATCCACTTTCCTGAAGTATGTTAAGATCTTGCTTGTGTGCAAATTATTATGTAATCATCTTTAAATTATTTAATTGTCCTACCCAGAACGTAATCTTTCTCACTAATTAATCAAAACCCTTTTAGCTCTGTATAAGTCTTTTAAAAAAAATCTATCTCAATAAAATTGATTTCTTGGTATTTTATACTTTCATGAAGTATTAAATTACTTTTTCATATTTGCTTGAAGGTATACAGAAATGCTATTGATTTTTCCATGGATATTTTACATAGACAAATTATGAATTATTTTGCTAATTGTAGTAATTTTTAGGCCATTCTCTAGGATTTTTAGGTGTACATATGGCTATTATCATCTTTGAACAGATAATATGAACTCTTGATGGTTATGTATCAGTCTCATTTCATTCATAAGAACTTCCCAAACAATATCAAACCACAGCCATGGCACCACCCAGCCTCCCTCTATTCTCCTCACCCATCAGTTCAACAGTGGCATCAAACAATATCACTTTAAGACACAGAGATGAGGAAGAGTGCTCGTCTATGCTTAGCTTTTAGGGAAGTGTATAGGATATTACTAAGATTCTCAACAGAGAAACCCAAGCTAAAATGTAAAAAGGTCCATTGTTTAGACTGAGAACATTCAAACTACCTGGAACGTTCAGTCATTTAGAACATTTCATTAAGAACTTTACTACATTAAACAAGGCTTTCATTCAACATGGTGGGTGGGGAGGGGAGACAAAGTTATACAACTAAAAACAGGAAAGCTAATTTAAGACTAAATTTTTTGAGTGATGAGTAGACAGAAAACAGTCTTCTTGAAGTGTCTGATTAAGTTAGAATGAGATATTTTTTCTTAAAAGGTTCATTAATTGAAATTATGAAAATATATATACAGTTTCAAAAGAAAATGATTTGCAATAATACTTATCGCTAGGGTTAAAAATTGTAGTATAAATTTACATTGGATTTGATCTTCAAGTAAACTATGGTACTGTGGCAAGGACAACAAATAAAATTAACTTGCATGATATTCCCCTAGCCTATTAAGAGCCCTAAACAAATACAATATTAAGAAATCATTCTGGAAATCATGTCTGTTGAATAATGGCAGTAGAAATGAGAATTGTCTATTTTTCCAATGCTTCTAGAACAATTTAAAGGTTACCTTATTTTTAGCAAAGGTTCTACCCTTAAAATATGATGAAACAGAATATTCAAGAATTCCTCAGGATCTAGGAGAAAATTTAAAAATCAAATAAGTCACAGGCAAAATTTTTAAATCATTTTATTTTTCATTTCTAACAGTCAAATTTTAATACTGAATTCAGTTTCATTCATCCAATATTATTTCAATTAAAAGCACAGTTTTCAAGTTTTCCTGACAAAGGAAAAACATAAAAGACATTTAATAAGTTATAATCAAGTATTATGTTTCAATTTTGTTGTGAGTTTATTACATTTGAAAGGGTGTAACACATTGCACATAATGAAATAGCTGTTATTTCCTTTGGAGGGGTTAAGGTAAATGGAGTACAATCTGAAGTATGCTCTGTTTTTTCCTGCAAGCCTCTGAACATTACAGCTGTTTACAGTATGCTGCTGACAAATTCAAAGTCAGGTGGTGAATCTTTGAGTAAGCCCATTAGCTAGGAAGAGATTATAACACTGTTCCCTGACTATAAACTTAATCCTAGTTAGCAGCTTTCTAACTCCCTTTTACAACAGGGAAGACTCAGTGGGAAAATGTAGAAAACCCAATGCAACTCTGCACCACAAGAGAGAAACAACTGAGAATATCATTGCTAGGTGGAAAGGAAAGGACTTTTTATTTAAGCATTTAATATACTAGAACCAGCCAGCTTCTTAAAGGAGTTCATTATTCCACATCATCAATCACTTTTAGAAGAGAGGAAGAATTTACAAAAAGAGGAGCTAACCATATATCACATAAAAAGAAATTTCTAATTTAAAAGAAAACCCCCCAACTACACAGACACACATTTCAGCTAATACTTTGACATGTGAATATGCTCTTCAGTTATTTTTAACGCATATAAGTTAAGATGGTCACCTTTTTCTTCAGAGGTAAATCCTGATGCAGCCTCCACCTTTTCAAGTATTTTCCTCAGTTTCATAATTTTTGTGGCACACACATATCCATATCTAAGTTAGTAAAAAACTATTAATTGATATTGGCATGTATTAAATTATATAACACATCTTAATCACATATTTCTTTTTTTCTTTTTTTTTTTTGAGATAGAGTCTCACTCTATCACTCAGGCTGGAGTGTGCAGTGGCCCGATCTCAGCTCACTGCAACCTCCGCCTTCCAGGCTCAAGAGATTCTCATGCCTCAGCCACCAAAGTAGCTGGAATTACAGGCGTGCACCACCACATCCAGCTAATTTTTGTATTTTTAGTAGAAACAGGGTTTCACCATGTTGGCCAGGCTGCTCTTGAACTCCTGGCCTCAAGTGATCCGCCCACCTCGGCCTCCCAAAGTGCTGGGATTACAGGTGTGCGCCACCACACCTGGCCAACACATTTCTTATACAACTCCAGTATGTCATAAATCAATAGGTTAGACAATTATTTTTGAAGAAAACAATGATAAGCTTCTTCTTGAAGTTTGCAAAATTAAAGATCTAGAACCAGAATTATCCTAGACACTATTATATGCTCTACAAGTAACTGTCATACACTAAGATAAAAAATTTTTAGGTTTGCTGTGACTGATTTTTTAAATAATATTTGCTTGGGAAATTAAAGCATTTACTTTATAAAGCAGAATATACAATTTTGAGAGAGAATATCCTTTTAATACTGAAGTGTGAAACAGCCACCAAGGGAAATGGGAAAGGGAATTTATAAGAAACTGAAAATCTAAAATCTGCAATCAAACCAATTGGCATAATGATGACATTTTCTCTCTTCTTTGTCTGAATGCAAGACACATTCAATCAGTTTAATATCACTTTAAATTTGTAATTCTAAAAATGGCTTCAGAGGAGAACTTGGCGGCTACCATAAGTTTACTAAGGACAAGTCAGAACTAGCTAATTTTATATCCACTTTTTATACTATTCATTCACTCATTAGTTTCCTGCAACCAATACAGACTGAGAATCTACCACTTACATAGTAACGTAACCTGTCAGCCACTGGGAATACAAAATGAGTAAGGTTAAAAAGACAGGGTCTCTGAAGAAAAGCAGAGATTTCAGCACCAAATAAAACCAGTCAGCTATATACAGATATGAATGCTACAGACACAGGGAATCCTGATCACAACAGGGCATCTGACCAGTTTCTTACCGTGGACAGGGTAAGAAAGTGTGATTAACTATGATTCTTAACTGGCTGAACAATAGGATCCAAAGAATGTTTATTCTTCCTCTCTTCTAGGAAGGAGGTGTTAACATGCCTTAGAGTTTCGGGTTTGACCTGTCTTGTTCCAGTATCAATTACTTGGGGGAAAAAAATCGTATGTTTAAAAATTTGCATAAGACAAAATAGTTGATGTGAAAATCAAGATTCACAATTATCTTAAAGAGTAAGATCATTAGAGAAATCATTACAGAATTTAAAGAAAGCAAAAGATATAAGTGAGGAAATTTATTCTCTTATAATTTACTTTCCTAGTCATGTGATATAGCAGATAATTTGGAATCCTCATTGTATTTGAGTATTCTGCTTTTTTGGTTCAAATTTGATATCAAACTATTTTTTACTTTAATTGATAAATAAGAACAGTATATAAAAGGATTCAAATTTATCTTAATATGGACTTTAAATAAATCACTTTCTCTCTATATTCCTGAATGAACAAATTTGTTTTATGATCTATGGTCCTAATTCTTCATAGTTTAAATTTTATAATGTGACATTATCACATATCACTACTACCACTTATTCAAAGTCTTTACTAGATATCTCCTGTCACTTGTGCTTGTACCATTACAAATTGCTTCCTGTGGCCATAAAAAGACATATTTATAATTCCTAAAGTAGGAAATGGAAAAAGAATCACCTTTTTAAGGCAGGTGGAAAGAGGCCAAATATATTCCTTTAACCAAAAAATATGGTACTAAAATACATCTCATCTGTTGCTAGTCCAAAGTATTAAACACTAGCTATTCTATAAAGAATTTCCCTTTCTCCTTTTCTTTCAGATTTAAGAAGCTAGACTACACCAATTTAACTAATAAGCATGATTACTTGTAGCAGAAGTGTTGGAATAAACTATTTCAAAAGATAAGAATCCTAAGTATTATGTATTAGCTTTCCTAAACATACTGCAATTGCTAAATTATAGTTTACTCTAGCAAAATAGGTTAAATCATTTCATGGAATATGCTATGTTCTACACCTTGGCCACATTTAAGAAATTAAATAAGCAAAAAAGTACAAGGACCAAAGGTTTAAAAACGTAATATTTTACCATAAGAACTAATTTTCACCCATCTCTTATTACATGAAGACAAGGTATAAATTAATTACTATACCAGAAAACAGCAAATAGAACACCATGTAAAGGCAAAATAGCAATTTGTTTTCTACTTACATTCTCAGAGGATTAACAATTTCTGTCCTCAGTAGCTCTTGGGTTTCACTATAATATTCTACATCGTTCTTTTCTTTGGGTCTAAGTAACACAGTGTCCAGAACAGAACTAAAAGCAAATAAGCTGCAAAAGAAAAAGGATAATTTTCTTCATGCTGTAAACATATTTTTCAAGAAACAGATTTTTAACAGAATTAGAAGAGGAAAATAAGTAAAGTCTGGAGAACAAATAACATAACAATTTGTGTTTTTCATTAACACAGGTACCAGGACCCCTGTGAAGATACCCATGGTTCAATCATCAGGACCTACAGATCCTTCCATGTTAAGGACAACACCAATAATACTGAGAAAGCAAACGGCAGATTGGCAGTGTTAAAGGATAACAACGTGCCAACAGAATATTAAGAAAGAAAACTTCTTTGCAAAAGTTGATAGAGAGACTACAAATATCAGTCAAATTACAAACAGACAACAGAGGACAGCATTTGGAAACGACTTCCCGAGGCAAGCACTATTCAGTGCCCCACTTCCCTCTCCCCATGCCCCTTTGCAAAGATCTATTACATTAATAAATTTCTTTAAATGCTAAAATCACTTATGAGTGACTAACAGGCCAGGTGCGGTGGCTCATGCCTGCAATCCCAGAACTTTGGGAGGCCGAGACGGGTGAATCACCTGAGGTCAGGAGTTTGAGACCAGCCTGACCAATATGGTGAAACCCCGTCTCTACTAAAAATACAAAAATTAGCCAGGCATGATGGAGTGCACCTGAAGTCCCAGCTACTTGGGAGGCTGAGATAGGAGAATCGCTTGAACCCGGGAGGTGGAGGTTCCAGTGAGCCGAGATCACGTCACTGCATTCCAGCCTGGGCGACACAGCGAGACTCCTTCTCAAAAAAATAAACGAGTGACAGCAGTAACTTGCTGTTATCAAAGAAAAAGAAAATTTAGCTAATATAGATTTTTATCAGGAAATCTAAAGAATATTATATCAATGCTACAAGGTTTGTTTTTGTCAAAGTATTCTGCAAATAAAATGGCCGCCACTTTATTCTTCTTCCTACTTTAAAAATGTTAACATCCCATATTAACTTCCTAATTCTTATCATATGGCTACAGAACTGGCAGGCTACTCTCAATTTAGCCCAGTCTACAATCCTCAGAGCCTAAAGATTCTTGGTTCAATTTCCAGAGCTTAAAGATCCTTGCAATGTTAAGGCTGGGCGTGGTGGCTCATGCCCGTAATCCCAAGCACTTTGGGAGGCCAAGGCGGGTAGATCATTTGAGGTGAGACGTTCGAGACCAGCCTGGCCAACGTGGTGAAACCCCCGTCTCTACTGAAAATACAAAAAAGAAAGTTAGCCAGAAGTGGTGGTTCACACCTGTAATCCCAGCTACTCAGGAGGCTGAGTCAAGAGAATCGCTTGAACCTGGGAGGCAGAGGTTGCAATGAGCCCAGATTGTGCCGCTGCATTCCAGCCTGGGGGACAGAGTGAGACTCTGTCTCAAAAAAAAAAAAAAAAAAAAAAAAAATCTTAAGTTGTTCCACTTTGGAAAAAATTGCATATATGAGGGCAGCAGTGCTGCTACTGAAAATCGTTTTTTTAAAGACAGTAGTTTTATGACTGCCTTTACCTACTAAAAGAAATACAGCACATAACAGCCAATGGCTTTACTGCAAGTTATGTTGTTTGAGACATGCACAAAGATTTCCCAGATACCCTCTGTATATCTATTCCATTGTACCAATATCATTCACCTTTCTGGACACAGAAACATGAGACAACATTCAAAAGCTTAAAAGGAGTATGTCATAAAAAGCAAATCTCCCTTTCAATCCTGACCCACAGTCATCCAGTTTCTCTACTCAGAGGCAGATGGCAGTTTCTTTCACACACACTCACACGCACACACACACACACACCGGTATGTGTCCCTGCCTCATGGCACTATCTATACCTATTGCATTCTTTTTAAACTTACCAGAATAAGGTTGAGTCTAAGTAACAAGAATTGTAATGACCCTGGATGCCTTTCTTCTTCCCAATCATTATCTCCAAGCCTTCTTTTTCCATTTTTGGTGGAGTATTTTCTTCTACTACTTCACTTAAGTAGCCTCCAAATGCTGAAAAGATTTTTTTAAAAAAAGTAAATGAAAAGAATTCTTTTAAACTATTACAATATGTATTCCCATAAATATTTTTTCATTTTAAAATGTTTTTGTATTTTGATGCAAAATTTTTTCTTTAAGTGGAAAGTAGGCTTTGGTTAACTGCTATTTGACTTGGCTTATAAAAATTGCTATTGTTCATTTTCAACTTCATTTCCTCCAAGATTTAAAAACACACTTTAGAGTATTATGTGTAAAAAGCATCTGTCAAGTAAAATATGTTTCCCAAATATTTCACTATTTATCTGAAGTTGCTTCACTTTCAAGTTTGAAAAGAAAATGAAAATTCCAAAGTACTATTTCAACATAATAAGAGTGTTTTTCATAAAGATGGCTTTCCTGTTTGCACCTGCTGAAGCCCCAAGATGCTTTTCCACTATTATGTAGAAGTGGAAAGGAACAGCACCAGGAAACTGCCACCAATTACACATGATGAGGAGAGCTGTCCTCCAGCAATCAGTTGAAATCTACTTCTTACACTAAAATGCTGATTTCTTTGTAAGATACACTCACTGCTGTAAACAAGACACTGTGAGGGAAGTCAGTAAAAAAAAAAAAGAAGGTTACATTTCAATTTCTACCACTAGTATTGCTGAAAACTAAATGTCTGTCATCAACAGGAAGAGAAAAACAAACCACACTATTATTCACTTTATAAGTCCCAAACGCACGTCCTAATACTTTTTTAAGATGTCCCCTCTTAAAACAACTTTCTTATACACCATGCAACATTTTTACTGATTTAAAGCTTAATGAGCGTTGGCAAGAAATATATTAAAACACTGTCACCATCACCTAATATAACATGATATGAGATTAGAATTAGAGTCATTCCAGGTTGTTAAGTAAACAAAAAGCATCCAAATACCTAAAGAGTTACAGCGCTCAATCTGATTGGAAACCGGCTGCAATGATGCAAACCTAGAGTCAGGCCTGCAGCTCTTCAGTTTCACAAACAGCGCCTTCTTCAGGGCACAGGTGAAATACCGAGTGCCTCTGAAGGTTCCATCCGTACAGCCTGCACACTCATCTTCCTGAAAAAGAAATGCTTCAATATGCATTATACCGTGCCTTACAGAGATAGTATACAAAGAACTAAGGTTTCTAAGACCTGTTTCTAGTATACCCTTTCTCACCACTCCCTCTTCGCACCTGTACTGAGAACCTCATCAAGAAAAAGGAGTTGAGTAATCAGTGCTTCAGCCCACAGCTACTGATTTAAGAAGTGACTTCCTTAATCCAGCATGAAGTCCTTCTTGTATTTCCTTTCAGAATATATGCTTCAACCTCCCCTGGTTAAACGGGCTTTCCCGCACCATTTCTACAAGCATTAAAACAGGCAGGGAAGGAGAAGGCTATTTATTTTAACCCTCATTCTTGCCTCCCCACCATGCCCCATAAGATAGTATTCACTAGCATGGAAACAAACAAGAAAAAAAAAAAAAGAAATATATTTAAATTGGCCAGGTGTGGTGGCTCATGCCCATAATCCTAGCACTTTAGGAGGCCAAGGCGGGCAGATCACTTGAGTCCAGGAGTTTGAGACCAGCCTGGGCAACATGGCAAAACCCTGTCTCTACTAAAAATACAAAAAATTACCAAGCATGATGGTACATGTCTGTAATTCCAGCTACTCAGGTGACTGAGGCAGGAGAATAGCTTGAGCCCAGGAGGTCGAGGCTGCAGTGAGCCCTGACCGTGCTACTGCACTCCAGTCTGGGTGACAGAGTGAGACCCCATCTCTAAATAAATCCTAAACATACTCAACTTCTCCTTTCCTGATTACAAAATATCAAATGATATGTTCTCCTGATCTCTAAAGGGAAAACCTTTCCCTCTAGCAAAGGTCTCAAAAGATCTCTAAAAATGGTGATTAACTTTAAAGCCAGTGATATAATTATTAGAACTGACCAGGGGAAGGGGCTGAAGAAGAAAGAGAAAAGCTGATGGCAAATTTGCTTGATTTACTAAATTCTGTTTAATATAAGGAGCCTAAATCGATTGGCCTAAAAATCAACTTTCATTCCTTGAACATAAATCAACTAACATTAGGACAAGTGGGTCGCAAGCTTCAGGGGCGGCAAAGGGAAGTCAGAAAACATGGTGAGAAAATTATTCTGCAGTGATAGCTTTTCTGACAAATATAACAGTTTGTCAAAAAGCATATAATAGGGCGAAATCTGCACAAAACCTCACAGAGAAAAAAATTGAAATTTTTGGGTCAAGTTAAATTACCAGTTCCAGTCCAGCGAGCACTTCATTCAGTCCTGGTGGCTGACCGATCCAACGGATTACCCCATAGAAAGGAGGGTTCTCCTTAACTTCAGCCAATGAGCCCACTTCTAGACCATGTGAGTTCCCAGGAGGCATGGCCAAGGGTGGACTCTCTTGGACGGGTGCAGTGTTTAGCTCTTCCATTACAGACTGGGCTGACAGAGAAAGTGGACTGTGGCCAATACTTCCATTGGTATTGGGCATCTTGGTGAGACTGAATGGTAAAGAGTGGAATCTGTTCTCGGTGGTCAGTGAGTTCACAGGAGGAGGCTGGAGTGGTGGTGAAGAACGGTCAAAGTCTGTAGATATCTCTGTAAGAGATTTTGCAGGGTCTTCTGCAACTAAAAAATTATTCCTAATTACAGAAATGTATTCAAGGATATTGACTCTGTCTTACATTTCTAAAAATTTATATACAGATCTAGTCCAACTGCCCACCTGACCTCCCTGCTATTAATAGTACTCTCATAGGCATCACAAAGTTATTATCTCCAACAGTGTTCTCGCTCCTCTCTCCACCTCCATATTTATGCACCTCAGTCAATGGCACCCAACTGTTCAAACCAAAAAAATCTATTATCAGCGGGTATCGTATACGTGATAGTCTTTGTCCAAAATACAATTAATTGAGAAGGCAGTACAAAAAGATACCGAAAACCTTAAGAAACGCTTCTATATATCTAATGGATCAAAAAAGAAATAATACGTTTTAACAATAAAGAAAAAAGAGAGAAAAAGTAACAAAGAAAGAAAGAATCCTTGTGAAACATGGCTAAATTAATACTTATAAGGGAATTTTATAGACTTCATTGCTTATTTCAGAAAAAAACAAAAGCTAAATATGAACTCAGCATACAACTTGGGAAGTTAAAAGAACAGAATAACCCTCAAAAAAGTAGAGAAGAATAAACTAAAGAACAGAAACAACAGAAGAGAGAAAACAAACATACAATAAGAAGTTCAAAGCCAGAATAAACACAAACACAGAATGTAATTTAAGAGAAACCAAACACATGATAAAGAGAGCCACAGCCAAAAGCTATTTTCTTAAAATGACTAATACAGCTGACAGGCAGGTATTGCAGATCAATGACAAAAGAATGAACTTCTTACTAAATGCTGTTGAGATAATTGGTTATCCATATTTTTAAAAAAAAATTAAACAGGAATCCTACTCATACTTTACATGAAAATCAGCTCCAGGTGCCTTAAAAACAAATGTGGCAGGCAAAACTCTAAAGGCTGGGAGACCACAGAGTCAGGCCTGTTTGCCTTTCCATTCTCATCTCATGAATGTCATGCCTCTGTCTGTGTTCTAGTCCCTGGCAAACACTAGCTTCCATTCTTCCAGGAGGACTTTCCCTATGCTATTTCTTCTCCCGAGGAAGTTCTAGCCCCTTTCACTTTGTCATCTGTCACTCCTCTGGTAAACCTAAGCATGTGTCACTGCCCCAAAGAAACACCCCTAAGACCCTGAGAAAAATCATCTTTGGTGTATTCTCACAGCATCATGCACCTTCACTGCACACACCACCAAGGCAACTCTACTGTGTCTGTGGTTGTTTGACTAATTTCTATCTCAACAACTTAACAACTGCAAACTCACAAAGGGCATGAACCATGTCTATTTTTTCTCACCATTTTCATCTTGATGCCTAAAAGAATGCCTGGCAATCATAAGCACTCAATAAATATTTGTTGAACAAATGAACAAAGAAGAGAATAAACTAGGTGAAAATGATGTCCCAGGACCAAGGGAAGATAAAATTTTTTAAAAGGGAGTGCTTTAAAGAGGTCAGGAAGGAACCAGACAGAAATCTTCCACCCTAAATAGATCAGCAGTTAAAGGAAAAGAACAAATTACTAATACATTTCTTAAACATTTTAATAATCTTAACAGCAGTACGGTTCAAACTGTGTACAATATTTTAGTTCAGCAATATTACAAAGAGCGGTCTACTTATTCTGTTTCCAAAAACTACAAATATTGATATAAAAAACCATTTTTCTCTGATGAGTTAGAAAGAAAGGATCATTATAAAGAACACTAAAATTACTGATTACCTTCATCAATGTACCATGTATTTTTTGATTTGGATTGTGGTTGTGAGTCAACAGAAGACCCATTTAAGGTATAAAATAATTCAGATCTGTTTCTATTTCCAGGGTCTGAGGTAGATCCTATAGGAACAAGAAAAGTTTCATTTAAAAATAAAGTCAATATAGCATCAAAGTTTTTTTTTAGTAAGAGAAATTATTATGAATATGATGTTAATAACTGTTTACATAACCAATAAATGTATATAAACACAATATGTTTTTTAACTGTCTTCAGCTTTTAAAAATTTGGTAACCATTTTGACAATATTAAAAATATTTTTCAGCCCAAAAGTCAAGATAGGAGGGAAACAGGAGTAAGTTAAAAGAAAAGCCCACTCATTTTTAAAAAAAATGAACTGCTTTAAGAAATTGTTCCATGTACCACAGCTTATTTCTAAATGTCAAAATCACCATTCTCCAGCTTCATTTCATAGACCCATTGGTTCACAAATTTAACCTATTATTTTAAAAGAAGGTAATCCTCAAATTCTATATATAAATCAATACACAAATTACATTTAAAAATAGTTAAGTTTTAAACATTTTGGAATTTTTGGTCATCAAATTCCTTGTGTCTTTGAAAAAATCAAGCACTATTATTTCTTACAGATTGGATTTATTATACGTGAGAGGGCGAGTGTAGCTATGCCACAGCCATTTCATGACATTACCCTGCCTCAGTATTAATTCAAGGACATACCACACACAGTGGAGGGCAGTGGGCTCTCCAGAACCCACAAAAAAGCTGATTTCCCTTTTCAAATTAAAGCAGGTAGCTGTACATTTTATAACTTTAAGATCTACTACAATACAATTAACATGCCATAGCTTAAGAAAATCTTTAGTCTGTTTCTATTTAAGTGAGAGTAGCAAGTTTGAGCTATCCTATATAGATCTATAGGTTAACATAAAAAAGACTGTTACCTATATATCCTGCAATTAATCCTAAGTCTCCCAGGCCCCAATGTCACATAAAATAATTCTTAAAGTACAATTTCCTTTTAAATGAGCCAAAATTGTAATAATTGAGGAAAAAATATTCTTTTCCTAACTCGCATCTGAGTTAACAAAAATTCTCAGAGCCTTTTTAATGAGCTCTTTGGCTTGTATAACTACTATTCTATAAATCTATGAAGTATGTGGAAGCTAACAAAAAAAAGAGCTGTAAGCTCCACACATATTGTGAGGAAGCTTCTGGGAAAGAGAAGAAATTTTTGCTTAGCAGTTTGGGATTTAATTTGTACCAAATCTAGTTAGCAAAATCCATTTAATTAACCTCTAGTATACTTTATCCTATATAACATTATCCATATAGGATTATTTTACACAGTTGCAATCCTAAACTATACATACAAATATTCCAAGTAAGGAGTTCCAAAAACCATTTGATTATAGACCAGCAAAACACACAAGACCCTATGGGGAACTCTTCCTGAGGTAAAAAAGGCTGGGAACACTTGGCTTAAGCAACAGTATTTATATACAAACTTTAGTTTCACTACTAAAAATGTTTGAAAGAAAAAAAGTCTACATACATGTTCAGAAGTAATAGCTTATAATCTTTTTTAATGCTATGGCAAGTTAGGCATTATGCAAATTACTAAAGGTTATATGCTATTAATCCATACCTGTAGCCTTTGGTTTATTATGACTGGATGAACCTTTGTCCCCAACACCTCTTGACATAAAGGCAAGTTTGGGAGGCCTCCTTTCCTGCGTCACACTCTCTGAAACAGTAAGCATGTTTTTTAAAGATAAAGGCAAATTCTTATAGAAGAGAAACAAGGAATGACAGTAACAAAATAAAAAAACCCTCTTTCCACAAAAAGGCAGAATTTTTAGTTTTACAAATGCCTTTTAAAGGCCATCAAAAGTATTGAAAAAGATAATACTATGGGGGAAAAAACCAATGCTGTATTTCAAAATGTAATTTCTATAAGAAAATACCCTCTCAAAATACAATTCAGCTAAATGCTTTAACCTCTTGAAAATTTAATCACTTGTAGTCAATTTTATTTGATCTCTTAAAACACTACAAAGAAAATCTTACTCGGTTTTTTACAGCATTTCCCAAATCAGCAGGCTTAGAACACCCCTGTGTATTATGAAGTGTTTCGAACTCAAATATTTCTTGAAGATGCTGAGATAAACAAAGATAAACAATTTCTTTACTGCACGGAACCAGAGCCTTTAATATGCTAATGTGCATTGTGAACTGCTCAGGGAGAAACAAAATAAACTTATTGATAAAAATTTTTGTGCCACTTTGCTTAGCATCTCAGATTAATATTATTTCATGAACACAGTTTGAAAAAAGCCTGGTTAGGAATATGTATCATGGTTAGGAAAGAAAGTTCTGGTTAAGAACATATATCTGTTTTTAAAAACATATATGTTAAGAATAACACAGATGTGTATACAAACACTTATACATATAAAAGAGGAAAACATAGAGAATTATGCATAGATTAAAAATACAGAAAGCCAGAGACACACAACAATAATATATTTGAAGAAAACACTCACAATTATTTCTGAAATATAGGTGTAATAAGTGTGGCAAACTTGTTTTGAATACAAAGACCACTCTAGACCTTAAAGCCCAGCAATGATCATAGAATACTCCTAAATACTGATCAAGGGAATGTAGAAGAGGCAGTGTGAAAAGTTCTTCCTTTGAAAAATTCAACAATACATCCGTGGAGTCCAACACGACACTTAGGAGTCATACCTGATAAAGCTGTGTGTCAGCAAAAACGATATCACCCACAGTGGATTTGAGGACAGAAAGAAAGAAATAGGAAAATTTTTACATTTTAAACACAAGGAAAAGACTTTTCTTAAAAAAAGAGGAAATTTACTAAATGAATTATATGTAAATACTTGGTAACTTTTTTCCATGGTTGAAAGAGGAGGGGGATGTGTTATTAAACTATATCTTAAACATCTCATAATATGATCCAATAGAATATGAAAATATTTTAATTCAAAAATTATACCAATTAACCACGATTTCGATCAAGTGATATAATAAGAGAAAAGCTATGTACTAATACTGTGGTCCCCACTTATCCACACTTTTACCTTCCACGGTATCAGTTACCCACAGTCAACCACTGTCCAAAAATATTAAATAAAAAATTGCAGAAACAGACAATTCGTAAGTTTTAAGTTGCATGCTGTTTTGAGTATTATAACGAAATCTTGCACCATCCTAATCCATAACCCCTGACGTAACCCATCCCCGTCCAGCATCTCCACACTGTGTCTACTCCCTGCCTTGTTAGTCACTTAGTAGCCACCTCAGTCATCAGATCAACTATTGCAGTATCACAGTGCTTACATTCAAGTCACCCTTATTTTACTTAATAATAGTCCTGAAGTACACGAGTAGTGATGTTGCCATATTGTTATTATTGTCTCTTCTCTGATTATTGTTTTCAATATCTTATTGTGCCTAATATATAAATTAAACTTTATCAGAGGCATGAATGTAGAGGAAAAACACAGTATACGTAGGGTTCAGTACTATCCATAGTTTCAGGTATCCACTGGGGGTCTTGGAAGTATCCCTTGATGAAAGAGGAGACCACTGTTCTTTTATGATGTTGTCATTCAGATATCTTTAAATAGCACCCATGACAGATACTTCAGAAGGAAAATCTTAGTCACTGAGAAGAGTTCCTAAATTATAGCATATAAATTTCCTAAAGAAAAACAACTCCCACTATTAACTGTAATTAACTGCATATAACATTTTTAAAGTATGTTCACATGTATACCACGATATAGATCCATTATATAGTTAGTAACCATTATAACAAATGAAGCAAGTGCTCTTCCCTTTGTTAGGCTTTGAAGGTAGCCTGGCAGGACTGGAGAGCCAACTGGATGGCCGGTGGTGACAGTTCTGCAGGTGACACTAGGGAGGAGCTCCAAAGATTAGGAATGTGAGCAGGGGGGCACTGGAGTTGGAAACTGTGGCTACCTTCTGTCAAAGGCTGTCTGAGAGGGGGTCAAATATCAGCTCTGAAGAAGAAGACATTCCATCAGAATTCTATACAGACAAAGGGGCACAAACCACCTCTAATTGCCCTCCAGCAATTACACACCAAATATTTCTTATTACTTTGTCACAACTGTGTTCATGGCCCAAAACTACTTGGGTCATGAAGCAAAGCTTTCAAAGTTAAATGAATTATAAGTGATTACCAACTCAGAAAAAGATAAATATGGGATGGAAAGCAAGGTAAGATAAATTCAGCTGGCAATTTTGTGTGATTAAAACAAACCTGATTAAAGATATTAAAAGATATAGAAGATAATTCCACCAAACAGCATGAGTAAAAATGTACAGAGCAGCCCTATTCATTCTAATCAAAAGCTGGAAACAAGCTATTCTACAGAAGAATAGAGAAACAAATTATGGTCTATTCATACAATGGAATACTACATAGCAATAAAAAAGGAACAAACTACTGATAAACAGGGCAACATGGACATTGTGTTCAGCAAAAGAAACCAAACCAAAAGTATCCATTATGTATACACAGCAAGATTGCATTTAAATGATAAAATTCACAGCTTATCCATCACTTGTTGATTTAACCAGAAAAAGAAAAATCCCTTGGAGAATCTTGAGCAGGAAATCATAACAATAAACTAGTGAACAAGTTATTGTTCAAATCAAATGAAATGTCTATGAATTTGAATGACCCAGTAAATTAAGAGAAATTGTTTAATTAATGTACCGCTTAACATCAGCAGCCACAAGAGCATAATTCAGACTCAAATGAGAATTTAACATCCACAGAAATCTTGTGAAGAAAATACAGTTTACTTGAGTAGAATGAGGTATTATTAAACCCGATGCCAGAAATATCCTACATAGCAACTATTCAAAAATCTCTAAAAGGTTGGGTTCCTGCTCAGAATAAATATTTTCCATAATAGTATATGAAAAATTCTTCAAGAAATGCTTGAAGGTGCCATATAGATAACACCAAAAGTTGCATGCTGATATCTGGTGCTTCAAATTATCCTTCTTCAGGGCTCCAGCTCTAACTGTCTCATAGGACCAGGAGTACTGCCTATACAGGCAACATTCATGGTGACTCCGATTGACAAGCAATCTCTATGAAAGCCATGTATTACTGTCTATCAAAATGTAAAATGCATAGCAATTCTACTCCTAGGAAGTTATCTTTTTATACTGGCACACATGCTAACTGATACACAGATACAAAGTTATTCACTGAAGCACTGTTTATAACAGCAAAAGATTGAAAACAACCTAAATGCTCATCAGTAGGAGGCTGGTTCAAAAATTATGGTACATGCATAAAATGAAATATAATTCAATGATTTAAACAAAAGACCAAGTATACAACTTATGTACTAATATGAAATAATCTCTAATATCTATTGTTAAGTTAAAAAGGAAGGTGCAACTTCTACTTCTGGGAAGATAAAGTAGATGTACTTCCTATTTCTTTTGCTAAGTACAACTAAAATCTCTAGACATAATATATAAAACAAATATAAGAAGACTTTGAAAGGTAGAGATGAGAAGGTAGACCAGCTAGGAACCTCAAGACCTAAGAAATAACATCACAGAGATTTCCCTCTGGGTTTTCTTCTTGACTACATTCTTATCCCATACTTAGAGATAAAAAAATCAGCACCCTGGAAACATCAATAGGCATAGACAAAAGAAGGCCCCAACCAAAGTTTTGCTCTCTCTAGCCAAAGGATATCAATTCTCCCCAAAGTTATATACAGGTTTAATGTAATTCCTATCAAAATCTCAAGAAGATTTTGTATAGATGTACACAAGATTACTCTAAAATGCATATGGAAAGGCAAAAGATCTAGAATAACTAAAATAATTTTGGAAAAGAATAAAGTAGGAGGAATTAGTTTAATAGATTGCAAGACTTACTAGTTAGCCGCAGTGATCGAGACTGTGGTATGGGCAGTAGGACAGACACACAGATCAATGGAACAGAATGGAGAACCAAGAAATAGACCCACATAAATATACCCAACTGAATTTTGACAAAGGTAGAAAAATAATTCAATGGAAGAAAGAGTCTTTTCAACAAATAGTGATGGAACAATTAGATATCCATAGATTTTTTAAAAAAAAATTCTACTTAAGTCTCACAACTTATACCAAATTAACTCAAAATAGATTATAGACTTAAATGTAAAAAGTAAATCTATGAAACTTTTTGGAAAACAGAGAACAAGGATGCAAAGAAATTAGAACCCTCATACATTGTGGCTGGAAAAGTAAATGGTGCAGCTCCTTCAGAAAACCATTTGGCAGTTCCACAAATGACTAAACACACAGTCACCACATGACCCAGCAATTCTACTCCTAGGGAGTACCCAACAGAACTGAAAACAGATGTCCACAGAATAACTTGTATATGAATGTTCACAGCAGCATTTTTAATAATAGTCAAAAACTAGAAACTGACGTCCATCGACTGAAAAATGGCTAAACAAAATACGGCAGATCCATTTATTGGAATATTATTCAACCATAAAGAAGGTTAGAGTACTGATTTTGCTATCATACGGATGAACCTTGAAAAGATTATGCTTAACTGAAGAAGCCAGACACAAAAGCCACATATCTTTTATTCTATTTATGTGAAATGTCCAGAATAGGCAAATCTGTAGAGATAGAAAGCAGATCAGTGGTTGTCAGGGTCTCAGGGTAAGAGACAATGGGAAGTAACTGCTTAATGGGTACTGGGTTCCCATGAAAATGTTCTGGAACTGGATAGTGGTGAGGGTTGCACAACATATTACATTTCAATTTTTAAAAACTTAGGAGAAAATCTTCCATATGTAGAGCTAAACAAAAGTTGTCGAACTTGACACAAAAGCTTGACCCACACAAGAAAAACTATAAATTGGACTTCATAAAAATAAAAATCTTGTACTCTGTGAAAGACCCTATTAAGAGGATGAAAAGACAAGCTACACATTGGGAAATAAAATGTGCAAACCATATATTGAACAAAGAATTAGTATCTAGAATACATAAAGACTTCTCAAAACTCAACAGTAAAAAAGCACAGGATCCAATGAGAACCTGGGCAAAAGAGATGAGGACACCTTTCACTCAAGAATATATACGAAGGCTGGGTGCAGGGGCTCATGCCTGTAATCCCAGCACTTTGGGAAGCCGAGGCAGGTGGATCACTTGAGGTCAGGAGTTCGAGACCAGCCTGGCCAACATGGTGAAACCCTCTCTCTACTAAGAACACAAAAATTAGCTGGGCTCGGGGGCGCACACCTGTAATCCCAGCTACTTGGGAGGCTGAGGCAGGAGAATCACTTGAACCCAGGAGGTGGAGGTTACAGTGAGCCGAGATCACGCCACTATACTCCAGCCTGGGTGAACAGAGCAAGACTCCATCTCAAAAAAAAAAAAAAGAAAGAAAGAAAAAGAATATATACAGATGACAGTGAGTACACGGAACGATGTTCAACATCAGCAGCCATCAGGTAAATTCAAATCAAAATCACAGTGAAATACAACTACAAATCTCTCTGAATGGCTAAAATTAAAAATAGGGACAACATCAAATGCTGGAAAGGATACAGAGAAACCAGATTACCCATATATTGCCAGTGGTAAAGTAAGAGTACAGTCACTCTGGAAAACAGTTTAGCGGTTTCTTAAGAAACTAAATTTGCAAATATCACCGAATACGCACTTGGACAATTATGTCAAGAAATAAAGATTTATGTGCACTCAGGAAACTACACACAAATATTTATAAAAGCATTATTCATAATAGCCAAAAACTGGAAACAAACCAGATGTCCTTCAACAGCTAAACAGTTAAACAAACTGATACATCCATAATATGGAATATTACTCAGGAATAAACAGGAACAATCCATGGATATATATAAAATAATGTAGATAAATCTCCAGAGAATTATGCTCAGTGAAAAAAGAGCCAGTCTCAAAAGGTTACATACTGTACAACTCCATTTATGTAACATTCTTGAAATGACTGAATTACAGAAATCGACAGCAGATGAGTGGTTGTCAGAGGTTAAGGATGGGGCAGGAGGAAGAGGGAATTTGTGCGGCAGTAAAAGGGCAAGATAAGAGATCTTTGTGGGATGGGAATGTTCTGCTTCTTGATTGTATCAGGGTCAACATTCTGGTTGTGATGTTGCACACGTCTTGTTTTACAACATGTTAATGTTACCGCTGGGAAAAATTGGCTAAAGGGCACACAGGGTCCCTCTCTCTGCATGTGAATCTATAATAATCTGAAATGCTGTAAAGCATATATCTGCAAAAGGGTTTGTATTCAAAATTTATAAATAACTCTCAAAACCCAATCATAAAGAAACAATTAATAATCGGCCAAAGACTTTCACAGATACTAAACCAAAGAAGATATACAGATGACAAATATGCACATGGAAAGATGTTTGATATCACTGGTCACCAATGAAGCGCAGAGTAAAACCACAATTAGATGTTACTAAAATTTAAAAAACTGATCATACCAAGTGTTGGCAAAGATATGGAAGAACTGTATCTCTCATATACTGCTTCTGGGAATGTAAAATAATGCAACCACTTTGGAAACACAGCTTGGAAGGTTTGGGGGTTTTATTTAAGTTAACAGTCACCTATGATATTACCAGCCATTCCACATCTAGGTAAGTACCCAAGTGAAATGAAGGCATATGTCCATACAAAGATTCGTACACAAATTTTCATAGCAGCATTATTCATAATAGCCAAAAACTGAAAAAAACTCAAGTGTCCATCAACAAGTGAATGGATATAGAAACTAATATAACCATATCAACAATAAAAAGGACAACATGGATGAATAAAAAATAATTATGTCGAGTGAAATAAGCCAGACAAAAAAGAATGCATTCTGAGTTATTCCACTTTTGTAAAATCCTTAAAAATGTGAACAAGTGTATACTGATGTAAAGAAGACCAGTGGTTGTCTGAATGTAGGGGGTTGAGAGGACAGGAAGAGGCAGAGGGAGGGATCCCAAGGGACATATTTTGGGGTGATGGATATGTTCACTATCTTGATCGTAGAGATCGTCAAAAAAACAGCATTATACTCCCAACCCCCACAACTAGAACAGAAGACACAGGTTGAACTAGAAAAACCGAAATGTATAATTTTGGGGTGGTGCTAATTGATATGCTTCATCATAACAACTTCAAGAACATGAACATAATGTCAAATTAGATATGTTAGCAGTGTTTTTAACCATTTAGAACAGAAATATAAGAGAGAAACAATTTTATAACAGGTTTAAGATTCCTGCATCTTTCAATCAAAGGTATCCTTCAGAAGCCAACTATTACAAGCAATTGACTAGAAAGAATTCTTTCCTAAGCTTCCCAGCCATTCAACTGCTCTGAAAAGAATCTTTTTTCTTTTTTAAATGCTGTAAATATTAATTTTGTTTCACGGATGAAGGTAATTGGGCAAGAAAAAGAAACTAAGGAACTAAAGGAGACACTTTGACTTTTTTTTCCCCTCAAGAAAAGAGTCCTAATGATGACATGAAAGGCAGATGAAGACTCATTTAAGTAAACTAAATTAATTTTCATTTAAACAACTTTAGTTTTTAAAGTCTATTTGCAAGCTTTATTTTGTTGACAAATAAGTGTAATTTATGTATTATGTTATAAATGCTGGTATCATTCTTAATTATCTCCTATTGAGGGTTTATGAAAATCAAGCTTTAAAAGAAAAAAAAATATCATTCTTTTTCTTTCTCTTCACTGCTCTGAGCCAGCAATAATGACAATGATAACTACTGATTTAGAAGATCAAAGTGTGCCTGACAAGTGACGCCCAAGATATTCATGTAACTAATTTTAATTATCTCAATCCTCCACCAATATTTTAATAAAACAAAACCGTAAATGTTTTTAAGATAAATACTACTAATGAAGAATTCCTTGTCAGGTTATATTCCAGGAAAAATAGAAAGGGTGGTTTTTTTCTTTGCTTTGCTTTTTAAGTGCTACTGTAGAACCCAAGATAATTTACATTTCAAACCAAATTGAGATGTGGAAAAAATAGACAGAAGGAAATACAGCTCTAGAGTGTGTGTGTGGGAGAAAGCACTTCAAGTATTTATTCTACAGCCAACTGAGAAAAACAATCAATTATACATAAGCCAACTTCATAGTTCAGGTATCTCAATCTTAAATTATAATACTAAACTAATGATTTCCCTAGTCTCCTAACTTATTCAGTATAATGAATTGCATTCAGTTGTAAAATGTAAAATTCAAAGAAATGCAATTAAGGTAGGTAAAGAGAACGGTTACTTTCAATCTAAAATGCTTTTTTTTTTAATTATTTTTTGAGCTTTCAAAAGTACTCTATGGAAATTAAAAAAAAAAAAAATTGAAACCCACAAACCCACACAGGCACACCCTGGAGATATTGTAGGTTCTGTTCCAGACCACCACAATAAAGCAAATATCACAATAAAGCAAGTCACACAAGTGTTTTTGTTTCCCAGTGCATATGAAAGCTATGTTTACACTATACTGTAGTCCATTACGTGTGCAATACCATTATGTTATTGAAAATAATGTATATACCTTAATTTTAAAAATATTTCATTGCTAAAAAATGTTAATGATTATCTGAGCCTTCAAGGAGTCATAGTCTTTTTGCTGGTGGAGGCTCTTGCCTCAGTGTGGATGGGTGCTGACTGATCACGGTGATGGTTGCTGAAAGTTGGAGTGACCGTGGCAATTTCCTAAAATAAGACAACAATGAAGTTGGCTCTTTCTTTCATAAAAGATTTCTCTGTAGCATGTGATACTGCTTGATAGCATTTTACTCACAATAGAAGTTCTTTCAAAACTGGAGTTAATCCTCTCCCAAGCCCTGCTGCTTCTTTACTAAGTTTATGGAATATTCTAAATCCTTTGTTGTCATCTCAACGATGTTCACAATATCCTCACCAGGAGTTGATGTCATCTCAATGAACCACTTTTCCTTTCTTCATCCGCTCAAGTTTGATCATGAGATTATAGCAATTCAGTCAAGTACATTTTCAGGCTCCACCTCTAGTTCTAGCTCTTTTGCTACTTCCACCACATCTACAGTTATTTTTTCCACTGAAATCTTCAGTCCCTCAAAGTCATCCATGAGGGTTGGAATCAACTTCTCCCAAACTCCTGTTAATGTTGATATTTTGACCTCCTCCCATAAATCATGAATGTTCTTGATGGCATCTAGAATGGTGAATCCTTTTCAGACAGTTTTCAATTGACTTTGCCCAGTCTGTCAGAGGAATCCTGATCTATGGCAGCCTTACAGAATGTATTTCTTAAATAAAACTTGCAAATAGAAATTACTCCTTGATCCATATGCTGCAGAACAGTTATTGTGCTAGCAAGCATGAAAACAACATTAATCTCCTTGTGCATCTCCATCAAAGCTTTTGAGTGACCAGTTGCATCATCAATGAACAGTAATGTTTTGAAAGGAATCCTTTTTCTGAGCAGTAGGTCTCAACAGTAGACTTAAAATATTCAGTTAAGCATGCTATAAACACATGTGTTGTCATCCAGTCTTTGTTGTTCCATTTATAGAGCACAGGCAGAGTAGATTTAGCATAATTCTTAAGGATTTTGGGATTTTCAGAATCCTGGCTTCAACTTAAAGTCACCAACTGCATTAACCCCTAACAAAAGAGTCAGCCTATCCTTTGAAGCTTTGAAGCCAGGCATTGACTACTCATCTCAGCTATGAAAGTCTTAGATGGTATCTTCTTCCAATAGAAGGCTGTTTTGCCTACACTGAAAATCTTTTATTTAATGTAGCCACTTTCATCAATTAACTTAGCTAGATCTTCTGATAACTTGCAGCAGTTTCTATATCAGCACTTGCTGCTTCATCTTGCACTTTTCTGTTATGGTGATGACATCTTTCCTTAAAGTTTATGAACCAACCTGTGCGAGCTTCCAACTTTTCTTCTGCAGCTTTCTTACCTCTCTCAGCCTTTCAGAATTGAAGAGAGTTAGGGCCTTGCTCTGGATTAGGCTTTGGCTTAAGGGAATGTGCTGGTTTGATCTTCTATCCAGATAACTAAACCTTTCTCCATATCAGCAATAAGGCTGTTTTGCTTTTTTATCATTCATGTGTTCACTAAAGTAGCACTTTTAATTTCCTTCAGGAAATATTCCTTTGCATTCACAACTTAGCTAACTTTGGCACAAGAGGCCTAGTTTTCAGTCTCTCTCGGTTTTCAACATACCTTCCTCACTAAGCTTAATCATTTCTAGCTTTTGATTTAAAGTGAGAGATATGCAACTCTCTCTTTCACTGGAACACTTAGAGGCCATTGTAGGATTATGACTTGGCCTAATTTTAATATTTTTGGGTATCAGGAAATAGGGAGGCCCAAGGAGTGAGAGAGACAGAGGCCCCACTAGTCAGTGGAGCAGTCAGAATACACACAACATTTATCAGTGGAGTTTGTCATCTTATATGGGTGTGGTTTGTGGTGCCTTAAAACAATTTCAATAGTCACCTCAAAGATCATTGATTACAGATCACCATAACAGATATAATAATAATGAAAAAGTTTGAAATATTGCAGGAATTACCAAAATGTGACACAGAGACACGAAGTGTGCACATGCTATTGGAAAAATGGCATTGACAGACTTGCCCAAAGCAGAATTGCCACAAACCTTCAATTAATAAAAAACACATATCTGTGAAGCACAATAAAGAAAAGCGCTATAAAATTAGGTATGCCTGTATTTGATTTCGTAAGACAAGTGAAATTACATTTAGCCATGTTACTCTGGGAAAAACAATATTAGCATAGAATTGGTTATCCCTGCAAGAATACATAAATAATGAAAGAAAATTTGTTTTTCAAGTGATTCCCCCATAGCTATCCAGCAAGTTAACATTATAAAATGAGCATAACTCCTAGAATTTGCTTAGGACACAGTGTCTCAAGCTCAGTTCTACTAAGGTTCTGAACCAGATAATTCTGTGTTGTGTAGGGCTGCCCTGTGCACTGTAGGAAGTTTAGAAGCATCACTGGTCTCCATGCATTAGAGGCCAGTAGTACTCTCACCTCAGATGTGGCAATCAAAAATCTCCAGACACTGCCAAATGTCCCCAGGAGACAAAAGCATCCCAGGCTGAGAACTACGGGCTTAGACCTAAAAAATGCACTAGTTACACAGTAAAAATAGTAGCATATTTTAAACAATAACAAGTATATCTAGAAAGAATTAAGAAAGCCAAAAGTTGGTCCTTTGAAAAAATGAAAGTCAGAAACCACTGGTAAGATTGGTGAAGAATATAAGAAAGCACAAATGATTAACATTTTGGATGAAAATAGGAACACAAGGGCAGATGCTGCTGAGGTTGAACAGAAAATTAAGAGGCTTTTATAAACAACATTATGCCCAAAGCTTTGAAAATGAATTAAATGGATACATTCATAAAAAATAAAACTTGCAAAAGACAATCAAAAACAAACAAATGTTAAAGGATATTTCATCAGTAGCTAAACATTTCCACAAAAAGAAGCTTTGTCAAATAGTCAAGGAATAGGTAATTCTAATCTCACATAAACTCTTTCAAATAACAAAATAAAAGAAACCTTTCCCAGGTACTTTATGAGACAAGCACGACTTTGATTCCAAAACCAGACAAGGACAGCTAAAAGGGAAAAAGTATAGGCCAATATCTCTTATAAACAGAGATTTTAAAAACAGGATGCAAATACTAGCAAACTGGACCAAGCAAAGTATGAATCATGAGGAGGTTGGGTTTACATCATGGATGTAAGGTTGATTCAATATAAGAAAATTAGCAGATTAAAAGAAAATAGGATTATCTCAATAGAGAAAAAGGGGTTGATAAAATTCAACATCAATTCATGATAAAACTGTTAGAAAACTAGGAACAGTAGGTAACTTCTCTAACCTGATAAATGACAGATACAACAATAAAACTCTATAGCAAACATCACATTTAATAATGAAATGTTGAAAGCATTTTCTTTAAGATCAGAAAAAAAGGCCAAGATGCCTTCCATCACTACTTCTATTCAATATTGTATTTAGAGGTCCTAGCTAGGACAGTAAGAAACCATTTTTAAAAATAAAAGAATTCAGAAGAGGCAAAACTGTTATTATGTGCAAACTATAATGACTGAATATTTTATAAGTAATCCATGGATTGTGAATAAGATATTTTAGTAAGTCTGTTTGTAAGAAAAATCAGCACACGAAAGTCAATTGAAAATGACTTCATTCCCACTAGGATGGCTAGAATAAAAAAGTCAGATAATAACAAGTATTGACAAGGACATGAAGAAACCAAAACGCTTACACACTGCTAGTAGGAATGTAAAATGGTGTGGCTGCTTTGGGAAACAGTCTGGCAGTTCCACAAATGGTTAAACATAGAGTTATCATATGACTCAGCAATTCCACTCCTAGATATAAACCCAAGAGAAACAAAAGCATATGTCCACACAACAACTTGTACATGCATGTTTGTAGCAGCATTATTCATTTTAGCCAAAAGGTGAAAAAAAAACCTAAATATCTATCTACTGATTAATAAACAACATGTGATGTGTCCATACAATGGAATATTATTCTGCCTTAAGAAGGACGGAAATTCTGGCACATGCTACAACATGGAGGAACCTTGAAAACATTATGCTAAGTGAAAAAAGTAAATCACAAAAGACCACATATAATGTGATTCCATTTAAATGAAATGTCCAGAAAAGGCAAATATGCAGAGACAGAAGTAGACTGGTAGTTGCTTAGGACTAAACAAGGATGAAGGGTTTGGGAGATGATCACTAAGGGGTGCAGCGTTTCTTTTAGAGGTGATGAAAATGTTCTAAAATTATCTTGACAATTGCACATGTCTGTAAATGCACTAAAATGCACTGATTTGTACACTCTGAGTGAATTATAAACTAGATCTCAGTAAAGCTGTTTTCTAAAAAAAAAGTCAATTGTATTTCTACATCAGCATGACACTGTTAGAAAATATGCTTTATAATGCATCAAAATGCAAGTAAGCTCTTCATGGAGAAAATTATAAAATTTTACCAAAAGGAAATTAAATAAATGAAAGGATACACAAGGTTTATATATTAGAAGTTTTAATATCATAGAAATGTCAATTCTCCTCCAATTGTTCTACAGATTAATTGCAATTCCAAAATCCTAACAGAACTCTCTTATAGTATTTGAGAAGCTGATAGTTAAACTTACAATGAAGCCCAAAGGCTAACAATAGCCAAGACATTCATTAAGAAAACAAACAATGGAAATGTACTCTCACAGCTACCAAGACTTCTAAAGCTATGGATAGGCTTTAGTGTAGGGAAATGACAGGGCTCAGAAAGATCCACACGTGTACATCTGGAAACTTGATTTATACGCAGCAAGCATGGAAGGTCAAATTGGATATCTGTACCCATATTTCATATCCTGTTCAAAACCAAATCTAAGTGAATAACACACTTAAATGTAAAAACGCAAAACTATCAAGAAGACTACTATTTTGAAAACAGTATAGAACAGGAAAATTCAAAAGAACAGTGAGAGGAGACTAGTGTTAATAATATTAAAACACATAAAGAATCACACGTGGAAGCAGAGTGTGGAAAGATGAATAAAGGGGGCTTGGGGTGGCGGGGGGTGGATGATGGGAGGTTGCTTGGTGGGTATAATGTGCATTGCTCCAGTGATGGATGTGCTGAAGGCCCTGACCTCACCACAATGCAATACAGTAGTGTAGCACAATTACACTTGTACCCCATGAATATATACAATTTTTTAAAAATCATTAAGAACAATGTGGTATTGAAACGTGGGAAGACAGAATAGAAAGTCCAGAAATATACCACGCTACACGTGGAAATTTAGTATGATGAAAGTGGCCTCTCAAACCAGTAAAGAGGGACTTTTTAATAAATGATACTAAGACAACAGGGTATCTTCTACCTGTGGGCAAAAATAAAAACTAGATTGGATTTATATTTCACATCATATACCACATAAAACAGAAATGGGTCAAAGATATAGATAGATAGATAGATAGATAGATAGATATAGAGATATGTACTAAAACCACAGAGTACTAGAAGAAAACACAGGGAAATTCCTTTATAACCTTACAGTAACTCAAAATCCAGAATCTATTAAAACTAAAAGAATACAACAGCATAAAAATTTTATAAATCCTGCAAGGCAAAAAGCACCAAAGTCAAAAACATCACACCAAGTGAAATGCACCAGCTCCAAAGGACATATGTATGATTCCACTAATATGAGATACCCAGAGTAAGCAAAGTCATAAGGACAGAGAGCAGAGAACAGAGATGAGCAGAGGCTGGAGGGAAAGAGGAACCGGCAGCTATCTCTTCATGAGTATAGAGTTTCTATTTGGGATAATGAACAAGATTTCTGGAAATAGATAGTGGTGATGGTTGCACAACTGTAAACATACTTACACTGAATTATACACTTAAAAATTGTTAAAATGGTACATCCTGTTAGGTATATTTTACCACAATAAAAACAAATGAGGGTGACCAGAAAAATAAGCAATTTTAAAAAAAGACAAATGACAAATGAGGGTGGAAGAGTGGGCAACATTTGCATCTCGCATCACAGAAGAGTTTGCCACCCTAACACATGAAGAAATCAGTGAGAAAAAAGGCCAATAACCTAACCCAATTTAAAAATAGGCAACAGATGCAAACAGTTCACAGAAAGAAAAATTGCCCTTAATCATATGCAAAAATGTTCAACATCACTCAGAGAAATGCAAATTTCTATTTGCAAATGTATTATATACACTGAAATATATTTTTTATCTATCAGATTGGGAAAAAAGTTAGTAACACACTCTCATGGGAAAGCTATAAGTTCCCCCTTGTATTCTACTGGCAGGAATATAAATTGTTATATCTACGACTGAAGGCAATTAACAATATCCAGAACAATACCAACGCATACGCCCTTTCATCAAGCAACTCCACTTCTGGGAATATATATATCCTCCAGATATGCTAGCACATGTGGGAAACAGACATGTACAGGTTACGGTAACATTGTGTGCAATATCAAAAAGTCAGAAACAACCCAAATGTCCATTGATAGGAAACTGGTTAAATAAATTATGAAATTTTTTTCCGTACAATGGAAAATTATACACTATAAAAAACAAGAACCTCTGTTTGCAAATATACAAAGAGTTCTAACATATAAAATTAAGAGAATAAAGCAAACAGCAGAATAGTGTATCTACTACACTTCTTGAATTAAAAGGGAAGGGGGAATAAGAATATTTATATTGTATAAAGAAACACTGGAAAGATATATAAGAAATTCATAAAAACTGTGACTAGTGAGAAACGAAGGATGGAGTAAGCAGGCAACTGAGGCAGAGGGGATAAAAATGGAAATGAGATATTTTATTGTACTTTTTAATTTTGATTTGAGATACATGAATGATTTCTTCTTAAAATTGTTTTAATAACTTGATAGAGGTTTCTAATTCAAGGGTATATATATATTAGTTAGAACCCAAATAAATCCATATGTATGTCATTATATGTGTGACTTCTATCTGAAATGAAAAAGAAAACCCTAAATACTTATCTCTAGTTAATTAGATGCACACTGAAGTATTTAGGAGGAAGTGAACTGGTATCTGCAACTTAATGTGAAATGCACAAGAAAACGTGACGGATAAGTACGTGAATAGAGAGGTGGACAGATACATATAAAGCAAGTAAGATGTTGATTGTAGGATCTAGATGATATGCATAAGGATGCTCAATATAAAATTTTCAGTTTTTCTGTTTAAAATGTCATAACAAAACATTAAAAGATGTTTTATTAAAATTCTAAAACTAGAGAACTCATGAATCAATAAATGAGCAACTCAACAGAAAAACAGGCAAAAAATACGTGTTTAATAGAAGACACAAATGTTGTATAAACATATAAAAGGCTGTTCAATCCTACTTGTAATCAGGGAACTACAAACTTTTAAACCACCTTGAGATACCATTTCTCAGCTGTCAGGCTGGCAAAAATTTTAATCAGTACCAAGTGTGGAAAAGGAGGTGGAAACAACCTAAAACCCAAGCGTCCATTAATATTACAATGGGCACCAAACTGTGGGATAGTCACATGACGAAATATACTATGAAGCAGTGAGAGTGAACAAACTACTAATGCCCTCATCCACAGAAAAGAATCTCAAAATACATTTTAAGTAAATGATGCAAGTAATTTAAAAATCAGTAAGATTTTAACTACATTAAGTTCAAAAGCAGGCTAAACAGTATATTGTTTAGCTACAGAGATATAATTAAATTATAAAAAGCAAGGAAATAATTAATGAAAAAATCAGAATAATGGTCACCTCTAGGGAGAGATTGCAATTATAATGAAAACAAGGTATTGCAGGTGGTTTTCAAGGTACTTCTAATGTTCTGTTTCTTAACCTAGATGGTCAGTTTCATGAGTGTTCATTATTATTCTTAATATATGTTGTTATATATACTTTTGCAAATACATTCTACAGTAAAAAGTTTCTTTTTTGAGATGGAGTCTCGCTCTGTCACCCAGGTTGGAGTGCAATGGCACAATCTCAGCTCACTGCAACCTCCACCTCCCAGGTTCAAGCGATTCTCCTGGCCTCAGCCTCCTGAGTAGCTGGGACTACAGGTGACCGCCACCACGCCTGGCTAATTTTTGTATTTTTAGTAGAGACGGGGGGGTTCGCCATGTTGGCCAAGCTGGTCTCGAACTCCTGACCTCACGTGATCTGCCCACTTCGGCTTCCTAAAGTGCTGAGATTACAGGAATAAGCCACTGCACCCAGCCAAAAGTTTCTTAAATATGAAAATGATGAGCACATTGCCCATTTTTAAGGATTAAACATGAATTCGTATAATATTAACATAAACATTCAAATGAAATTGTTTAATAGCTAACTCAATTTTAACATGATCAAAACCAAGATCCTGACTTCCAACTCCCACTCCCCGACGCATGCTCTTCCTGTTGTCTTTCCCACCTGGGTAAATTGCCTCTCCAGCCTACCAGTTGCTCAGTCCAAACCTTGGAATCATCCTTGATTCTGTTCTCTCTCTCAAACCTCACACCCAACCCATCTGCAAATCTTGATGGGATCTTTACATTATATCCAAATCCTTCACTTACCATCCTCTTCATACCACCCCAGTCCCAGCCACCACCGTCTCTCACGTGGATAACTACAACAGTCTCCTTCCTGGTCTCCCTGTTTCTGTCCTCTGTCTAGTTTATTCTTAACAGGCAGCCAGAGAGATCATTTAAAAATGCAAATTAGGGTGAGTTGTCCTTTGTTCAAAACCCACCTATAGCTCCCCACCTCTGTCACTATGAAAGCCAAGAATCCACACAACAGCCCACTGAGCACTACCTGTTCCAGCTCCCACTGCGGCTCCTACAACTTTCTCCCTCACTCCATCTGCCGCAGCCACAGTCAACTCTTCACATTGCTCAAACTGGCCACGCTGGCTGCGGCCTTGGGCTCTCCCTCGGAATCCACATGTTCTCTCCCAAACTTCCTTCATGTCAACAGCTCAAATGTCACCTTATTAGAAGGTTTATCAGAACTACCCTACATGAAATCGAAAAATCCCGCCCTACAACCTAGTGCTCCCTTCCTCCTCACTGTGTTTATCATTTTTCATCTTATTATCATGTAATTGATCATACACATTACATATTTACTGTCTGTCTCCACTCACTAGAATGAAAACTCCACACGAGAAGAATTTTTACCAGTTTTGCTTCCTACTATATCCCCAACATCTAGGTAAGGGCTTAATAATATTTGAATGAAGGAATGGCCTTTTATTAAACTGTTTTGTAAACCATAAGCATTTATTATAATATTTAAAAGTACTTTAATTCATAAAATAAATTGTATTATCTCCATTAACAATCATGAAAAACTAGGCCGGGCGCAGTGGCTCACGCCTGTAGTCCCAGCACTTTGGGAGGCCGAGGCGGGTGGATCATGAGGTCAGGAGATTGAGACCATCCTGGCTAACACGATGAAACCCCATCTCTACTAAAGATACAAAACATTAGCCGGGCGTGGTGGCGGGCGCCTGTGGTCCCAGCTACTCGGGAGGCTGAGGCAGGAGAATGGCGTGGACCCAGGAGTCGGAGCTTGCAGTGAGCAGAGACCACGCCACTGCACTCCACCCTGGGCGACAAAGCGAGACCCCGTCTCAAAAAAAAAAATCATGAAAAACTAAATTAAATTTTGCCAAGTAAAATATCAAGCACATATATGCTTTTTCCTGAATGTAAATCATTTGTTCCCAAAGGGAAGCAAAATAAAAAATAGCTAGGAATTCAATTTGCAATAAATTAAAAATTGATTTTACAAACATCAAGTAAAGCAAAGTATGTCACACTTTGAAGAAGTAAAATTGAAATAAAGCTATCATTTGAATCCTATACCTCCAACTAAATTAATGTGCTGTTGCTGTAAAGCTAAAAACTAAAGCAGAAAGCATGCCCTAACTTGAAAAACAAGCATTGATTACTTGCTTCAGCAACAGGAAAACAGGAAGCGCAAACAGTGCACGCTAAAAGGAACCTTAAGAATCATCTAGTATTAGCCCTTTCATTTTTACAACAAAAGAAACTGAGGACCTGAAATGACCTGAAAAAAAAACAATTCAGTTTGCTTATTCAATTGTGATCCTTGCTATAGCAAAATTCAGCTTTTATAGAATTAGAGACAAAATATATCTCCATGGAAACAATATTCCCAAGTATACATGTGAGACTGAGAAGTATGGTTTTCTATGCAGGTCTTCACATCCTAAATATACAGATAGGATTTGGGGTGGGGAGGTACTGAAAAGAGCACAGCTTTCTAATCAGACAGGTGTGGATTTAAATTCTGGCTCTACTATTTACTTTGATTTTGGTAATTGTTGTCCATCCGAGCCCCAGCTTTTTATCAGCGAAATGGGGATCATTAAGACTTACATTATAAGTTTGTTAAGAATGTAAAAAAGTATTAAGTCGTCTAACTCAGGGCCTGGTACATTCCTGGCTACAGTCTGCCTGCAGGCCTTCTGACATTTTAATCAGACTTGCATAATGCTCAATGAGAATCACCATCTCTGACTGCCACTGTTGGCTTTATTGCACTAGCCTGTATCACAGAGAGTTCCACTAACAGCAGGGGGATGAAACTGTTGATGCTGTTATCAACAGAAATTGTCAATTACCTGACAGCAGACACTAGGTGCTACTTGTTAGAGGCAAAATAAAAGATTGCTTGATTTTTCTTCTAAATGTAAAGTTGAGCAATCTATTTCTGACTAGAGTCCTGATCCCTGATCAATCACACCTTCTCAAAACTAAAAGGGATCTCACAGGTTATCCAGCAAGAATCTTCTCCACAGTACATTAGATTAGATTAGATGACCAATGTCTGTGTAAAGCCTTCTAGTTTAAACCAAGCTCTCACTCAGGTAGCAGTTTATTACATTTTCCGATCCTTCTAATTAACAGGAAGGGTTTTTCCCCCACTAAGAATGGACAGGTGATGAAAAAGTGAATGAAAACATATTAATGCCACCCTTATACTCATATACGTCTGGAAACAAAAATCTTAATTATTTTCATTTGAGGGTAAAGGATATCCTATTTAATAACAATTCCATAATATAAAAGTCAAGTTCTAAAAATATATCTTGAAGCTTACATTTATGTACTCAAAATATATATTAGAAAGCTTGCCTTATAGAGGGATCAAAGACTTAAATCTAAGACCTGAAACCATAAAGATTCTAGAGGATAACATTGGAAAAATCCTTCTAGACATTGGCTTAAGCAAAGACTTCATGACCAAGAACCCGAAAGCAAATGCAACAAAAATGATAAATAGATGAGACTTAATTAAACTAAAAGGCTTCTACACAGCAAAAGAAATAATCAGTAGAGTGGGAGAAAATCTTCACAATCTATACATCCTACAAAGAACTAATATATAGAATCTACAAAGAACTCAAACAAATCAGCAAGAAAAAAACAATCCCATCAAAAAATGGGCTAAGGACATTAGCCCACTTTTAGACAATTATCAAAAGAAGATATACAAATAGCCAACAAGCATATGGGAAAATGCTCAGCATCATCAATTATCAGGGAAATGCAAATCGAAACCACAATGTGATACCACCTCACTCTTGCAAGAATGGCCATAATCAAAAAATCAAAAAAGAATAGATGTTGGCATGGATGTGGTGAAAAGGGAACATTTTTACACTGTTGGTGGAAATATAAACTAGTACAACCACTGTGGAAAACAGTGTGGGGATTCCTTAAAGATAAAAGTAGCTCTAGCGTTTGATCCAGCAATCCCACTACTAGGAGTCTACCCAAGGAAAAAAAGTGATTATAGGAAAAAGATACTTGCACATGCACGTTTACAGCAGCACAATCTGCAATTGCAAAAATATGGAACCAGCCCAAATGCCCATCAATGAACAAGTCGATAAAGAAAATGTAGTACACATATGTGTGTATATACACACATATGTACACGTGTGTATATACACACACATATGTACACGTGTGTATATACACACACATATGTACACGTGTGTATATACACACATATGTACACGTGTGTATATATACACATGTGTATATGTGTGTATATATGTATGTATATATGTGTGTATATGTATACATATCTATATGTATATATACATATATATGTATATATACATATATATGTATATATACATATATATGTATATATACATATATATGTATATATGTATACATATATGTGTGTATATGTATATATGTGTGTATATATACATATGTGTGTATATATGTATACATATATGTGTGTATATGTATATATGCGTATATATATATACATATGTGTGTGTGTATATATATACATACACCATGGAATACTACTCAGCCGTAAAAAGGAATGAAATAATGGCATTCACAGCAACCTGGATGGAATTGGAGGCTATTATTCTAAGAGAAGTATAATAACTCAGGAATGGAAAGCCAAACACTGTATGTTCTCACTTATATGTAGGAGCTAAGCTATGAGGATTCAAAGGTGTAAGAATAATACATTGGACTTTGGGGACTCAGGGGGAAAGAATGGGGGGTGGCAAGGGGTAAAAGACTACACATGGGGTACGGAGTATACTTCTCGGGTGACGGGTGCACCAAAATCTCAGAAATCACCACGAAAGAACTTATCCATGTAACCAAACACCACCTGTTCCCCCAAAACATATTGATATAAAAAAATAAAAAATTAAAAAATAAAGTTTGCCTTATAAATGTATAAAACAAAGAAAACATACCTGGGATGATATCATTGATGTGCAATAGAATTGTACTTTCAACACACGCAAAACTACAAAGCTGCACTCCATCAAATCTTCCATCCCAGTTGCCAATAGGGTTATCCTAGAAATTAAATAATAAACATTAAAATCCTCCTCAATGAAATGTAAATGTGGAAGTCTGTATTTTCCATAAAGAATCCTCCAAAATATTTTACATTGGTAAATGTTAACAATTTTACCTAAAAGAAAGAAAGAATACATTAGGAATAGTTGCCATAGTAATAAGGTTTTGCTTTTTTCATTGGTTTGTTCATTTTTTTCTTTAGGGAAATGAGATTCAAGAATAACCAAGTGATAGTAAACCCCCAGATAAGCAAAGAATTGAAAGTGTTTTTTTCATACTTTACTGAACAATAAATACTAATCTGTAGGATAACACCCATTTGAGGTTTAAAAAGACAGTATTTTGCACAGGAAGTTTCATTAATAATATATTATTTCACCCAGAAACCTGCCTCTAATTAGCCCTAAGTTCTTCATATTCCCTGAGCATTTAAATAGTCCATCTGAACTTCTGTATGCCTTTCTGTACATAAAAAGTCTATTTTCTAATTGTTCTTTTGTCATTTATGAGCATATAGGAATCTTCTCCAAGATGGAGATGTTTATATTTAATTATCTGATATTCTAATATAGTGCCAACTAGCACTGTGCTGTACAGGGAACTACATCAGTAGACGGGCCAGTCAGACAACTGCCCTGGGCACCAATGTGCATGGCATGCTAAAATGTCCCTGGAAATAAAGGATGAATAGAAGGAAAAGGAGATAAAGAAAGAAGTTCTAGCATTTGCCAGAACTTTCCTCTTAAGGACTATAATAGAAGTGTTTGGAATGAATATCTGCACAAGTCAGCTATGGGACAGATGGAGGCAAGGAGAGAAGCTGGCAGGGCAAATCTCTAGGCAGCTTGCCTCAGGTAAACAAGCTGACCCCAGACCGCCATCTGAAAAAGGCAAGGCCTAAACCCTAAACAGCTTCTGCCAAGTTTGAGGCCCAAGGTAAAGAGCCTGATGCAAGGGGAGACCAACCCCAATGACCAGTGGCCCTCTTTCTCCAATCTTCCCTCCATGAAGGCCACAATTCTCCTTGAAATAAAGACTGAATTACTATTTAAAGAATATTGGTTAAAAGGAGTGCTTTACTGTCAGCTATCCTGAGGGGCATACATGTTTTACTCTGGTTCTAACTTTTCACATGTTAAGAGTAAACGTTTGTTTAGTAACTAACCAATGAGTATCAGATAGAATTTCCTGGAATTTTCAAGCACAGGAAACCATTACACTAGAACATTACCTTACCAACCAAAAAGTATACCTGAGCAGATAAAAATGATGACTAAAAGCATCCCCATTGTGAGTATAAGAGATTACTACTCACATCGCCTCCTAACTCATTCTAGTGTTCAGTAATTCCATATGAATTTCCTTCTTTATACATAACAAAGTCTTGCCCATATGTTCAATATATGATAAAAATGGTCTCAGCCTTTCTCTTCTTATTCTTTCAGTGCCACAGGTATAATCCAATGAACCACACTGGAATGGATCCATTATTAAAAAGTATGATTGTAAGGAAACATTAAAAATAAGTGACACAAACAAAAGGTCAAATGTTGTATGATTCCACTCTTATGAGGAGCCTAGAACCGGCAAATTCAGACAGAGAAATCAGAAGAAATTGTGGTTAGCAGAGGTTGGGGAAAGTGGGCAGTTACTGTTAAAACAGGCACAGAGTTTCGGTTTGGGATGATGAAAAAGTTCTGGAGATGAACAGGTGACAGTACAACAATGTGAATACACTTAATGCCACTGTATGCACACTTAAAAATGCTTAAGTGATAAATTTTGTTATGTATATTTTACCACAATTAAAAAAGGTTTTTAAAATGAATGAAATCCTATGAGATATTCTGATTGTCTATTCCTCAAAATCAATGTGGTTTTCCTCTACTCAGGTATTTTCTATAAATGATTATTATACTAATTATTAAAATCAGATCAGCCATTAAATTGTGTAGAATATCACAAAAAAATGGAGTACCCCAAAAAACTGTTTCAAAATAAAGAAAAATAGGACTTCAAGTAATATAATTGTGTTTTGTCTTGTTTTGTTTTGTCTACTGGTCAGCTACAATAAGGCAAATTTAAAGATAGAGAACATTATTCTAGTTTATTCAAATGGGAAAAAAAAGTAAATGTAATCTGTATCTAGACCCCTGTTCTATTTCAATGCTCCTTTACCAAAGATAAATTAGAACATGTTCTTTAAAGTACTCCAAATTAGATCATGTTAAATATTCAAAGTGTTCAATTTGCAAGTAAATTGGTCCTAAAACTAATACATATATATATAAACTATACATATATATGTGTGTATATATATGTGTGTATATATATGTTTATATATATATATACATATATATATAAACTAATATATATATCACAAAGATATTTAATCCAAAATTTTCTTACCATGTCCACACCAACAAAATATCCTAAGCTTTCTTTTCCTGGCAAAACATCACAGAATATAACTGTTCCAGATTCTATTGTTTCTCCAACCTTCAAAGAAACTCTGGAGTTTATTTCCAAAGGAGGAAGTTCGACCTGCATTGTGTCCCCAGGACCTGCGTAATCACTTTCCAATGCAGTGTCATCATCTTCTATGAGTTCTAGCTTGTCCAATGCAACAAACACGCCACAATCTTCATCACACTGAAAAAGCTGTTTCCCTTGGTACACCCCGTCAGTGAAACCTTGACCACGACCTTCTTCCTAGTTTTTAAGAGAGAAGGGAAAGAAATAGATATAGAAAGACGATCCATAGGAAAAGGGGTTCACTCTAGGGATTTCAGGAAAATCACTCTGGAAAATTTCTAAATGATACATATAATAAGAAATACAATTATTAGCAGTTTCTGTTGGATTTAGAGTGTTTTAAAAAATAAGAAGTTGTATCTGATGCTGAAATAATATTATCTGATAATTTCAATTCATAACTCTATCATGAGAAAGCTAGGCTGAATTCCACGTTGTGATTCTAACATTAATTTGGTTATAAAAAGAAAATGTTACTTTAAAATAGCAGTAATGTTAGCTCCATTCATTAAGCACTTATTGTCAGTCACTGTGCTTAAATCCTGCATCAATGTACCACAAAAACACTACAAGTCATGTACTATTAACACCATTGTACAGGTAAGGATGCAGAATGAGAGAAGTTAAGTAGCTTTGTTAAGTAACCTGGCAACCCAGCTAGTAAATGGCTTAACTGGGATTCAAATTCCTAATTGTTTACAATCACTGCTTTTAAAAAAAATTAAATCAAGAAGCAAAGAAGACATGCAATTCTATTGGCAAGAGTGTCAAAATGTAATTGGCATTTCAGTTCTTGTGAATGAATATTAAGTTTGGAAACATATCACAGCATTCTTGGGTCTCCTTCCGGTAGAAATAAATTCTAAGGATTTTCACATATATTATCGGGGACAATTATAAGCAAGTTTAAATTTCTGCAACTTTTTTTTCAAAAATCTTATATCTAAATTGTTATTTAATAACATACATTAAGAAGAACTAAGAAACCTATAGATGATAACGCAAGGTAATTAACAATTTTTTATGTAACTATTTACAACTGGTAGCGTTCATGTTTAATACAGGCAATGTTAAAATTTCTAAAATATATATGTCTGCAATAGCCAGGTGAATCTCTTTGTATGTTCCTACCATAGTACATAGTTTTTTAAGTTTCGACATCATCTTTACATCTTCGCAATTCATCATTAAAAAGTAAACAAAAGAAATTAAATCAAGAAGCAAAGAAGGCATACAATTCTATTTGCAAGAATGTCAAAATATAATTGACATTTAAGTTCTCAAGAATGAATATTAAGCTTGGAAACATATCACAGAGTTCTTGGGTCTCTTTCCAACAGAAATAAACGCCAAGGTGATTTTCACACATATTATCAGTGACAACTATAAGCAAGTTTTGGATTATGGATTCAACCACAACATGGATTCATCAGCAAGGATGATGAATATTAAAAATTACAGAAGACTCTTGGGAAAATTTATTTCGTATTTAAGGAGAAAAATATGTATGTGCATACAAATACACAGACACACATGAACACAAACAAACACACTACTAAAATGGTTTATCAAACTTACCAGCAATTCAACTCCAAAGAATATTCCGGAGACTGTCCTCTCTGCTAACAGGGGTCCTCTGAAGCGTACAACTCCAGGAAATTTTTCTTCCCCAGATCTCAGCTGTACTTTCACAGGACAGCCCACGTCTATTTGGAGGCCTTTACTTAGTCTGTTTCTGTTTTTAAACAGGCTGAACCTCTCCTCACAATTGGTAATTGCCAAAAGTAACTCTGTGAACTTTTCATTTATCTCTACAACATCCTTTTCATCAACAAAGAGAACTGCATGAGGTTGCTCTAGAATTTTTAATCCAATCTGATTTTTCTTGCCTTTTGCAGAAGGAATCCTTGAATGCCCCACAGAACGATCTTGAATATACTGTCCTATACTTCCCTTCGGTACTTTAAGGAGCTTTTGTGTTTGTTTGTCTGTAACGCTGCATTCTTGAAGAAGCAAGTAAAAAATCCGCTCTTCCCAGTAGGGTGAAGTGACTTTTTCTTGGCTCCATAAGCCTGAACTCATTGTGATATTAACTTCAAAATACTAATTCAAAAAAGGGAAACTACTAATAACTTTGTCATAAAACCGCAAAAGATAAATTCAGTGGCAGTCCCAAAGCATGTTTTCAGCAACGTGGTGTCCATGCTGTAAAAAGAAAGGAAATCAAAATGCCTAGTGAAAAAGCAAAAATAAACTTTAGACTTCATTCTACATGACTGAAAATTAAGACTGAAGACTTTTAAAATTTTCATTTGACCAGTAAACACATACACACAAATGAAATATTTTCAAAAAATATCTAAAAGGGCTAAAAGACATACATACTGTATTACTTTTATCTACTGTAACTGTGCATATTTAATTAATGAAATCCAATTGTAAAGTACTTTCAAAGACAACACAATGTTTGCTTCCAAGACACTGAAATTTATAAAATCAGATTCTAGTAAAAACTTTTAAAGATTACCCTTATATACATATTCTAACTTTTTTTAATTTATTTTTATTTATTTGTTTTGAGACAGGGTCTCACTCTTGTTGCCCATGCTGGACTGCAGTGGCACAATCACAGTTCACTGTGGCCAAGACCTTCCAGGCTCAAGTGATCCTCCTACCTCAGCCTCCCGAGTAACTGGTATTATAGACGCATATCACCACACACAGCTAAGCTTTCTATTTTTTGTAGAGACAGGGTCTCACTATGTTGCCTAAGCTGGTCTTGAACTCCTGGGCTCAAACAATCCTCCTGTCTTGGCCTCCCAACGCACTGGGATTACAGTCGTAAGCCACCAGGCCTGTCCCATATTCTGACACTAATAAACTTTTAAAAGTAGCGTTTCGGGCTGAGCTGTGTGGCTCATGCCTATAAATGATAGCTATGATATGGCCATATTGTGATAATGGAACATTTTACCTCTGACTCAACTTCATTTCATATATTTTTTCTGAAGATGGGCAATGTTCATCACATTAATCATAGTTATCTGATTTCTCAAATCGCAAATATCAGATATTATAATATGACTATATTAAAAATATTTTAAAAATCAATTTTGTAGCATCAAAACTTGTACTACATAGCAAGGGAATATCATGATATAACTGCATTATAATTTCTTTCTATTATTTCTTTTTCAAATTTTCATTTATTTTTATTTTATTTATTTATTTTTAAGACAGGGTCTCGCTCTGTCACCCAGGCTTGGGTACATTGGTGCGATCATAGCTCACTGCAGTTTCAAACTCCTGGACTCAAATGATCCTCCCACCTTGGCCTTCCAAGGTTCTAGGATTACAGGCATGAGCAACTGCACCTGGTCCTCATTTAAAATTTTTACAAGAATAATAATCTTTCCAATGAAGTAGGCTCATTCTCAAACCTATTTTAACTGATGGTTAAAAAACTACACAATTTCATTAATTTAAACTGAGACTTTACTTCATTATTTTAATTAATTTTCTGCTGAAAACAATACTTCCTAGGTATCCCTGTCATAAGAATGTGGCTATCTGGTTTCCAAAGACAGTACTTTCATTTCATCCTTCCTTGAGATAGAGGTATCCATTTCCATTATTCTGGGTAATGGCTGCAATTGATAGCACTATCATATTTATTTTATTCTAGCAATTAAAAAATAAATACTCCTAAAGAACCAAATTTTAGATTTAATCACTTAATGATCAAACAACCTGGCAAATCTATACACAGTGGAACACTTCTTTTAGAAAGCACTGCTAGATAATGAAGTATTCCATAATGGTAACGTTCCTAAAAGTCTCTCCCTCTACAAGCCAGCATGAGACATGTGGTTTAGCCAAGACAGGATACAGGTTAGGCACCTCCTTCAAACCAACATGACTGAAATATCTGTGTAACACTCAGTGAGGGTAAAAGCAGAGGTAGCATGAAGTGGTTCTCTTTTCTTCTTTTTTGTGGTGTGTTTGTTTTAATTCCACTTGAGGGCACTGTCTACTTCAGCAAGAATGGGATCAATTTATATTTGCCACTTATATAAGACACCTGTGGAAACCTCTATCTTGACACAATATAAACAAAACTCCTTATAAGGGCTGCCCAAACAGCTATCCAACCCCTCAATTTGGTTGGATTCCTTTAAAGGACCAAACTGAAGTGTTGGTTCTTTTTGACCAAAATGCTTTTAACATGTCAACACTTTCCACAAGAAAATGTCCTTATTTTTTTCTTGATCATTGATGTATCATTATGACTGTAAATTATTTTGCATAACTCTTGATCTGCAAGGCTGTTATTTTGTTAAAAGGCTGTATCTTATGCTTCCTGAGGTCGCGAATGCTTTCTACAGATCTACTGTCTAGAGTTTTCCCTTGCAATCAGCCATTTTCTGTGGTTTCCTGCTGTATGCATTTGACTCCTTTTACGGCCTTGTTGCTTTCCAACTTATCGCTTCGAATCAGTTCTGAGAAGCCAGGTAGTGAAATATGTTTGTGTGTTTGAAAACACAAAGCAACAATCGTGAAAAGAGGAATGCATACATTCTGAAAGGGTCTTTAGGAGCAAAGGGCACATAGGCTTTATTGAATAGAGAGTCTGGTCACTAGCAGAAGGTTAAGACAGTCAAAAAGCAACTTTCAAAAAAACGAGCTGTTGTTTTGGTTCTCTTTAAAATGTATTTAGATTTTTAGGGCCAAAATTTTTTTGAAAAAGGTAAAGTAATTCTATTTTGAAAAGAAATTCTTTTTTAAAATTCCTAAGAACAATGTCTTCAAATATTACAATCAGAAACTTCCCTGAATCTTAATAATTGCTTTATACCAACAGCTCCTACTCTATTGGTCCTGTAGCTTAACTATTCATGTCACAATTTAAAATAAAAATCATTAATGCTAATAATCTATTATTAAGACAAAACTAAATTACTATATGTGCATTAGGACATTATGTTAAATAAATTTGATTATAAGCTTGCTTTCTGAAATAATTTAAGGAAGAGAATCCACAGTAAAAATTGATATAACTGCTAGGTTTATAAAAATGTTTTAGGGTAATAAACTATAGCTTTCAAGTACCATATTTTAAAGTGAACTCTACAAGGAGTGGTAACTTTTTTCCTAACTTTCATTAGCACAAGTGGAAATGAGCTTAGACTTAGCAATAGGATGGGTCATGTTAGACAACTAAAATAGTCAAGCACAAGTTATCAAATATTTCAAAAGCATTATCCAAAAATAAAGGATACAGCCTTTCCTCTTTCAGAAAGAATATATTAAGAACAAGTTTGAAACTCTCTTATTAAAAATTGATTCTCTTCACTGCAACTGATAGAGAAAGTTGAATGGGAAACTTTACGGCTCGAGTCTAGAGATATACAAGGCAATCAACTGAATGATCACTAATATTCTCGGCCAGGCACAGTGACTCACGCCTGTAATCCCAACACTTTGGGAAGCCAAGGTGAGTGGACAGCTTGAGCCCAGGAGTTTGAGACCAGCCTGTGCAACACAGTGAAACCTCATTTCTACAAAAAGTACAAAAGTTAGCCAGGTGTGATGGCATGTGCCTGTAGTCCCAGCTACTTGTGAGGCTGAGGTGGGAGGATGGCTTGAGCCCTGGAGGGAGGGACTGCAGCAAGCCATGATCACGCCACCGCACTTCAGCCTGGGTGAAAAAGCAAGACCCTGTCACACACTCTCTCACATATATACACACTCCATTATATATATATATTTATTTTATGTACTCAAAATACCAGTATTGCAATAAAAATATGCTAACATACATTTCTCCCCACTGTAGAAGTGAATATAACACCAACAGTCTACTTTCACTGGGATGTGCATAGTAGTTAAATAGTTAAAGTCTTAGGTACCCCAAGCAGTAAAAACTGACTCAACACAATATGAAGGGAAAGATCTAAATCACATTGTAAATGAGTTATTTATCATCAAGAAGGTTGGTTTGTTAGTTTGGTATTTTTTACGCTTTCAGTACAGAGTTAGATACTGAAAACTACATCATCTAGGCTAGGCACAGTGGCTCACTCCTGTAATCCCAGCACTTTGGAGGCTGAAGTGGGAGGATCCCCTAAGCCCTGGAGTTCAAGGCTTTAGTGAGCTGTGATAGCACTACCGCACTCCTGCCTGGGTGACAGAATGAGAGCCTGTCCCAAAAGGAAGAAAAAAAAAGAAAAGAAAATTAGCCGGGTGTGGTGGTGTCTGCCTGTGGGCCCAGCTACTCAGGGTCCCAGCTACTCTGGAGGATGGGAAGATCGCTAGAGCCCAGGAGGTCCAGGCTGAAGAGAGCTATGATCACACCACTGTACTCCAGCCTGGGTGACAGAGCAAGACCTGGTCTCAAAAAAAAAAAAAAAAAAAAAAACAAAGAGGAAAGAGAGAACACACACAAAAAAAAACCCAACATCAATCCACATTCACTCAGCTTCTGCCTTTAAGTAAAGGCCTAGGGAACAGTAAGACAACTGAAGGAAAAAGAAGCACAGCTAAATTCAAAGTCACCGTAGGGCAGGTGGGGGTGAGGGGTCAGTGTGAAGGGAGAAATTTTCACTTGTATTCTCTTATTATTTTGCAGGTTGAATCACTTTGAGTGAGTATATCACAAATGACTCATCTAAATACTATCTTACTTCAGGCTGGATAACTGTGTGATTATGAATATCTTGGTAATAAATACTGAATGAAAATTACCAACGAGTTGAAACACAATAATATGTTTAACCCTAAAGCCATGTTGAACAGAAGGCCTTTCCTTTAAGGACGCTGATGAAGGAGAACAGTTCAGGTTCACATAGATTTGAAAACATTTCTGGTTATCTGAGCTTGTTGATGGTCTGGATTCTGAGTAAAGGGGAACTTACTTGTATTAAGATGAAGTCATTCAACCAAGACGAGAGTTGGAAGGCACAAATATTTATCAATTTTCCATGAAGACAATGGAAAGATGATCAGGAAATATGTTTTACATGAAAATGTTAAAGATTACAATTACCACATTCTGAAAGGCAACATATAGTACAAATGAACATCAGTAGCTACAGAAAACTAACAATGGTTAACTTATCCAGAAGATGCAGTGTTTTTCTGATTCTCAAGTTATCAGGTTATATTGTTCATAAGGATCTCACAAAGACAGATCCAATTCAAGAGCTTTTTGCATCTCCAAAGATATCCTGCTTGTTCTAAAAACCACAGGAAGCTATTTAAATTAGAATAAAACTTACAATACTTAATTCTGCCCCTAATTATAAATGGCAAAGAGGTAGGAAGGTCAGCTTGAACACCAAAGAAAGAAGACATGTGGGCCTTTTTCCAAAAGCTTCTGGATAGCTAGAATGATCATCCTTTTAAAAGAGAACATCTCTCACTAAAAGACAAAGTTGTTATATTTCTAAACAGCTAAAGAATAGAGATACAGAGATTCCGTGGCCAGAAAAAAGACTGAGTCCGTTTTAATTTTCCTCAATGACTAATTTGTGTCACAAGTACACAGTCCCTAATACAAGTGGGATTTATAAGGTTAAAAAAAAAAAAGAAAAGAAGAGCCTCTCACATCTGCATATTCCCACTGGAACAAGGAATACTGCTGCCTCTCTAGTGTTAAACCTAGCCACTCCACTGCCAAACTGTGAATTCCCCAAGTCCTTCATTTTTATATTATCCAGTGCCCACACGAGAGCCTGGCATATGCTAGGCACTGAATACAGAGAAATGAATGAAAGACTCAAGTGGTAACAGTGAAAACAAAATTGCATTTCCTCCTCCTGTTTAAGGGATTAAACCAAGAGAAAGAGAAGAGAAAAAGACTCAGGAATTGGGAGTATTTAATGAATTTTGCCTAAAACTTCAGTAATTCTCTAGATAAAATGAAATCATGCTAAACCACTTCATTGTTATACATATAAGAAGAAACAAATACGGAAAATTTCACAATTACGAAACCAAGTTGTTTTGAGGTTTATTTGATACTAGCTTCCTACAGCCTCAACTAGCATGTATGATGCTTATAAATTCTGTACAACCAATGAAAAAAAAACTAATTTAAATCATAGTGTGAAAATCAGGAACAAAATACTAATAGTTTGATAAACAACATAACTATTCCTTTCTCTCTCCCTGTGTTGGAGACTTCCTTAAATCAAACAAAACCACAGTTTAGGTGTGCCAGACTATAAAAATCATTGCTGCTTAATGTTAGTTGTGCTTTATATAACAAGCCTTATCTGCTTCTCACAAAAGTTACCACCCAGAGGAAGGTTTATTTGCAAGAATACTATACAATTTTGCAGCAGAATATTAGAGAATGTTCTGGGTGTTACTTCAATAAGAATTTCCAGCAAATCATTTTCTCCTAATACTGTTCTAGTTCAAATCCACCTACTGCTCAGTGGGGAATGGGAGGCTAAATTCTTAAGGCCATTCAGTCTACTTGGGGCGTGAGGGGGTGTGTAGAAAGCCAACAATCAAACGAACACCCTCTCAAGGCCTGGGTGCTTCTCTGAGAGCCAATGATTGCAAAATGAACAATCTTATTAAGATCCCTAATTAGCCCGAATTCAAAAGCAAGGTAGGCATGCTCCTTAGCTGAGCTAAGGATAAAACTTTCCAGGAAAAATTGAGGAGAAGAAGGTGGCAGGGATGATGGGGGCTGGGAGACTGCAAGGCCACAGGCTTGGTGGCTGGAAGATGACAACTATCCTAAAACATTCAAATGCCAAGGGGTGGAAGAGAAACGATGCCAAGTACATGAATAACCGGCAGCTGACCCAGCTGAGTACCAAACTCAACACCATCTCCTGAAGATTTCATGACTTCGCCCCCGCCCCCCATTCGCCCCCCACCCCCCTCGATTGTTAACATGAAAGAAAAACATAAAGAAAGAATACCTGTCACAGCAGGGCGCACCTTTCAACTAAGGAACTCCGGGTGGCTGTGTAGAACCATCCTCACCCTAGAAAGGGGGAAACTGAAAGAAAAAGCAGAACACGCCATTAACAAGGCCAGAACCCCGACTGCCATTCCTGGACGGGAGCCACCAACACCCGCAAAATCGATCGGTACGTACGCCCCGCGGCGCGGTCGGTAGGAATCACAGCCCCGGGCTCCTGAGGCCAACCGTGGCCGTCGGGGCCCGCCAGCGGCCTGTGCCTCAGTCTCCCAATCTGTAAATGGGGTGGGGGGCGGGAGGGGGACAGCGTCCCGCGCGGCTCCCGCCCCAAGTCCTCTCTCCTCTGGGGGTCCCGATGGTGGCGACCCCGCACGCTCCCCGGACTCGCAGCCCTCCCGGGAAGCCTCGGGGGATGGGGAAGCCCCGGTGGGGGGGGGAAACCCGGGCTGACGTCAGCGGGCTCGGCAACCCGCGGGCCCGGCCGGCTCGGGCCCGGGCAACTAACGGGCCGGCGCCGAGGGCCCGATGGTCGCCGCGGCGGCTCCGGACGCCCTGAGGCCAGGCGGCTGCGCCGAGGGGATCCGGCCGCCCGCCGGCCGCCAGCCGCCCGCTCATTCACTAACCTCGGGCGGCGGGGCGTCGCCCCTCGCCCCGGCTCCCCAGCCCGCGTCCCGGGCCGGCCCCGGCTCCCCACACCCACCGCCCTAGTATTTACCTCCGACGCGCGGCCCCCGCGCAGCCAAACCTGCTACCTGGGCCCGCCCCCACCTGCCCCGCCTCCGAACCGCACAGGGAAGAGGGAGGGAGCGGGGGCGGAGGGGGCAGCCGCCGCGCTAGCCAATCGTAGGCCGAGCTGCGCTCCTGAGCGGGCCGTGATTGGGCCTCCCTGTGACAGACCTTCCTCCAATGGCTGCCAGCCCGGCGCCGGCCGAAGGGACTTTCCGCTCTGTCAAGCTCGGTGGAACCAAAGGGAAAGCGAAGGGGCGGGGCAGAGAAGAGCGGCGGATGGAGGCGGGAAGCTCAAGCTGATTGGGCGAAAGGCTGTGGGTGCCGCGTCACCATTGGCTGATGCTGGAGCCGGGGCGGGGCGCTGCGCTGCCACCAGCTCCGCCTCCCGTGCTCCCGCCTCAGCTGTCAAAACTGTAGACGCTTAGGTTTGGGCTGGGTTAAGAGTCCAGATGAAGGTTGAAATAGGATTCCAGGATGCCGTGAGAGAGCAAAGCTTTAGAATCAGACCTCAGTTTGAATCTTTGGCGCTTTCATTCAGTGGCTGCGTGACCTGAGGAAGTCACAACCACGCTGAGCCTCAATGTCCTCATCTGTAAAATGGAGATCATAGTATCGGTTGTCTTACAGGATTGTGGCAAAATACCGAGCTAAAGTTCCTGGCACGCAGTACCAGCTCAGGAAAGGTTCATCTCTTCCTCCTCCGCAGATTCAGCCTGGGACGCTTGCTGTTTCCGAACCTCTGTTGCCACCTATCCCAGTTTGGAGGGAATTTTCCCAAGGATGGTGAAGAAGGGATTTCCACACGCCGCCTCACTCAGCCCCGCACCCCTGGCCACCAGCCAGGACTTAGGGTGTAGTTAAGGATCTTTCAATTAGAAGGGAGGCTTCTGATTCCCAAAAGCACTCAAAATATTTAAGGAAGTGCTTTTTATAATCAGTCCTAGAGCCTTGCTGCACTGGATACTCCTGTTAATTAATTTCTTCTCCTTTGACATTTTAAGTGCTAATTATAGGAGAAGGTGATTAACACTGAGAAAGGAGGAGGGGTGTGTGTGTGTGTGTGTGTGTGTGTGTGTGTGTTTTTAATCATGACACAAATTTCCCCCAGTGGAAAGTGACATGTTTCTGGAGATCCAGGGAATTTAAACCAATGAATACATAAAAACAGTCACATGAGTGATGACTAACAGTAGCAGTAGACAGGCCACCACTCTTCCTTGCCATAGTCATCCAAAATGAAATGAGCATCTTTTGAAAACCTAAGCCTCATTCTACTCCTGTCCCTCTTTTGTCACTCCTATCTTCCTGTTTTCCAGGCTTCATGACCACACTGCTGTAGGAAGCCATAAGTTGGAAATCAACGGGCCTGGCTTGAAGTGTGGCCTTAGGCAACACCGTTCTCATCTACATCTGGATTCTCCAACAAAGCTGGTAGGACTCAGAGGTCACAGTCCAACTGTCTGGAAGAAAATTTCAGCTGAAATTTGTTTTTGCCTAACCCATACGATAAGGAGGAAGGAGAAAAGAATGTGAAGGAGAGAGATTTGGGGTCCTTTTAGGCAAGGCAAACATTCTCATGTTACCACTGGGACCACTTCTCTTATCTGCACGATCTACATCCACTGGTCCCTTAAGGCATCTGAGTTTGCCACTCTGGACTAGAATATTTTCATGTCCCTTCTTTTTGTTTTTGTTGTTGTTGTTGCTGGGGTGTTTGTTTGTTTGTTTCTTTGTTTTGAGACAGAGTCTTGCTCTGTTGCCTAGGCTGGAGTGCAATGGTGCGATCTCAGCTCACTGCAACCTCCGCCTCCCAGGTTCAAGCAATTCTCCTGCCTCAGCCTCCCAAGTAGCTGGGATTACAGGTGCCTGCCACCACACCCAGCTAATTTTTGTATTTTTAGTAGAGACAAGGTTTCACCATATTGACCAGGCTGGTCTCAAACTCCTGACCTCAAGTGATCTGCCTGCGTCAGCCTCCCAAAGTGCTGGGATTACAGGCATGAGCCAATGTGCCCGGCCTATTTTTGTGTCCTTTCTGTTGATGGTGTTTGGTGCTGCTGAGGTCTCTACTTCCATAGGGCTTTCGTCCCCAGGCTCTGTCCTGTCATACGTTCACTGAATCAGTGCCGGGGCCTGACTTCATCTAAGGGATCTTCATCCAAGTCAAGCCTGACAAATGGGGCTTATCTCAATTATCATTTCCTATCAATTGGGAATGGCTGCTTAGAACATTGCGTTAAAGCTAATTCTGAACTTATATTCAGGCTCACCGGGAAGAGAGATATCTGCCAGGGGATAAGATGGGGAGATAGTGTCATGGTGCTATTATTTGCAGTCCTTGGTGAACCAGCCTCTCATTTTACAGGTAGTAGATGAAGGCCCAAAGACAGTAAATTACAAGCCCCTGTCACTCAGGAGATGGGCCGAGACCCTGATTCCAAGCCAAGACTCTTTCCACCTCTGTTAAAATGGATTCCCCAACTGAAATGCTCATCATCTCTGCCTTCCAAATCCTCCCTTCATGGAGGACCTAGTCAAAGTCCTTTACAGACATGTCTTCACAGAGGGCTCCAGCCCTCACTAATGACCTCTCTCAATCCACCACCCCACAGCCTCTTCCATCCAGCCTGGTCCTGGGTTCATGGAACTAGCGGTTGTGTTACTGAGCAGGTTCCAGGAAACATAGCAGTGTACAAGAGAGATGCCACACTCCCTCTGGCAAAAAAAAAAAAAAAAAAAAAGGCAAACTAAAATACTCATTAGATGATCACTTACTTAATTATGGCTGTGGTAAGCCTCAGAAGAAGAATCTCTCTGAGCATGCCTAAAGGGAGGTTGGCCACTCAGGGAAGGCCTGTTTGAGGAAGTCACCTTTGAGATGAGATGGGAAAGATAACTGGCAGGCAGGAGTGAGGGGGAACACTCCAGAAATAGGAAACAGGAAAGTGCATGACCTGTTGAAGAAACTGGAAGAGGCAGAGCGCAGACAATGAAGGCACAAAAGAGCCTTGGGAGCCAAGGACAGGGGTTGTTCTCCATCCCAAGAGCAATGGGAAGTTGTGAAGGGTTTTGCAGGGAACATAACACTGGTTCTTTTTTTGTTTTTTGTTTTTTGTTTGAGATGGGGTCTCACTCTGTTGCCTAGGCTGGAGTACAGTGGCACAATCATAGCTCACTGCAGCCCCCGTCTCCTGGGCTCAAGTGATCCTCCCACCTCAGTCTCCTGAGCAGCTGAGACTACAGGTACGCACCACCATGCCCAGCTAACTTTTCTCTTTTGAGTAGAGATGAGGGTCTCACCATGTTGCCCAGGCTGGTCTTGAACTCCTGGCTTCAAGTGATCCTCCTGCTTTTGCCTCCCAAAGTGCTGGGATTACAGGCATGAGCCACTGTGCCTGACCTAACACTGATTCTAAGCTGTCTTATGTAGTTCTCTCATTGCACACAGCGGGACCCTAACATAAAGCTATTGAATTGAATGGAGCTTTCCCCACGGAGGACGGTGAACTCCAGGTAGCCTGCTAGGGGCATGGGACATAGAGTAACACACCGTCAGGACTCAAGGGAACCTGCTCAGTGGCACCGGTCATGATTATTGACTAGACCCTGCTCCATGCTTCCCAGTGCCTACCACGGGGTACCTCCTACTTGCAGTCTCTCCAAATTTGGTGTCTCTTTTATATCCTACTGCCTTCTCAGCATCTCCACTCAACACAGCCAAAAGCGAACTCCTGATATTCACCACCACCACCCCCTGCAATCCCTCTGCACTCCCCATCTTAGTAAATGGCAACTCCCAGATGTCCATCCAACCTCCCATGGTTCCAGCCATTTTCCCACTAATCCTGTGAATATGGGCATTCAGAATGAACACCAGGCCAAGTGGCTAACTGGACCAGGTATCCGCACAAGCAAGGATACGTCACAGGCGCTTTCTCCACAGTAGCCCAGCACAGTGTTTTGATCCATGGATAACGGGCTGAGGTCTTCCATCTCTGAGATGTGCTTATCTCTTAGGGAAGGGAAATTCCAAGTGCAACTGAACATTCTGTCTGAGGACTTTTACTCTGACCACCTAAAAGCTCTTTTTGATAAGATAAAGGGGATTACTTTAATCATCTTTAAACTAATCCAGCCGAACTATAAATCCATGCTCTCCCATTTGAGCTATTTGCTGGTATCAATGACAAATAATTTCTATGTTTGATTTTTAAAACACACACAGAAAGCTCTTTATTAAAGGGAACTTTCTGCTACATCTGGATCCCATTTTGGGCAGTTGATGCATTAGGGATTGTTCCATGTCCCAGGGAATCTTCCTCCTTTACCAAGGAGACACAAATGATGTCAGAAAAAGGGTGACTCATTCTTATAAGCTGCCCCAACTTCTATTTTCTGCCCCCTTTAATAAAGAAAGTGGATCCTTCCTTCATTCAACAAATATGTATTGAGCACCTACTATGTGCTAGGCACCTTTGTAGACTCTGAGGACACTGCAGTGAGCGTGGTTCCTGTTCTCAAGAAGCTGACATTCTAGGGGAGGGGAAAAATGACCATGCATCAGGTAGTTCATGCAGAGAAGACAATACAAAGGAAGGCAGGCAGTGGCTGGAAACTGCTATTTAGGTAGATTGTTCAGGGAAGGACTACCTCATGTAGGTGGCATTTGAACTAAGACTGGAAGGAAATGAAGAAGCCAACCACACCACTGTCTCAGGGAACAGTGTTCCCATAGGAGGGGAAAGGCGAGTGCAGAGGTCTGGAAGCAGCAATGTGCCTGGTGTCCTCAGCAATGTGCCTGGTATGCTCAGGGAACAGCAAAGAAGCCAGTGAGGTTGGAGCCCAGAGAACAGGTGTGAGTGGCAAAGGGGAGGCCAGAGAGGATACAGGGGGTCCAAGTCAGATGAGACCTTACCTTTTACCCTGCACCAACAAGAAGTCCTGGAGGGTTTACATCAGAGCAGTAGCTGATCTGACTTATGTTTTAATAGGTTCATGCCTCAGGTCAAAGTCAGTAACAGGGAGACTGATGCAGTAACCCAGGCAAGGATGGATCCCAAAGGGACCCCCTTGTTTCCTGGGGGTGGAGGCAGAGCAGGTGAGAGGGAGGGGTGCAGGGGGATGTGGAACTGAAGATATCGAGAAGTTGTTACAAAGCAGAAAGAGATGTAGCACTCCTGAAAAGAAGCATTTTCAGGGTGAGTGATCAGGGGAGTGGTGATGCTTAGGGGACTGGATCTGTGGATTGTTCAGGAAATAATAATAGGTTGGGATTAAATTTACAGGGAAAAAAACGATCCAAGGGAAGCCAATCAAAGAGCCTGGATTGCCAGTCTTCCCTGCTGCGATCTCCGCCTGCGATTCTCCAGGGGAAATGTCCTTTATGACCTTACAGCTCACCTGGAACCCTCCACCTAGGGCCCGAGGCAGCACATCCTCTCGTGCCCGGGCACTTCCAGGCATTGCCCTGAGTACTGGGCACTTCACACACTGGGCTGGACCACTCACCGGAGTGAATAAGGAGGCTTGAAGCTGTCCTGGTACAACAATGGAATGAAGCGCTAGTCTCAGCTCAGCCACTTGGAATATGACTCCAACTCTCACATTTCTGTGGGGTGTATTCATTTCAGCTTTTTGTTTGGTGCTATGGGGAGGGAAGGGCCCTCAGACTGGCATCCTTTTTCTTCCAGGATGATGATGAATATTATGAAAGTCTGAGGCTGTTTTTAAAATTCTGCTCTAATACGTTGTTTTTCTGTGCATAAGAATTATGTATTCTTAGCTGCAAAACTGGAATCCGTCTGCTCATGGATAAACTTCTGGCCATGAGCATGTACCTTTCAGGTAACTTCCCTATCAGAGAAGCTTACAATCAAGAATCCTACTTCCCTAGTTCCCTACACAGGCCCAGGAGGCTTTTGGTGGTATCCGCTGGACTTTTGAAAATTAGGGAATTTCTCCTACTCTGAACTCTACCAGGAATCACATATCAAGATCTCAGTACCATCTTACCTAGACCCTCTTGACCTCTTCTTTCTCCATAATCTCTTTCTAGCTCATGTCATCCAGACTCGAGGGCCCCATTCTCAGTTTGACACTGAGGACACCCACGCTATTATCTCTGGCTGTGACCTTTCCCACGAGCTCCAAATTCACACCATCTTTTGACGTCTCCACTTAACTTCCCCATTTCGGTGTCTCAAACTTGACAATTCAAAACAGAACTCCCTCCCACTTCCAAACTGGTTTCCTACCCAACTTTCCCAGGCCCCCAGTTTCTCAAGTCAGAAATCTATGAGTCATCCTTGATGTTTGCCATTCCCTCATCCCTCCCATCCAACCCATTCGTAGGCTCTTGGGAATCTACCTCCAAAATGTCTCTGGAATCCATCCTCTTCTCTCCACCTCCACTGCCAACCGCCTCTCACCTGCAATAGCTCTGAGGCAGCCTCCCCACTTCTTCTGCCTCCCATCCCCACCCCTACATATTCCTGTCCTATCTCCACCCAGAAGCAAACAAGATCTTCTTTAACTGTAAATTGGTTCACATCTCCCCTGCTTAGAACTTTCCAAGGCCTTGACATTATTCCAAGATCAAGACCAAACTCTTGACTGTGGCCAGTGAGACCTTTCCTGAACTGGTCCTACCTACCTCTGCAAACCCATCTAGTGACACCTTTCCCTTAGCTTGCCTCCAACATAGTGTATTAGTTTCCTATGGCTGCTGCAGGAAATGACACAAATTATCCCCTTATAGTCGTGGAAGCCAGAAGTCCAAAATGGGCTGGAGCCAAGGCAGGCAGGGCTATGCTGCTTGCAGAGGTTCTAGGGGAGAATCTATTTCTTGGTCTTCTTTGGCTTCTAGAGCTGCAATCCTTGGCTCATGGCGCCTTCCTCCACCTTCAGAGCCAGCAGTGTAGCATCTTACTTGGTGATCACATTTCTTTCTTCTCCAGTGTCATATTTCCCTTTGCTTTACATTGTCCTTTAAATTTCTCTTATAAGGAAACTGCGATTGCATTTAAGACCCACCCAGGTAATCCAAGATGATCTTCCCATCTCAAGACCCTTAACTGAATCCCACCTCCAAAGTCCCTTTTGCCAGGTAAGGCAACATTCCCAGGTCCCGGGGATTAGGATCTACATATGTTCGGGAGTGACTATTGAGCCTACCATGCATACCACGCTCCTTCCCTCACCAGGGTCTTTGTACCTCTTGTCCCCCATTACTAGAATGCTCCCTTCTTCCCTCTCACTCTTTGCTTGGCCATATCTTTCTCATTCTTGGGGACACAGCTTACCTGGCACCTCCTCAGACAACCTGTCTCGGACCAGCCCCTTAACAGCCTGAAGACTTTTTTTTTTTTTTTTTTGATACGGAGTCTTGCTCTGTTGCCCAGGCTAGAGTGCAGTAGTGTGATCTCAGCTCACTGCAACCTCTGCCTCCCGGGTTCAAGCAGTTCTCCTGCTTCAACCTCCCAAGTAGCTGGGATTACAGGCACCTGCTACCATGCCCGGCTAATTTTTGTATTTTTAGTAGAGACAGGGTTTCACCATGTTGGCCAGGCTGGTCTCGAACTCCCGACCGCAAGTGATCTGCCCACCTTGGCCTCCCAAAGTGCTGAGATTACAGGCATGAGCCACAGTGCCTGGATGAAGACTTTTTCATGTCTTTTTCAACTGACTTGTTTTCTGCCTGCCTCTCCCTCCACCCTCACCTAAGCACCTTGAGGACCATGTCTGTTTTGTCAATCCACTGGTCATCCTAATATAACTGGTTAATAAATCATTGCTGAATTTATTTATTTATTTATTTATGACAGTCTCGCTGTGTCGCCCAGGCTGGAGTGCAGTGGCATGATCTCAGCTCACTGCAACCTCCTCCTCCAAGATTCAAGCGATTCTCCTGCCTCTGCTTCCCAAGTAGCTGGGATTACAGGCGTGCGCTGCCACACCCAGCTAACTTTTTTTTTTCTTCTTCTATTTTTAGAGACAGGGTTTTGCCATGTTGGCCAGGCTGGTCTTGAACTTCTGACCTCAAGTGATCCAGCTGCCTCAGCCTCCCAAAGTGCTGAGATTACAGGCATGAGCCACCATGCCTGGCCTCATTGCTGAATGAATTTAAAGATGACAAACTGACAACCCAATACAGTGCTATGCAAATGGGCTGCTGTGTGTACTCCTCAGCGAAAGGAGACTCAACACCACCTTCCTCCTGATCTGCTGTATCAGAAACAATGGTCTGGGCAGAACAGGGCACCAATCACAAAGAAAACCCATAGACACACTCCCATGCAGGGTCCAGGGAGATGCCACACCACCGAGTCAGCCAGACGCAAAACCTTTCAAGGAAGTAGGATTTTACCTTGCTGGGTGACCACCTGATCCCTTGCTTATTAAACGCAGCTAAGCACTATTTTAACACAAGGCCTGCATGAGAGGCTGCTCGCTGTGGAGAGCCAGCCATAAGTAAACCTTCTCCATCCTTCTGTTAAAGACTCCTGGAGCCACTTTGAGGGAATCGAGGGGGGCCAAGGGGCCTTTTCACATGTGTTGCAGCCTTTTAGGCTGGGTACGGGGAGGCTCCTGCACAGCTGAAAACTTCACGGGGTTAAACTTTTCTAAACTGAAGCCAAAAGTGTTTTGATTGCCTGGCTATTTTCTAAGAATTGCTTTTGCCTTAAGCTATACATTATCGGGTTGAAAACATCATTTTCCTCCGCTTCAAGTAGAAAATTGTGCTTTAAAATTTGACAAGTTTTAGTAATATTTTTATTTTTTATTTTCTTTATTTATTTGAGATGGAGTTCCACTCTTGTTGCCCAGGCTGGAGGACAACGGTGTGATCTTGGCTCACTGCAACCTCCACTATTTTTAGTAGAGACAGGGTTTCTCCATGTTGGTCAGGTTGGTCTCAAACCCCCAACCTCAGGTGATCTGCCCACCTCGGCCTCCCAAAGTGCTGGGATTACAGGCGTGAGCCACTGTGCCCAGCCAGAATATTTTTAAATGTTTGGTCACAAGGAAGATGGCTGTTTTGACTCAACAGTTTATTCCCCTCTGATTATTTACAGCATAAAGTTCACGGCCATGTTGTCTATAAGAGTATAAACTTAAGACAGTAAAACAAAGTGACCTATAAATATTAACCAGTTTTCACACATCATAATGTTTAAAATAATAACATTTGCACAGCATCTGACAATTTACAAAGGCTTCAACATACATCATTTTGAATAATCCAGGAAGACATTTGCTTTGAAGGAACGGCCTAATTTTTTTTCCTGTAAACTTTCAATCCATAACTGTACATCCTAAAGCATTCTGGCACAAATGAAATGGAACTGCCTCTTGTGGGTCTATTTCAGAAGTCTGTTGTCAGAGTTCAGTTCACAGGCATCAACCAGAAGCCTAGTGAGGCCGTTTGAAATTCTGGCCCAGATTAATTTTTTAAAGCTGCATTTGGAGCTTTTTAAAGTCGAGCTGTTTCCAAAGGCTTAACTGAAGAGTAACTGATTTCACTGGAAATAAAAGTCCACATGTGATCCCAGCTGGAGTGTGGTCATATTTTTCTTGCAAACCTAGAATGTCTTGGGGAACAAACGGCTGTCACGTGTCCCCTTCCAAAAATGTCTTAAACACCGGAAAGGAGGGCAGGCTAAGGTGTAGCCCTTCCCACCCTGGGTGCCAGGGTTGGGGGTGCTGTAAGTGAAATATCAAAGCTGAGGTCACTAATATTCTGAATTTCAGCCTCAGAGGAAGGAGCGTGTGCAGGAGTCCAGGAGGAGGGGAGGAACCAGAGACGGGGAATGGCCTGGATGGATGAGTCGAGACATGGGGAAAGCTGCTTCCTGAATTATGTGTTCTGTGTACTCCTCTTCATCAGAGCAGTGGTAAGGGGTCTTTTGTGAGAGGCCGGGCCTCTCCACCAAAAGGCACTCAGTTAACAAGCACATCCATGGGCCCCACTGACCCACACGGAAGCCTGGGAGGATCAGCAGAGGCCAGTCCCATACTATGGAGGAGGGGCTGTCCTTGTACATCCTGGGATTGAATCTTGGGAAGAAGTCAATGGCAAAAGTAGGCTTGGGAAAAGTCTATCCTGGAGGGCACTGATGCTCCCTCCTCTGCCAGAATAAAGGTGACCTATGGTGTTCCCAGAAAACAAGTTCAGCCTTAGGCAGGACAGGGCTCATTTTGAAGAGGCTGCCAACACATGTCACCCAGCCTCTGGGGCCCAAACTCACAGCCTGCTCACAAACAAACTGAGACGAACATCCTCCCGGAGACTTCAAAGCAAGAGTCTGGTGTCCCTGCAGCCGAGCTTGTCAACCTCCTCTAGAGAGAAAGTGTTCCCTCGGAGCCTAAAGCAGATCAAGTGAACAGAGGTTTGAGTGAGGACAAAATTAGAGCAGGGCTTTCAAACAAAAGCCTCCACTTTTTAAACCCATGCCTGGGATGGGCTGACTCTCTGGCCCAGCTGCAGTGTTTCTTGCAGGGAAGTCAGGGCTGTTTTTACCCTTGGCCAACCAGGGCAGCTCAGGAAGCATTCTGAACAAGGCTCCATGACTCTGCAGAGAGAGTCCACAACACTGCACCCAGCCAGCCACAGACTCCCCAAGGCCAGTGATTCTTTTTAAGGCAATAAGAGAATCTGTCAAGAATGCAATGAGCAAACCCTGGTGCCCTCCCAAGTTCCATCAACAGGCAGCAAATAACATCAGACCCCTTAAAATATCAACCTCATGTTGGCTGGTGCCCAGGACCCAGAATGTGATGTTTCTTAGGACTGTGCAATGGTTTCAAAAACAAAGAAACAGAAAACCTACACTTTGCCCAGAACCTGATGACGTCATAGGCCACAGAGCTATCACAATCATACAGAAGGAAAAATCTCTCCATCACAGCATAGATTTTTGAAGTCACTTTTAAATTTTTTATTTTTTTAAGAGATGGGATCTAATTCTGTCGCCTGTGCAGTGATGCAATCATGGCCCACTGCAGCCTTGAACTCCTGGGTTCAAGGGATCCTTCCATCCCAGCCTCCCAAGTGGCTAGGAACTACACCGCACCCAGCTGAATTTTTTATTTTTTGAGAGACAAGGTCTGGTGTTGAACCTCTGGCCTAAAGTGATCCTCCTGCCTCAGCCTCCCAAAGTGCTAGGATTACAGGTGTGAGCTGCCACGCCCAGCAAAGCTTTTGTTTTTAACTTCATCATTTGATATCTGCATTCGCTGCAGCCTTGATGTGCTTTTTGAGAGAAGACAAGGCCTGCATATTTAAAGCAAGGGTCACAGGCTTATGGGAATGAGTTGCCAAAGGGTCCTGGTCTAAGACAATAGGCTTGGTGGATCTGCAGTCAGCCAGAGTGGGTTTGCCCATCTGAGAAGACTCAGCCCTTCTTGTACTCTGGTTAACTACTGGAATCATGAATGGGCATCCAGAGTTCCCAGCTCTTTTGAGAAAACCCTGAGATATAGATTTTCTATAGGAAATTTCCTGGCTTTTAAATATTAGTCTCTAGCCCAGTGCCTGGAACATATATAGTAGCATTCACTTACAGCACATTAGGCCAGGGAAAGCCTTTACTTATTGTCTGAGAAATAGATCCCTGGAAACAAGAAGGACAAATCTTTGAAGCTGTGGCTCAGCAGAGAGAAAGTCTACAACACTGGACCCAGCTGCCCAGACTCCCAAGGCTAGTCATTCTTTTTAAGGCAATGAAAGAATCTGTCAAGAATGCAATTCTTGCTTTTTTCAATACATGAAAGTCTATGGCTTTAATTATAGAGAATTGGAAACACTGTGCAACCTGCTCCTAACCTGTGTAATCTCCATTCAGAACCGCAGAAGGTCTGATCCAATATCCTTGACCTGTGAAGGCAGATGCAATTTCTAGGAGGGCGGGAGCTGACTTTTCTTTTCATTCTTCAACCACATCCCCATTCCTACACTATCTCATAGAGCAGAGAAGTTGCTGAATAAATAGTCAAGGTTTAAAAATGAAATCATTGCTCCCTACTTAAAGAGGTAAAGACTTCTTTCTTAGACAGAGAATCAGATCCTTCACATGCAGAATCATTCTCACTGAATGTCAGAATCAGAAGGGATCCTCAAAATTCTGCCATTCCTCTCTCCCGTCACCCCATTTTACAGATAGAAAAACTGAGGTTCGGAGAGCTAAAACAGGCCTGCCCAGGGGCCTTACCAGACTTCCAGGATGGTGTCATTCCTTTCAAGGGCCTGCAGGAGGGCTTCTGCCCCTAGGTAGGTGATGCAGTTATTGGACAACCTGGAAAAGAAGATACAATGGTGAGCTTCAAGGATTCTTGGTTTTCCTCTTGAAACTGTCCAGTTAAAGAGACTGCAGGAGTTAGCCAGTCTACTGAAGCCCACCTGTCCCTTAGACACATCCTGCTCATGTCTGAGATTCCCAATGAGCTCATCAACAAAGGCTCAGTACCATCAGTGAAATGTAACCGTCTCTCTTCCATTCACTAGATGAGTTTATCAAATTAAGTAGCCACTCCCTTAGGATAGTGGTTAAGTACCTGCATTTTAGTGCTAGACATCCTGGGTTTAAATCCCACCTACACCACTTCTTTTTTGATCTCGAGCAAATTAGTCCCAATCTCCTCATTGGTAAAATGGGCCTAAAAGAGTACCCGTGCCATCGAGCATAAGAATCTAAATTGTGATGGGTGTAAGCAGGCTCCTATTCACATCCACCATCCATCTCCTTGTGGCATGGGTCCTGGGCCATTAAGTCAGCCACCAGTCCCCCATTACCTCCCCACACTCTGCTTGCTGGGAAGACCCACCACTCTCTGCATGCCTAAAACACTTGCACAGTACTTGATATGGTTTGGCTGTGTCCCCACCCAAATCTCTTGAATTCCCACGTGTTGTGGGAGCGACCCAGTGGAAGGTAATTGAATCCCATCCTGTTCTCATTACAGTAAATAAGTTTCATGATATCTGATGGTTTTAAAAAGGGGAGTTTCCCTGAACAAGCCCTCTTCTCCTGTCTGCTGCCATGTGAGATGTGCCTTTCACCTTCAGCCATGATTGTGAGACCTCCCCAGCCACGTGGAACTGTAAGTTCAATAAAACTCTTTCTTTCATAAAGTGCCCAGTCTTGGGTATATCTTTATCATCAGCATGAAAACGGACTAATACAGTACTTAATTGATAGAAAATAACCAATGAGCAGTAATATTTCTATTTTCAGGGGGGTCTTTGAGGGCACAGAGACAGAGATTAGAGAACATATGAGGTAGCTGACAACAGGGAGGGGAGACAGGATAGGGCCAGGGACAGCAACAGAGGAGTCATGTGTTTCCCAGGTTGCTCTTTTGGTTACAGCTTTGCCTTCCAATAATGTCCACTCCAGGTCCTCCCCCTTTCCCACAATTTCAGGAATGTCTTACAAGTTGACCCTAAGGCAATGCCAATTGTAATTGCCAGTATTTATTGAACTTCTATTAGATTGGTGCAAAAGTAATTGCAGTTTTTGCATTGTTGAAATTTGCCATTTGATATTGGAATACATTCTTAAATAAATGTGGTTATGCTATACATCATTTTAATGCACAATTCTCACTTTATGATTTTTTGCTAATGACTTAATACTTTCTGTTTATTTTATATTTATTTTAGACTATGAAAATGATGTTAGACAAAAAGCAAATTCAAGCAATTTTCTTATTTGAATTCAAAATGGGTTGTAAAGCAGCGGAGACAACTCACAACATCAGCAATGCATTTGGCCCAGGAACTGCTAACTAACGTATAGTGCAGTGGTGGTTCAAGAAGTTTTGCGAAGGAGATAAGAGCCTTGAAGATGAGGAGTGTACTGGCAGGCCATCAGAAGCTGACAATGACCAATTGAGAGCAATCATCAAAGCTGATTTTCTTACAACTACTTGAGAACTCAACATCGACCATTCCATGGTCATTCAGCATTTGAAGCAAATTGGAAAGGTGAAAAACCTCGATAAGTGTGTGCCTCATGAGCTGAGTGAAAACCAAGAAAATCGTCATTTTGAAGTGTCATCTTCTCTTATTCTACACAACAACAGCGAACCATTTCTTGATCTGATTGTGACGTGCGATGAAAAGTGGATTTTATACAACTGGCAATGACTAGCTCAGTGGTTGGACCGAGAAGAAGCTCCAAAGCACTTCCCAAAGGCAAATTCGCACCAAAAAAAAAAGGTCATGGTCACTGGTGGTCTGCTGCTAGTCTGATCCCCTACAGCTTTCTGAATCCCTGCGAAACCATTACATATGAGAAGTATGCTCGGCAAGTCAATGAGATGCACTGAAAACTGCAACACCTGCAGCCGGCATTCGTCAACAGAAAGGGTCCAATTCTCCACGACAACACCCGACTGCATGTCACACAACCAAAGCTTCAAAAGTTGAATGAATTGGACTATGAAGTTTTGCCTCATCCGCCATATTTACCTGACCTCTAGCCAACTGACTACCATTTCTTCAAGAATCTTGACAACTTTCTGCAGGAAAAATGCTTCCACAACCAGGAGGATGCAGAAAATGCTTTCCAAGAGTTTGTTGAATCCCGAAGCATGAATTTTTATGCTACAGGAATAAACAAACTTATTTCTTATTGGCAAAAATGTGTTGATTTTAATGGTTCCTATTTTGATTAATAAAGATGTATTTTAGCCTAGTTATAATAATTTAAAGTTCATGGTCTGAAACCACAATTACTTTTGCTCCAACCTACAACTCACTTTTGTTAGCTACATTCTCTCAGTGAATGCTCATGGCCTATAATGAAGGTCCAGCCATTATCTCCATTTACACTTGAGGCAACTGAGGCACTCATCCAAGAAGAACTGGCTGGTAATGGTGGAGCAGGGGTAAGACCCAGGCTGTCTGGTTCCAGAGCCTGGACTCTTTTTTTTAAATTATTATTTTTCTCATCCTTTTTTTTTTTTTTTTTGAGATGGAAGTTTCTCTCTTGTCCAGTCTAGGGTGCAATGGTGTGATCTTGGCTCATGGCAACCTCCACCTCCCAGGTTCAAGTGATTCTCCTGCCTCAGCTTCCTGAGTAGATGGGATTACAGGTGTATGCCACCACGCCCGGCTAATTTTGTATTTTTAGTAGAGATGGGGTTTCTCCATGTTGGTCAGGCTGGTATGGAACTCCCCACTTCAGGTGATCCACCCGCCTCAGCCTCCCAAAGTGCTGGGATTACAGGTGTGAGCCACTGCACCCAGCAAGCCTGGGCTCTCAACCAACTCTTGGCAGAAACTAAGCCTGGAAAAGAAAGATGTAGGCATTTCTCTTTTTTATAAAAGATATATCAGAAGTTCAATTTTTGTGGGGGATGATATAGTTTAGGATGCTGAAAAATAAGGCTGATGACAGGGTGGCATGGGACCAACCCCAGCCTCATTGCCTGGCATCCATGGGAGTCAAGTGGAGTAAGGCTGTGACAAGGAGGGAAGACAAACCTGCCATATCCACACCTGGTTGATAATGGGCTTGGTATTCCCAAAGGCCGACCCTCAGTGCAAAGCTGGCATCTGGCTCAGACACATCCGGGCTTCACCCCAACTTCCCAGCCCATTTCCACCCAAATAATTAGTGGAAGTGTTTTCTCCAAATATTTGGAAACTTCCTAGCTTGTGAAAGCAACACAAATGAGTGTCGCCAGAGTGGGTAGCAGCCTGGCAGCAAAGCTGGCACTCACAGAGGCAGCTGTCTGTCTGTCTGTCTCTAAAGGCAAGCGTTTTCCTAGGACCACATTTGCCTAGGCAGATGCCACTTTCCTCCAGCAAAAGGAGCCATCTGATGGGGTTCCTGAGGTCTACTTGAAATAAGAATTTTGGCATCAGCCTCAGAGAGCACCCTGACAAACCCATGATGGTCACTAGGTGGGTTCATGTTCACCTGAGCTGTCCATCTCTTTGTGGCACAAGTCCCAAGCCACTGAGTCAGCCACTGGAGGAGGCCACAGTACTCCCCATCACATCACCTCCCCAGCCACTGCTTGCAGAGAAGACCTTCCACTCTCTGCCTGAGGCCATTCTCCTGACCCCAGAAGCATGTTCAGCTGGGTGAGGGTGAGCTGGAAGTGCTGGAGAATCAGTGCCCCATGAGCGCACATCAACATAGGAAGGACAGAGGGTTGGTGGATAAATGCCATGGCTTTCTTGCCCATTGGTTGGGTAGGTGACCATGTGTGTTCTGCACTGGCTCCAGGAGTGCCCCAGAGTACTGAGCTCCAATTTCCCTCATTGATAACTGGCTTGATAACTCCCCTTTATTGGTTACCTTCACTTCCCCATCTCACTTCACCACTCTCCTATCAGCATTTACTGGGACCACCTCCCAGATAAACAACTTGCACTGGAATCCTTGTCCACCTAGACCAAGGCAAGCTGTTCTACCAGGCCACCTCACATGAGTTAGCCCAGCGGAGAGCGGCCCAGATCTTATTCAGAAATGCCCCTTCCAAAGGCCAGCAATTATTGTCCTGTTTCCTGCTTATGGGTTCCTTACTTCAGGATTTTCAAACTTGAATTTTTCTTCAGTCCTTCTGCGAGAGAACATACACCTTCATCCTGGAGATGGTTCTCCTCCAGGCTGGTGAGAAGAAGAGAGAAAATCCAGTTGATACAACATTGATTATGGAAGATGATGAACTCACATGCCCCCCATATAGGAAATCCAACATCTGAAAACCCAAACTCATGGATAAAGAAAGAACAGATAAAGTACGTTGTGGGGATTCTCAATTCCAGGGACATATTTGCAAGAGAATTCACTCCAAGGGCTCTCAATGTAATAAGTTCCCTGATCCCCCAGCTTCCTGATCTCCATCTTTCCTTTCTTCCTTATTAATGGAAGTCTCATTTCATTTGGACAGCCATGCACTTGGTGAAAAAACTGTATTTCCCACTCTCCATTGCAGCCAGGGCTGGTCAAACAACATACAAGTGGGTTGGTCAAGTGACATACACATGGTTGATACATAAGGGGAAGTCGACAGGTGGGGCTTCCAGGAATGCTTTTTAAAGGAGAGAACCCAGATGGCTTTCCTGGGTATATAGATCGAATCCGGGAATACAGAAGTAGTGCTGCACCTGGAGCAGCCATCCTGTGATCATGAGACAACCAACCATGTGAATGAAGTCACAGGCTAAGAATGATGGAACAGGAAGAGAATGAGACAGAGCTGAGACCCCTCCTGGCCTCTTGTAGCCACTGTACAAACCCTACACTGCCTACATCCAGCTGCCTATACAGGAAAAAATAAACCCTTTCCTTGTTTAAACCTCTATAGATGGAGGTATTCTGTCACCTGCAGCTTAACATATAGTTAAACTAAATTTGGCCTGAGACTGCCTCTGTACTTTGAGTTCCTATGTAGCAAACTGCAACCTAACAACATATCCTTATAACAAACAGCTAAGTCTTAGCCAATCACAGCAGCCAGGCTTCAGTCAGTCACAGTCTACCAGCTGATCAGTCTATATCCATATAAAGAAAATGCCTCATCACACCATGCCCATATAAGGCAAATGCCCAGCTGCAACCAATCAAGCTGTTTTGTACATCACTTCCTTTTCCTGTCTATAGATACTGCTTGCCTACCTTGCTGGGTGGAGCACTCCCAGTTCTGAATGCTGCCCAATTCATAAATTGCTGTATGTTCAAACCAGTTCTGCTAAATTTAATTTGCCTAAAGTTTTTCTTTTAACAGTAATCATAACTGATGCTCTCATAACAAGGTTCTCCTCTACTAAGAAATTCCAAGTGGCAAAATCCAGTCAGGATAGAATCAATCATACTTGAGTAGAGCTAGTAAGCCCTGCAACAGCCAAGGTCCATCCATAAAATCTGTTTATGGCAATGCCCATATGTTGCAGTGCCTTTCTGCTTCCCGGGAAAATCAAACATTCAGTATTTTATCTCCCTGACATAATCTGAAGCTGCCCAGAACATGTCAGAAAACTATACTAGTGGCATCTAAAGGATGAGAAACTTAGAATCTGCTTCAGGTCAACAGTATAAGCATGATTCATGGTTCCTCTTTCAACTATCAAAACTCCATTACACCTTCCAAAATGACCTAAGACTTGAATACCCAGTGCTCCTAGGAACTCAAAATCACTTTAAAATAACAAAACTTTATTAGTAGTAGTAGTCACAGTACTATAGTAGTTGTAGCAGCAGCAGCAGCAGCAGCAGCAGTAATAGTAGTAGTAACCCTGCCATTATTCTAATTTAACATTTATGGAGCACTTACAAATATGCCAGGCACTATATTAAGGTCTTCACAGGCACTACTTTATCTAATTCTTGCAAAAATCCTTTATGGTTGGAAGTATTCTTACCCTCATTTTACAGACATGAAACTTGAGATTCTGAAATTGTTATTTAACTTGCCTAAGATCACGGCCTGCTTGATTACAGAGTCTGTGCTCTTAACACTTATGCCATGTGGAGGCAGTCACCAAACCAGCAAACCCATATATTTTATTAAATAAAAAAATTAGCATGTACATACCAGGCTCTATAAGCTTCATACCACTCAGTACATATAAAGACAAACACAATCAATCAATCAGTCAATCACTCAATCATCCACCTTTGTCTGTCCACACAACCGCTCCTATGGATGAGGCCAGGGGATCAACAGAGATTGTGATCCACTTCCCCAGAGCAGAGAATCCCCCAAACTCACCAGAGTTCTTCTAGCATGACGTTCTTTGCCAGCATCAGTGCCAAGGCTTGGGCACCCACACTGCCAATGTTGTTCCCCACCAGGCTGGAGGTAATCATGGAACAAAAGTATGTCAGAGCAGGGAAAGACCTCAGAGATGAGCTAACCTATGGAGGGCAAAATTCGTGGTGCTCTCCTGGTCTGCTCCATTTCAGACATCACTAATTGATTGCGGTGCTCTTTCTTTTTTCTTTTTTTTTTTTTTTCTACCCTTTTTAGACATCACTAATTGAATGCAGTGCTCTTTTTTTTTTTTTTTTAGCTTTTTTAGACATCACTAATTGATTATAGTGCTCTTCTTTAAGCCCAGGTGCAGCCTTAGAATTCTTTTTAATGTGGTGCACTGGGCACCCACTACCAATGGATTGGAATTGGTCCTTAAGATAAAATGTACCTGATCCAGCCCAATATCTTCAATTTACAGATACTGTATCAAAACCCTGAGAGGACAAGGGACATTTCCAAGTCACCCAGAAAGACTCGAGTGTCCTCTCTTGAAATCCAATGGTCTTTTTTCCTTACTCCATTGCCTAACATTGTGGGGTAGAAATAAAGTTCAAAGACCTTCAGAACTGGCCCCAGCTCCTCCCTCTTCACCTGATCTCCCCAAGAAAACTGCAGGATAGACTCTGAAGCTTACCTGAGCCACCTCAAGCTCTGGTGATCACCCAAGGCTTCAGCCAGGGCCTGGGCCCCCTCGTCACCCACTCTGTTGCCCCAGAATCTGAAAAGGCCAAAAGAGTCAACAGACAGTGTCAGTGAGTACCTGATATGTGTTCTAGACATGAACTAACAGTCCTCCTCCCTCTGCAGTCCCAGCCAGAGGGGCAGGACCACTCAATCCCAGAGTGGCCTCACTGGGGCTCCTGGTCCCAGCAAAGTGGACCTGCCTCCATCTTTTGGGTGGGATGGCCAAACTTAACCCAAGAGTTTTCAGTGGCTTTACATTACAGACTTAGAGAATAGTAGAGGGCTACCCAGCCCTAACCCTTAAGGACAGGAACTCACTGACAAGAGTAATTTACAGTTGTGACACTTTTTCTGACACTTAGTTCAGATACGCTTCCTGGTAACTGCCACCCACAAGTCCTTAGCTACCCTCCAGTACCTGCCCATAACAAGTCTAACACTTCTTCTGCAAGCTAGCTCTTTATCTCCTGCTTCTTCCTAACACCCCTAATTCCTTCACGCCATCAGCTTCAACTCCCCCAGCTTCTGGGCCATCCTCCTCTGACTCACTGTAGTTTGAAAACATCCCTTTCCAAAAGGTAGATCCCAACTCACACCTTCTGACTTATTGACTGTATTCTAGGGACCTACCCTGGACAGGTATGTACACAAGTTAGCAAAGAATGGCTGAATTAGGATGTCCACTGTACTTTCATTCATTAGGTATGTATCGATTGAGCTCTGGCTATGTGCCAGCACTGCTCTGTGCCCCAGGGATATGACACTGTAATAACAAAAAACCTGAAAACAACTTAATAGTCATCAAAAAGTGACCAGTTAAATACATTATGTAACACTCTGCAGCTCTTTGAAAAATGAGGTCAGGCTGAGCAAGGTGGCTCACTTGTGTAATCCCAATACTTTGGGAGGCAAAGGAGGGAGGATCACCTGAGCCCAGGAGTTTGAGACCAGCCTGGGCAACATAGTGAGACCCCGTCTCTACAAAACATAAAAATATCGGCCAGGCATGGTGGCTTGTGCCTGTAGTCCCAGCTACTCAGGAGGCCGAGGTAGGAAGATCACTTGAGCTCAGGAGTTCAAGGCTACAATGAGCTATGATTGCAACCACTGCACTCCAGCCTGGGTGACAGAGTGAGACCCTTTCTGTAAATATTAGTAAAATAAATAAATAGATAATTAAGTAAATAAAGAGGTCATAATGACCTAAAAAAATTCCTATAATATATGGCGAAGCAAAAAAAAACAACAACAAAAACAAAACAAAACAAACAAACAAACAAAAAAAAAAACCAAGCAAGTTACAGAACACTTTGTATCATATGACAGCGTTTGGGGGTTTTAGCACAACGCCTGGCCCAGACAGGTGCCCTAATAAATATGTGTTGAAAGAGGTAAATACCCCTGATGTGGCAGATGTGACCTCAAGCAGAAGAGAGTTCAGTGGGGCTGTGGCCTCCTTTGTTCTAGACTCTGTTGCTACTAATGCAGTGTGGAAAAGATGTTGATTTCTAGAGCAACATAGTCCCATTTGTGGCTCAAACTGAGCTTGGGGGCCGGGTGCGGTGGCTCACACCTGTAATCCCAGCACTTTGGGAGGCCGAGGCGGGCGGATCATCTGAGATCAGGAGTTCAAGACCAGCCGGGCCAACATGGTGAAACCCTGTCTCTACTAAAAATACAAAAATTAGCTGGGCGTGGTGGTGGGTGCCTATAATCCCAGCTACTTGAGAAGCTGAGGCAGGTGAATCGCTTGAACCAAGGAGGCGGAGGTTGCAGTGAGCCAAGATCGTGCCACTGCACTCTAGCCTGGGCAACAGAGTGAGACTACATCTCAAACAAAACAAAACAAAACAAAAAACTGAGCTTGGGGGCAACTTGCCTCCCTGTGAAATGGGCTGGAACACCTAGGCCCTAAGGTTATTCTCTCTTCCTACAGTCCCAGGTTCTAAAACTCCCAGTTCTTGTCAAATGGACTCCAGTTCACACTAGGGCATGACAGGATAGGAGAGAGGCTGCTGGAAACAGCACAGGTGCAAGCCTGGGTGCCTAGCAAACAGAGGAAGCCCACCCTGGGGCTGCAGGTTGGGGTACTCCCCTCCCTGGCAGGCCCTAGCATGGTCCTACAGGGAGCAAGAGCTCCGAGGGACCTAGCACAGCCCCTCTTATCCTGGGTGCCTTCCTATCCTTCCCCATTTCCTTCTCTTTCTTAGGTCAGGGGTCCTCACCCCTGGCTGTACATCCCCTGGGAAGCTTTTTAAAACTCCTGATACCTGGGCCTTGCACCTAGATATTTGCATTTCATCAGTCTGGGGTGGGAGGCCTGGCAATAGTGTTTAGAAGCTTCCAGGTGGTTTTAATATGCAGCTAAAGTACAGCCCTAGCGCCCCCTGAGGATCAGAGGGCTTCCTGTCACCAGCTCGTGGGCACTGTCCTCCCCTAGCCCCAACATCCCAAACTTCCTGTTTGTCAGGCATAGACCAAGTATGAAGGTGGCAGTCAAGGGCCGCCCACTCTCTCCCTGGCTTGTCCTCCCCACTGGAGCTGGGCTGCCTCTGGGGCCTCCTGGCTGAAGAGTTTCACCTGCCCCTAAATCCTCAAAAGTCCCAAGCCCCTCCATGCAGGTCCCTCTTCCTGGAATCCAACCTACCCCAGGAACTGCAAGGAGGTGTTGCCTCGGAGCCCCTCGGCCAGCACTTGGGCTCCCGCGGCAGTGATGTAGTTATTCCCCAGCCTGGAAGGGAAGACAGAGGAGGCTGAGAGAACACAGCGGCAGGCAGAAAAGGAGGGCCGTCTGTGCCCTGGCCAGGGAAACACAGGAAGAAAGCATTGAAGACCTGCCCGGGAGGCAGCAGCCACATCAGGTGCCCTCGCTGCTAGGTCTAGTTTACTCAGCGGCTCCCACAACTTCATTTTCCCCCAGCAAAGGGAAAGGGGCAGCGGGACGCTGTTTGCACAGCAGTGTGACAATTCCAGGCAGGAGCCACAGTAGGCAGCTGTCCTGGGAGGTGGTTTCCCCGGGACAGCGAGGGTGACTCAGGGTCACACCTTTCCCTCTGGTCTCAGCCGCCCTCGATCCAGACCCCATCGTGCCCTCTGCAGCCTTCCCAGATCTGTTGTTGCTACAGGTAGGCTTTACCTGTTGCACAAGAGCGCTGGGCAGGTCCAGGTGGCTGGAGGGAGGGGTGGGGCCCACTGAGCCTTCCAGAAAGGAAGGAGAGAGGGAGGGCCAAGGCTAGGGGTGGGGGAAGATCCCAGCAAGGAAGGCTCCTGCTGCAACTGAATCCAGACACCTCGGAGAGCTTCGGAGAAGCCCCAGAGCTCTCACCTGCAACCCTAGGCTTCCTGGGATAACTATACGCTTTCATTCTTTCAAGGAACGTCAAGCCACTCAGCTCACAACAATCCTATAAGGCAGATATTATTGTATCCTTGGAGAAGGGGTGTGGCAGCTAGGAGAACTCGCCTTTCAGGTCTCCAGCCTCAGCTCCTTGGAGGTAGCCAAGGGCCCCAGCTGCTGTGCTCCAAAATCTAACATCCTCGCATCTGCACTTGCCAGCCCCTGCCTGAGACATCAGGCTCCCCTGCCTGGTGAATTTGGTTCAAGAACTCCTCATCAGCCTTGCCAAGATGTCTTAGGACTGCACTGAAGTCCAAGGTGCCCAGTCTCAACCTTCCTTCCTTCCCTCTCTCCTTCACTCAGGGACACACCTCCCAGCCTCCCCCAGCTCCCTTCCCCACTTCCCCTTTTAGGACTTTTCCCCAATAAATGGGTGGCACATTGAATCCCTGCTTGGAGGACCGGACTCACATAAGGAGAAACAAGCTGAGTGCTTGTGTGATTTACCCATCATCTTTCAGCCACTCGCTTACTATATAAAGCCCCTGCCAGACGGTGCAGCCCTTCATGTGGATTAACTTGCTTGCTCATCACTACAGCCTGTGAGGTAGCCAGGGTTATTACCTCCATTCTACAGAAGGGGAAACGGAGGCACACAGACATTGGGCTGACCTGAGGTCACGCAGCTAATGAGGGTTCAAACCTCGGGCAGTCTGGCTCCAGAGCCTGTGCTCTCTATTACAATGATATACGGTAATCCCTGCCCCCTGCTTATCCGCAGCTTCGCCTTCTATGGTTTCAGTTATCTGAAATCAACTGCAGTCCAAAAATATTAAATGGAAAATTCTAGAGATAAACAATTCATACATTTTAAATTGCATGCTATTCTGATCACGTGCCATCCAGCTCCATCCCACCCAGGACGTGAATCAGCCCCCCGTCCAGCGCATCCACGCTCTATACGCTCCCATTTGGTAATCATCAAGATCGTCTGCTCCTGACATCCAGCTGCCGACCTCATTGTTGCTCAAAGATTAGGGATCTCTGGGAGCAGATGATTCTCCTCCTGAAGTGTGGTCAGGTCAACAGCAGCCCAGCGCTAGAGCACAGTGCTGCATGCGTCATCCACCTCACTTCCTCCCATCACACAGGCATTTTACCACCACACATCTTCCCAAGAAGAAGGGTGAGTACAGTACAAGAAGATATTTTGAGGGAGATGGAGAGAGTCCACATTCACATAGTGTTATTATAGTACATTGATTGTTATAATTGTTCTATTTTATTATGAGTTGCTATTACTCTCTTACTGTGCCTAATTTATAAACTACACTTTATTGCAGGTGTGTAGGTATTGGGAAAAGCATGGTATGTGTAGGGCTTGATACTCTCCATGGTTTCAGGCATCCACTGGGGTCTTAGAACATCTCTCCTGCACATACCGGAGGACTACTGTGTTGGCCACAAACTCAGCCTCCATTTCTGAAACTAGCACCCTTCTCAGGGATGGGCCAGCCAGGTCTGGCCACAGCCTATTCCAGGCTTGTGAGTCTGAGGGATCAGGCAGTGGTAGCAGGACTGAGTCCTTTGTACAAATTGGCACCTGTGGTTCTGATCTCAGTAGCCCTTGCCGAGACTGAGCTATGTGGCCCGCCATTTTAAAATGGCGGCTCCCATCCACAAACCCAGCCCAAGAGGTAAAAGAATAGATGGAAGCAATTCTTTACTTTGTCTTTTTTTACTGCCTCACAAATCACAGGAGGCAAGAATATCTGAGAGAGAGAGAAGGAGAGAGAAGCCAGGCCAACCCAGCGGCCAGCTAGAGGGGCAATTTAAAGGCATCAGGTAGGAGAGAGAGAGACTCCTGTTGAAACTGGGAGACACTGGAGTAGCAGAAATGCAGAACCAGATGGACTGCAAACCTTGCATGCTCTGAGTGGTGAAAGGACCTCCTGGGAGTGTTGCAGCAACTCGCTGCCACAGCTGGGGTGGCAAGTAACTGTGTATGCCTCCCCCACCAGGACGAGCTCAACATGCATCGTGGAACTCAGTAAACCCAGAAAGCTGTGACACTCTTAGACACAGAAAAGGAAAGGGGCCTAGAAAAGCTTTCTTGCCCTACGGGCTAAAGGTCAAAAGACAGGAAGTCCTCAGCAGAGCTAGTCCAGAGTTTACTGGGGAGATCACAGCATTAGAGAACCCCTGCTTAAAATGAGACACTGTCCCTGCATTCAATCAGGAGGTCAGGAGCCAGTGTGGGCAGTGCCAGGCCAAGACCAGATCAGACTGACTCAGGAATGGGGCAAAAAATAGTTTCCAGGGAATAAGGAAAACCTGGGCTCACCTCAATGCCAAGAAGTTCTGCCTGCATGCAAGGAGCTTAGCCATGGAGTGTGCACAGCCGTCAGTCAATTTGTTGTTGAATAGACTGTTCAGTTCCAGAAGAGAGGAGACACAGAAGCAAAGCACATTGGACAGTGAGCACCAAATCCCAGGGTTGCCCTTCCCCTCTGGGCAGGAATCACCTGCACCCCCCATCATGCAAACAGCCCCTGCCCCAGCCCATCACTCACAGCTTCCCAGGCTGCACGACCTGGGGTGAGACCAGGGCACTTGGAGCCCATTGTCCACAGCCCAGGCTGACTTACGCTAACTTCTGCAATTGCTCGCAGTGAAGAGCACATTCAATGAGCTTGCAGATGCCTCGGTCTGAGATATTGTTATCGCGCAAACTAAAGAGACAAAATAAATACATTTGAAAATGGAGCTAGTAAGACAAGAAAAAAATCTACAAATCCCCCAAAAAGACTTTCATTCATCCCTGAAGTGCCAGCATCTGTGCTTCCAGGAAACCCTGCATAGATGGAGCACCCCAAAAAAGTGGAGACCCCACGGTCCCTGGCCAGGGAGGTGACGTGGTGCACTATGATGGGGATGGCCCAGGACGTAGGATCCAGACCCCCTACTAAAGAACCCTGGAATCCTTAGGAAATGACAGAGCTAATTTGAGGCAATGTTTCCATCTCTGCAAAAGGAACATGATAATCACAGCAGCCTCACAAAGGGGATGATGGTGGAAAGGAGCTGATATATGCGAAAGGTGCAGCCTGAACTAGACAGGCTACCCCTGGGGACAATTTACCATCATCTAGGTCAGCAGACAGTAGACCAGCTGGATGAGAGTGGCCAAAACTTCAGAAACAGGCATATAGGCTGTGGTTAGTGAGGCCCTGCTGCCCAGTCCTTAACCCCAATGGCACCACTCCAACAGGCTAGTCCCTGCCGAGCAAGCCCTGTCTGCCACTCCTCTTGGGGCACCATTCCCAAAACTCACCTGATCACAACATCATCTGAAAGCTTCCCTAAAAGACAGATTCTCAGGCCCATACCCTGGAGCTGGCAATCAAGTATCTGCGGGGTGGGGCCCAGGAATCTGTATATTTTAACAACTGTGCACATGATTCTTTATCTTTAGGCAAACTTGGGAGGCCCTGACTGAATGGTTAACAGCTCAGGCTCTGGAGTGCCTCAGCTGGATATTGTGATCCTGATCAGCGACTTACTAGTTATTTGCTGGTCTCTTCATCTATAAAAGAGGGAACAGGCCGGGCACGGTGGCTCACGCCTGTAATCCCAGCACTTTGGGAGGCCGAGGCGGGCGGATCACGAGGTCAGGAGATCGAGACCATCCTGGTTAACACAGTGAAACCCTGTCGCTACCAAAAATACAAAAAAATTAGCCGGGCGTGGTGGCAGGCGCCTGTAGTCCCAGCTACTTGGGAGGCTGAGGCAGGAGAATGGCGTGAACCCGGGAGGCAGAGCTTGCATGAGCCGAGATTGTGCCACTGTACCCCCTGCCTGGGCAACAGAACGAGACTCCGTCTCAAAAAAAAAAAAAGAGGGAACAATAGTATTATCAGCCTCACCAGGCTGTGCACATAAAGCCTTGTGAGCACCCGGTACACAGTAAAAGTCACCTAGAATCATGATCGCTAGCACTGATCACTACCCTTACCACTTCTCAATAATAACACTATTTCATCCTCACAACAAGCCAGTGAAATGGGAACCATTATTATGAGCATTCGTGAGAAAGAAACTGAGGCACAGACAAGCGAAGTGACTTTGCCAAGGTTGTACGGCACATAAAGGCTTTGAGCCTAGGCGGCTTGGCTCCAAACCCCACTCTTAACCATGACATTGTGCAGCTTCTCCCTCAGGGCCTCTTATGGCCACTTCTGTAGTGCAGTGATTTTTCAGACTGCAGGTTGCAGGTCATGCAAATCATTTTGAAGGTCCTGAGCAGCATTTCTAAAATGGAAATAGAACAGAACAGAAGAGAGCAGAGTGTCTCAGAGTTCATAAAGCGAAGTCATTTTGTGAAACTTAGGTTCCATGTTTACATGGTGGTGCGTGCTCTCTCTCTCTCTTTCTCAATCATTGTGGGTAACATTCAAAAAACTTTTAAAGCCATCACTCTAGAGTCTGAGAGAGCCAGAGTCTAAAGAAACCTATATAGGGGCACTGTGTATATAGGGTTTCCTAGAGGCTGAGGATTTCAGTTGGCATGGAAACACTTCAAGTGGGAGAGAGGCAGGTTGGCACTGTGGGAGAGGAGCCTGTGCCCTCCCCCTTCCTCCCTTCCTCTCTTTCTCAATCTCTCTCTCTCTCTCATACACACACACACACACACACACACACACACACACACACACAGTGCACTCACAGCAACCTCATGGTTGCTTCCCCTCCCCTACGGCCTTGGCAGTTTTAGTGTGTGTAAGGTGAAGAGCAGTAAAACTCGCTCAAGGACAGTAATTGCTAATGGAAAACCAAGCTGGTTGCTGCAGACCAGTAGTTCTCCCAGGGCGAGACCACTTGTATCAGAATCACCAGGGGTGTCTGTGAAAAATATAGATTTCCTGGGCCCCACCCCAAACCTACTGAATGGGAATCACTAGAGGCAGGCCCAGGAATCTGCATTGCCACGAGTGCCTTTACACACCACAGTCTGAGCACCATGAGCTAGAACCAGGCCACCCTCACCTTTCTCTGAACACAGAGACAGACCCACAGGTTTCCCAGAGCCCTTCTGCACACCCTGGTAATCACGGGGACATCCCTAATCAAGGATGGATGATCCATTCAAGAATTCCAGAGATGGACTGGCCTATGAGGATCACACAGGCCAGTGATGCCTGGCCTCTTGGGGTAAAAACTGAGTCTACTACCCAGGAAAATGCACATTCTTATTTCTATCAGGGAAATTGCTCCAACAGACAGGTTTCCAAATTCCCACTCAAAGTATCATGATCCTCCCTCCTAGGGAAATAGAGTTTGGTGCTGGCTGTTTTCCATTTGCCTGGCCAGATCCACTCTCCCCCTTCTCTACCCGTCCCTGGCTCCTGGGAGGCTGATGCCTGGGGACTACTCCAGCAGACAGCCCACTCGGCCTCCCTGATGGGTCCAGCTGGTGGAAGGCGCTGGCCAGGAGCAAGAGTTGGGGTGAGGAGTTAGGGCCAAGCGGTATTCTTCCACTTTGCAGAAGCTCAGGCAGCCGTCTCCATACCTTCCCCCCAGCTAATTAGTCTCCCTCCCCTTCCCCCTTCAAGTCTACCCTCCCCCAGCTGTTACTAACCCCAGGCCCCTGCACCAACCCTCTCACTCTTCCTAACTCCTGCCCATGGCTTGTAAACAATCTGTTTTTCAAACTCTCCTCAAAACACCCATTTTAAGTGTGTCATCTGTTTCCTCCAAGACCATGATGGGTATAATCATATTTACATTCATTGCATATAATACATATATATATTCGCTATATATGTTATGTATTATGTTGTTATTATGCTTTAACCTAAAGACCATGGTCCCTATGTCAGGGTTAACAAAATTCACTACACAGTTTCTAGTGGGTATCCATGTGTTTGGTCCATGATGAAAAATAAATCTTGTTGCTTTGCCCCCAGAGAAGATGTATACCATCCTAATACTCTCAGGAAGTGGTTTGTCCCATGCTTAGGGTCAATTAAGGTCATCCAGGTGTAGCCCAAAGCCCCTGGAGGCTGGGAATCAATTTTAACTTCAATCTAGAACTTCTGCTTTCCTATAGGTTCTAAATAGAAGCAGGGCAATCCCCTTTCAAGCTGGAAGGATGTTGGGGAATCTGTCGCATGCTGATCCGCAGGCCTAGGCACACCCTCTGCCCTTGCCTGCCCCCAAGATGTGGAAAGAGGCCCCCGAGTTCAGGGGCACAGATTCTCCAAAGGGCAAAACCTCACATCTTTGGCTGGGGCTCTAAGCAATACGGGTAGTGCTGAAATCCTGTTTGGACACTGTGCTACCTCAGGAATCCAACAGTAGTTGTAACCCTGCAGCCACTTTCTATTTCTTGGGTCCTGAAATTCCCATCTGGTTGGGGTGTTAAAGTCTCTGATGGGGCACAAGTCACCTCTGATTTGGTGTTGTTCCTGATACGGACACATACTACACAAAACTTTCTGCAAGTGACCTCAAGGTTTTCAGGGAGCCTCTGAAGTGTATCCATAGACTGGTGGGAGGCAGAAAACCTGTAATCAGAATGATGCAATTTGTGAACCCCAGCTCTGCCATTTCCTGGACAAGTTACTTCACTTCTCTGAGCCTCAAGTCAAGGATAATGGAGATAATAACATTCCTGCCTACCCGCCAGGGTGGTTGTAGAGATTAGATGAGGTCATTCCGGAAAGCATAGCACCAGACCCAGCACATAGGCCAGTCAATAAAGTGTGGCTGTCATCATCACATATTGAAATTAAGGCCCAGAAGGGAAGGGATCTGGGCAGTGTTGCAAAGCAGGGTGGCAGAGGCGAAGCTGGGCCCAGACTTCTAGAGCCCAGCTCGGTGCTCCCACACTTAGCCTTGATGGTGCTCCCCCATACCTGAACAGCAATGCCCAGTAACACTCACTACAGAGCCTTGCAGACACCAAGGCAAGGCAGCAGCTGCTCCACGCCAATGTCACCCACAGAGTTGTAGTCCAGCTGCAGGGCCACGGGCCGCCGGAGGTGCTGCAGCACAAAGGCCAGGGCAGCACACTCAGTGGGGCCCACACTGCAAAATGTCAACTTGAGGTGCCCAACATTCAGGCCACGTGCAGCCTTCCGAGCCAGCCGCTCCTCCTGCATCTCGTACAGGCTCCGGATGAGCCAGATGAACCCGGGCATGGCATGCACGCTCTTGGCCTCACCCGGTGCAGCTGGCGGGATGGAGTGGAAGTGCTTGCGGAGGCTGCGGGCCAGACACCAGCGGGCACAGGCCTGGCGCCGGAGCAGGGCCTTCTCAGATGTCTGGCACTCAGCCAGCAGGCCCCAGTGCTCCCGGGACAACAGCCCTGCCAGGAAGGCTGCTGTGATCTGAAGGTTGTGCGGCTCGGCCTTCTGCAGCAAAGCTGCCACGCTGCTGTCCTTTCCCTCCGAGGCCTGGATGCACATCGTGGGCAGGAGCCTGGCCATTGGTGAGTTGCCTGGCCTGCCACAATTGAAGAGGTGTCTGAGCAAAGCTGGTGGCACATCAGCACTGAGTGCCAGGTAGAACGCGGCAAAGAAGCACTGGAAAGTGATGTGAAGGAATTCCAGGGGCGCCGTACTCCCTGGCACGACACCTTTGGCACGCACCAGGAAGCCAAGAGAAATGTCATCAGGGCTGACCTGTGCTGCCTGGAGCTGCTGGGCTGAGAACACGTAGCAGCACATGCCCAGGCCCCACAGAGCCAGTCTGCCCAGGTGCAGGAGGGTGGGGAGGCGGCCCCGAAGAAGACTGGGTCCCAGACCTTGGGAAGCTGAGTCTGGGGGGGTGGCATGCAGCAGAAAATGCTGCAGAATCAGCAGGTACATATCTGTAGTGGTCTTTGGGGACCCCCCCTCCTGCAGCAACAGTTCCTGGTGGCATTTGGACACCATCCATGAGAAGACAGGCAGGTGGCACAAACCGTGCAGGGCTGAGGTCTCTTGGAGCAGGCGGATGAGGCGGTCCGCCACCCCGGGCTCATGATGGCGCTTCCTCAGGTACAGCTCGATGCCCTGTTCAGAGAAGCCCTTGAGGTTGAACTCGGTGCGGATGTACTTCCTGAGGAACGCCGACACAGCGGCCGGACGGCTGGTCACCACCTTGCGGGCATTCTTCAGCAGGTTGCCCTGCAGAAGGTTGAAGAGCAGGGTCTGGACAGAGGTGGGGTCGGTCGGGGAGCAGTGGCGTTCACGATCCGTGAACCTGAACTTGAACTCGTCAAAGCCATCAAAGGTTAACAGGACACGGTCAGGGTGGTCAAGGAGTAACTGGAAGATGTCTTCTTGACCAACATCAGGCCAACAGCAGTGCTCAAAGAGTAGAGTCCGCACAGAGAGTGGTTTGGCCATGCACTGCAGCTGCCGGCAGCTGAATGGGAAGACAAAGAGAAATTCCTGGAAGTCTTGCCCTGCAGCCCACAGCAAGTGCAGCCGCTGCAGGAGCGTGCTCTTGCCACTGCCCGCCTCACCCACCACCAGCACAGTGTCCGCATCGTCATTGAGGTGGCCAGGGGTGCTGAAGAGCTCCTCCAGGCCCAGGGTGGCTGGGCTCTTCTGCGGGGGTCCAGCCATGCCCACATCTGCCCAGACCTCCAGGACATTCTCTGTGTATATGTCCTCCAGGCAGAGCGTCTCTGCTCCATCATAGGTACTGAGGAAGCGAGACTGAGCAGACACCGTGGTCCTCAGCTTGGCCATATACTTCTTGCATGTGGCAGCTGGAAGGCAGAAGAAGAGGCAGATGAAGGTGGCACCATGGTGAAGACGGGACCTAACCAGACAATGGGCTGCTGCGGGGGACGCTGACATAACTGAAGGGATAGGAGAGCCAGCGGGCGCCCATCCTGGCTCCTCCATTCACAAGCTGTGCACTTTGAGGACAGTCAAGGAAACTTCCTAACCCTCAGTTTCCACCTCTGTAAGGTGGGAGAAATGTTGGTCACTACCTCACAGAGTTTTACACGGATCAACTAAGATGACCTATGTCAAGTGCTTAGCACAGTGTAAGTGCTCAACACAAAGTAAGTGCTCAAAAGACATCAGTGACTGCCGTTATCATTACTGACACCAGGAGGAGTTCTAGATGACGGGAAGGGGCTCTGGGCTGGGATCGGAAGACCTGTATTCTGATATCTGTCCTGCCATAGTGGCCGGGTGGCTTTGGATAAATCCCTTCACCACTCAGCCTCAGGTGACTTTTTCTAAAGGGGAACAAAGGGCTTAAGGGCTCAGGAGCCCAGTCTCTGAAGCCAGACACACCTGAGTTTGAAAACCTGGGTCCACCATACACTTGGGCAAGCCATTTAGCCTTTCTGGGCCTCAGTTCTCTCATCTGTAAAAATGGGGACAATATACACCTGGAAGGATTTTTTCAGGAGGCAGCGAGATAAAATACAGTTTAAAAGAATATCTGACATGGCAAACTCTCAAAAAATGGTGCTTATTATCATTATTATTCATGGATATAGTAGGCACAACAATAGACCCTCAAAGATGTCCATGTCCGGATTCTCAGAACCTGTGAATATGTTACCTTACGTGGCAAAAGGAACTCTGAGATGTGATAAAGTTAAACTTCGAGATGGGGAGATGATCCTGATTGATCTGGGTGGACCTAGCAAGGGAAGGCCTCGGGGTCACCGGGGTGCCCCAGCTGAGCACTCGAACAAGAGTCTGTGATCCTGCCTCCACTTCCCCATCCTCCCCATGCACCCCATGCAGGGAGAGTTTTCATGCACGGGGTGTGTTTGGAAGGCCAGTGCTCTTCCTTTCTCATCCTGAAAGTAATGCAAGCAAACCATTTCCTGTGTCAGAGTTTAGTTCCCCTTTCAGGAAATGGGGAAGTGCTGGTTTAGCGTCCCAGGCTGGTAGGAGCTTGGCATGGTCCCCCGCCATCACAGCCTCACTGCCCCCAACCAAACACTGGCCCACTATTTTCAACCCAAAAACTAGCAAGTAATTTTCATAGAGCTCTGAGCTCACTGATGACTATCTGCAGTCACACAAAGGGGACGCCCTGTGTTTATGTCACCTCTGTTCCCAGAGTTGATGATTATTGCTGAGCTTTCTGCCCTCTGAATATACCAGGATCCCTGAACTTAGACCATAAGATAGATATCTTCCTCTCCAGTACATATCAGATATATATCTTCCTCTTCCGACCTGATTTCTGATGCAGGTTTTCCAGTCATCACCAATGATACTAAAATTCTCCAGAAAAAAAAAATGTCATTTTATAGAGAAATAAACACACCAATTGTCACCTTTAGAAGTGTGGGGAATCTTGCACCCTGGCCTGGTCTTACAGTGACTAGCTGTGCTTGATGATGTCAACAGCAAACCTCAACCAAGGGCCAAACCAGGGCCTGCACTCCGTGCCGCGCACCCTGCTGTGGCGCACTGATGTTTAGATCCTGTTCTTCAATGAGACGGTGCACTCGCGAGTGCCAGGCACAGACTTCCAGCCACCCCGCCCACAGGCTTGCTTGCTGCCCAGAGGACACAGCCCAGGGTGATAGACCCATCTGCCAGCACCACACACAGCTCAGGGGGCTTCAGTGCCAATGAGCTTTCCCTACAGTGGTGTAGGAACAAGCCCTAAAGAGTGCCAGGCTTGCACTCTCTCTTTACAACTGACATTTCTTCTCCCAAGAAAAGAGAAAGTGTAGGTGGGGACAATTTACAATCAGACCCATCTTCCCCTCCCTCGTCACTTAACCTCCCTGCCCAGTTTCCACATCTATAAGGTGGAAAAAAACACCACCTACTTCTCAGGGTTGTTGCAAAGGGTAGACATTGTCCATAAAGCACCTGGCAGGATGCCTGGTATGTTCAAGTGGTGCGGTCCAAGCCCCTCCTGTTCCTGAGTTTGGGTGGTGACCCTGGGCACTGAGGGATACCAGAGTCTCTAGATCCACTTGGTTCTTGAGTTTCCCATTGTGAGCTGCTAAATTTCAGAGATCAAGAGATACCAGCCCTAACTCAAAACATGTGTCCATATCTTTTCGGTACAGATAATGAGAGTTTGGATGGTAAGTAACACCTTTAGTTAGCCCTCAATATATGGTAGCCCAATTGTCAGTATACTGTGTGGGAGATAATGAAAGCTAATAGCTAACATTACACGCTTTTGTCCTTTTAATGCTCCCAAAATCCCAATGAGACGGGGTGGTGCTAGCCTTAAAACAAGGAAATTGAGTCATAGGGAGGCTATACTGCCAGCATATGGGATGTTAACCGAGGTGTGTTCTGCTCTTAACCATGGATCTGCACTGACTGCCCTTCCCTTTCTGATTAACTGAGAACATACACCTACCTTCCAAAGGCAGGGCCAATGGGACTGGTAATTCCTGAACATGTTGTAGAAGGAAGGCAGCCAATCCATTCGCTTTCACCGTGGCAAGATCAAGCAGCCTTCTTGCCTACAGGAAAGGCAGAAGACATTATTCTTCCAGGAAGGCTGATGGAGCAATGTGGGAAGGCTTACTGATTACTGCAACTTCATAAGCATCTCTCTTCCATCCAGAATAAAAGGTCAAAAAAACAACCGAACAACCACATGAGTTTCAAGTAGTTAATACAGTGTTGGATGGTGAATTGAACGCATGCATCCAATCTGGCTCCTACTCAAAACTCACTAAAACAGTGAATAACTGAAAAATAAATGAAACAAAATGAAGACATAAACCTACAAAGATAGGGAAAATGATTCTGCAGGCTGTAAATCATTTGGAAGAGAAGTGATTTCATCAAGTCTCATGGATTGAATATTTGAATACAATCTCTCCTCAGACTCCCACATCTTCATCTCCAGCCTGAACTGTCTCCCTGAACCCTGGACTTGCACATCCAACTGCCTATTTTCCATCTCCACTTAAAAGTTTCATAAACACCTCCAACATATTCAAAACTAAACTCCTAACCTGCCCATGCACCTGCCAAACCGACAGCCTTCCTCATCTTGGCTAATATTAACCCCTTTCTTCCAGGTGCTCTGCCCCGAAGTCTTGGAGTCACCCTTGAAGCCTCTCGTCTGTAATCTGCCAAATCCTGTTGACTCCACCTTCAAAGCATGTCCCAAAAAGGGCACTGTTCCACAGAAATGAAATGCAGGTCACAAATGCAAGCCGCATGTGGAATTTCAAATCCTCTAACAGACATATTTTTTAAAGTTAAAAGAAATAGATGAAATCAACTTTAATCATATATTCTATTTAATCCACAATAGCCAAAACATTACCATTTCAACATGTAATCCATGTAGAAAATAGCAAGATATGGCTGAGCATGGTGGCTCATGCCTGTAATCCCAGCAATTTGGGAGGCCAAGGCGGGTAGATCCCCTAAGGTCCGGAGTTCCAGACCAGCCTGGACAACATGGTGAAACCCCATCACTACTAAAAATACAAAAAATTAGCCAGGCGTGGTGGCAGGTGCCTGTAGTCCCAGGTACTCAGGAGGCTGAGGCAGGAGAATCACTTGAACCTGGGAGGCGGAGGTTGCAGTGAGCCGAGATCACACCACTGCACTCCAGCCTGGGTGACAGAGCAAGACTGGGTCTCAAAAAAAAAAAAAAAAGAAAGAAATAGCAAGGTACGTTTCATTCTTTCTTTCATATTAAGTCTTTGAAATCTGATGTGTATTATGTGCTTATGGAAACTCCATGTGGACCAGCCAGGTCTCTAGTGCTCAAATGCCATCTGTGGCCAATATCTACATACCAGACATAGAGTCATTTCTTGTCACCTCCTCTATACCATCCTCCTCCAAGCCACAATCCCTGCTTATCTGGAAAGCTGCACAGGCTGCAAAACTGGTCCCCCTGCTTCTGTTCCTGCCCCCACAGCCTAGCCTTAATGCCACAGCCAGAGTCTAATCCTTTACAAACAAAACTCAGGTCACATTGCTCCTGTACAAACGTCCCAATAGCGTCCCTATTTCCTCAGAGTAAGAGTCCAAGTCCAATAGTAACCTTCAGGGCCCAAAACAGACAAAAATACCTGTCTAGAACCACGTGGACCCAAGTTTCTCCTTTCATGCCCCCTCTTACTCCACTCAGCATCCTGGCCTCCTGTTTCCTAAAACTACCAGGTATGCTCCTGCCTCTGGGCCTTGGCTCTGGCTGTCCTCTCAGCTTGGAAGCCTTCCCCTAGCCATCCATGTGGCTAATTCCCTGTCCTCCTTCAAGTCTTTACTTGAATTTCACCTTCTAAGTGAGAACTCTGACTACTCTATTTACAATTGCCATCATTTATCCCCTTCCCAAACTCTCAACTCCCAAACCCACTTTACTTACTTTCTACAGCACTTATCACCTTCTAGCACACGCTGTAATTTCCTTCCTTTGGCTTATTGTCCCTCTCCCCTGACTGGAGTGTGTGTATTTCCAAGACAAAGATTTTTGTCTGTTTTGTTCACTGAGGTATCCCTAACACCTAGAAGAATGTCTGGCACAAATCAGGTGCTCAAGGACTTGCTGATTGAATGAATAGTAACGGACTGAGGAGACTCCTGAAAGCCAAATCTTAACCCCAAAACAAGAAAGTTGAAAACCATGCAGTGTGTACCCTAGGATCTGTAAAGGGCTCTGGAATGATCAGCATGAGGGACCTCCGGAACTGAAGGAAATGACTAAAACAAGGAAGACTGAATCAAAGTGGTTTCTGAAACAGATTTCTGGTTTATCCCCAGGCAAAAGGTCTGTGGTGTACTCAGATAACTTGATCAACCCAGGAGGCGAGATCTAAAGATATAAACACTGTCAATCTCCAAAATATCTACAGTGAAATTCATGGTAGACAAGTTTCACCCGCATGCTCAACAAGTTTTAAAGTCCTACCTGTCAATCTTGAGAAAGAAAACCAAAGAGTATCATGAGCCCAGAGAAAGCATCTAATGTGGGAGATAGAAGCCAAAAAGGGGGGAAGGGGAAAGAAACTTGTAGAAAAAGTTTACATAGGGTGAAAAACAGTCAAACAAACAAACAAAGAACCCACCTATCTTATGATCCTTAAGTCAAAGAAGATGTTGCATCCATAAAACAAGAGTAAGATACTACAAAAAAGAATCAGTCAAACCTACCCCTTGCAAATTAAAATCATGACATCAAAAATGAAAAACTCAAGAGTTTAAAGATAGAGCTGTGACTATCATAGAAAAGTAGAGCAAAAAGACACAGAGATGGAAAATAGAAGAAAATTAAATGATCAGTCAAGGAATTCTAACATTGAATTAATAGTAGTTTCATGAAAAGAGAAGAGATAAAATGGAGAGGAAGAAATCACCTGTAAACTAATCAAGAACATTTCCCAAAACATAGAGAAGTTTCCAGATTGAAAGTACCTCTTGGGTGACTAACATAATGGAAGAACACCAAGGCACATAATTGAAATTTTAAAATTCTGGGGACTAAAAGAAAATTTTAAAAGCTTCCAGAAAGAGTTTTAAAATGGTTTTGGAGGCTGGGTGTGGTGGCTCACGCCTTTAATCCCAGCACTTTGGGAGGCCGAAGTAGGCAGATCACCTAAAGTCAGAAGTTCAAGACCAGCCTGGCCAACATAGCAAAACCCCATCTCTACTAAAGGGTGTGGTGGTGGGTGCCTGTAATCCCAGCTGCTCAGGAGGCTGAGGAAGAAGAATCACTTAAACCCAGGAGGTGGAGGTTGCAGTGAGCTGAGATCACACTACTGCATTCCAGCCTGGGTGACAGAGTGAGACACTGTCTCAAAAAGAAAAAAAAAAAAAGGTTTTGGAATTCTTAGAAGCAATATTGAAAAGAGAGGATAATGGAATAATGCAATCAAAATTCTGAAGGAAAATGATGGCCAGCCCAGAATTTTATACCCAGCCAAACTATCAATCCAGTATGAGGGAACTTTAAGACATGTGAGACCTCAGAAATTTTAACTTTCATACATTCATTCTAAGGAATTGACTGGAGGATACGGTCTAGCAAAATGTAGTAAACCAGGGAAGAAGAGGCCATAGGATTCAGGATACAGGAGACCAAGGCAGGAAGACCATGTAGGGAAATCTCAGGTTGATGGCTGTATACTATAAGTAGATGGCCACCAGTTCAAACAAAATGGAGCAGTGACTCAAGATTCAAACAAGTTGAGGGCAGTTATCTCCTAGATGTCCAGGCAAGCCTGACCCTAACCTTTATCTATATTTGACTTGTCTTCACCATGAACTAATATCGTTTCTTTTCAACTCCCGCTGCCTCAGTCAGCTGAGGACATTCATTTCACTCCACAGGAGTGTTTAGCCTTGGCCCATTCCTGTGAGCTATAATAGCCTTTGGCAACTTTACCACTGACTGTACAAAGCAGCCCACTTCCTCTGGCCATTTTCCTCCGGACACAGCACCTAATTCACATCAGTCCTACCAGACCCTCCAGTTGCAATGAGCCCAATATTTCCCCAGACTCATTCATGGCATTGCCGACTGACTTCCCAGAAGAGGTCCTTATAAATTCCCAGGGAAGGAAAAGCCAGACCAAGTCCCTGAGACTCCACTTAGCTTTCCCTGCCTTGGGAACCTTCATCTAAGAAAAGGCAATAGTAACCTTTCTTTTTTTTTTTTTTTTTTTTGAGACAGAGTCTTGCTCTGTGACCCAGGCTAGAGTGCAGTGGTGCGATCTTGGCTCACTGCAACCTCTGCCTCCCGGGTTCAAGCAGTGCGATCTCGGCTCACTGCAACATCTGCCTCCCGGGTTCAAGCGATTCTCCTGCCTCAGCCTCCCGAGTAGCTGGGACTACAGGCACATGCCACTATTCTTGGCTAATTTTTTGTATTTTTAGTAGAGACGGGGTTTCTCCATGTTGGCCAGGATGGTCTCGATCTCCTGACCTTGTGATCCACCTGCCTCAGCCTCCCAAAGTACTGGGATTAAAGGCTTGAGCCACTGCACCCAGCCTAATTTAAGTGACCTTTCTTTACACAGCTATTTTTGGCTTGCTACTCAGTTTTTCAAAATAGAACAATACATTATTTGGGGATTTATTTTAAAAGATGCTAAAACATTAAAGAAAGGCAAAGAGATGATTTACACAAAAGTCAAGCCAGTGTTTACCTCTAGCAGTTGCAGTTAAAGAAGGCCCCAGGTACTGGCAACATCCTGTTTTTTAACCTGGGTGATGGGAACAGTTTACACTATACATATGAAATATACACACTCTTCTGTATGCATGGTGCATTTCCCAATTTAAAAAATGTTTAAGTTAATATTGTTATAGGAATCAGGCAATTCAGAGCTCAGTCTGACACCTCAGCCCTATCAACTTTAACAGTTGCATGAGTCAGACGGACAGCTGGTATTACAGCTGGTGTTACCAGCCTCAGGTTTCCTAACAACTGCTATGCCCAACTGAGCAAGTTTACCACACAAAGCCCCCACATTTTATGACAGACAGAGAATAGCACAAGCTCTGGAGGAAAACAGGCCTGGATTCAAATTCTAGCTGGGCCGCTTCCCAGATGGGCGATTTGGGCAGTTTCTTCATTGTTAAGAAACAGTGTAGTCACACTATACCCTTGTGAGGCTTAAATAAAACAATACAGGGAATGGACTGGGTACAGTGTCTGGCACACAGTAGGAATTCACTCAGTCAATAGTAGCAATGGGTATTTTTGGAATTTAGTTCTTTAACTTGCATTTTGTTTCATTCCACAGCATTTTCTGTCCCTAACCTGCAATCAATGACAACTACTTCTTTATAGGAAATTAAAAGGCCATTTGGGAAGACATGTTGGTTGGATATACCACAAGCACCATCCAAATGAAATCAGTAAGGCCACTAAGGGAAGGCCACCAAATCAGAGTCACAGAATGTCAGAGCTCAAAGGGAGCTCAGAGAGAGCTGGATTCTAAAGGCTTAAACCTCAGGCAGTGCAATCCTTTCAAAATCTCCTGCTCTCCTCAGATCTGTTGTCTCCCATCCCTGCTACCCACTCAGCTCAGTCCCAACCTTCAATGTTTGCTTTTGCTGTCTATTTAGCCCTTTCTTAAGATGAATTCTTAGCTCATTAAAATTCAGCCTTAGATGGGCGCAGTGGCTCATGCCTGTAATCCCAGCACTTTGGGAAGCCGAGGGAGGAGGATTACTTGAGCCCAGGAGTTTGAGACCTCAACATAGCAAGACCCTGTGTCTACAAAAAAAAAATTAGCCTGGTATGGTGGTGCTAGCCTGTGTCCCACCTACTTGGAAGGCTGAGGCGGGAGGATCACTTCAGCCCAGAAGTTCGAGACTTCAGTGATTTATGATCGTGCTACTGCACTCCAGCAGCCTGGGTGACACAGTGAGACCCCCATCTCAAATAAATAAATAAACAAATAAATAAACAAATGCCTTCCTTCTTTCCTAATCTAGGCACCTAAGGTTGTAAATTTCCCCCTATGTCCTGCTTTAGCTGCATCCAATAGATTTTGATAAATAATATTCTCATTATTGTATGGTTCTGAATATTTTCTGATTTCCATCATGATTTCTTCTTTGACCCATGAGTTATCCCATTTCTTTTCTTCACCAATCCATGTACTTCCTCTGTTCACATCCTGTCTTCTCTGGGCCCTAGGGATCTAGGCTACCTTCTCCAAACCCCTCAGACCATCTGTACCACATCACATTGCTGAACTTTTAAAGATGACAAGACACAATCTTGTAACTTCTCAGATGGGCTGATTCAATTCCCCTAACAAATTATAAGAGAAACTAAGGTCAGTCCAATAACGAATATGTCTTCTGTACGTGCAACTAATCAGAGAGGACTGCACCACTTCTGCTCTGTAAATACCTAGCCATGTGAGCCAGCTTTAGTGCAGCCTTGAAGACAAATTTATTTATGTCATCAATCTCAATCTAGGGTTATCCAGACTCATGTGAACAACACATACATTTTTGGAAAACAGACAAAAACAAAAACTAAAATGTTCCCCAACCCAGCCCATTTTAACACTGCAGTGTCATTCTAATTCAATCATTCATTCAGTAACTCACTTATTTCATCAACAAATGTTTATGGAGTACCTACCGTGTGCAAAGCTCTATGAACACAACAAACTTTAAGCAAATATGTATGAAGCACCTAATAGATTCTGGCTGAATAAATGAATGATGGATGAATAAGTCAATGACCAGTGCTGGCCAATTGGTCCAGCACTGGCCCCCTCATTAACTACTGTGAGCTTATTCAAACTACTTTCCTTGGTCTCAACTTCCCGATTTATAAAGTGGAATGTTAATGATTGTTCCATCTGCCTCTCAGGAGCCCTAAGAATCACTATTTGGAAGAAAACAAAAGAGTTTCAAAAATACTCAGTGGTCATTTCTCTGACCTTCTGGTCTCTGCTGAGTTACTACATTCTCAGGGGCTGTTATATACCAACTCTGAACATCTATGATCTAATGCAATTTCATGTCAGAAATCCTACATAAACATTTAAGCTATATTAGTTTATAATATGCTATGTTAATTATAAAATAAATTCAATATACTGCAGTGTTATGGTCTGTTGTGCTGTTAATTTAAAACAGACAGAAATAAAAGTGTACAAGTACAGAGTATCACTCATAACAGAAATAATAAATAGCAGCCAGTGGTAATAGACACTATCCTAAGCATTACTCAAATTAACTCACTGAATCCTCCCAAGAGCCTTATAGGATAGGCACCATTTGACTATTAACATTGTTTTGTAGATGAGGAAACTGAAACAAGGGAGACTGAGGCTGGAGAGGCTCCATAGGGAAGCCTGAGATCACACAGGGTTGACCTTGAGCCTGCACCATTCTGGCTCCAGAATCTGAGTTCCTGGCCACCACACACTTCCTCTCGGCAGAAGTGTTCTGTTGGCCAGGCAAAGTGGCTCATGCCTGCAATCCCAACAGTTTGGGAGGCCAAGGCGGGAGGATTGCTTAAAGCCAGGAGCTGGAGACCAGCCTGGGCAACATAGCAACACCCCATCTCTAAAAGAAAAAAAAAAAATTAGCTGTTCATGGTGGTACAGCAGCCGTAGTCCCAGCTACTCTAAGGCCAGAAGATCACTTGAGCGCAGGAATTCAAGGCTACAGTGAGCTATGATTGTGCCACTGCATTCTAGCCAGGGTAACAGAGTGAGAAAAAGAAAAGAAAAGAAGAAAGAAAGAGTTGTACGTTTCCTGCCAAGAGTCAAGAGCAAATTTTACCTGCCTGGCTACCTTTTTAGGGGAAATCCCATGGACCAAGTTACCCCACAGGCTGACTTCATGAGGACAAATCAGTCTTGGTGACTAAGCACCCCTTTCCTGAGAACTCTGTGATGCACACCAGGAGTGCCTCACCCTCTGGGACGGTGTGAAGATCGGCAACCTGATTTCATCACATTCATACTGGCTGACGAAACCCCGCTCCCATGCCAGGTCCAGCATGTTCTCCACATGGCTGTGGAGCCTCCTGACAATGGCTGGCCGGTGACTCTGCAGGTCTCGGGCTGGGTGGAGCGAGTGGGGGTCCCAGCAGCCATGCAGCTTGGGGGACTGGCTGTCGGCCTGGGCTTCTTGGGCAGCCGCGATGAGCTTCTGACAGGCCCAAGTACCCTTATTCCAGACGGTGTCCAGAAGGCGCCTGGCCAAGTGGGAGAGAGGCTGGCCCAGGAGGTGGAAGCCCTCGTAGTCCTCCCAGGAGAGGACCTCCCAGGACAGCAGCCAGTCCAGGACACTCTCGAAGCCTTCCAGGGACCCTGAGACCAGCAGCTCGACCAGCTGGCTCCTCTGTGCCTGAAAAGCCTCCTGCGAGCACATTTCACAACCTGGGGAGGAGAACAAGGTCAGTGCGGGACTTCTCCAGAAGCCAGATGCAGGGTGGTCAGGGAAGGCCAGGGCAAGTCAGCCCCAGCAGAACCCGAGTTGGCCATGGTTCTAGCCTCAGACATTACCCAATCCAAGCTCCCCACCATATAGATGTGAAAATTGAGACCCAGAGAAGGCAAGAAACACCTCAAGGTTCCACAGAGTTTGAAGCAACCAAGAATTAAATCAAGACCCCTAACTCCCATATCCATGCTTGGTCTCCGGCTTAAAACGTTTAAAAAGGCTTGAGGTAATATTAGGAGCAAGAGATCTCCCAAGGTCACTTGAGATCAGGAGCGCTAGACCAGCCCGGCCAACACGGTGAAACGCTGTCTCTACTAAAAATACAAAAATTAGCCAGGCGTGGTGGCGAGCGCCTGTAATCCCAGCTACTCAGGAGGCTGAGACAGGAGAATCACTTGAACCCGGGAGGCAGAGGTTGCAGTGAGCCAAGATGGCACCATTGCGCTCCAGCCTGGGCAAGAGAGCAAGACCGTTTCTCAAAAAAAAAAAAAAAAGACAGAGAGAGAGAGAGAGATCTTCCAAACAATCAGGGAATTCATTCTCTTCGAAGCAGGGTGAGAGGGGCTCTTTCATGCTGGCTGGATTCAGGCTACAGCAGTTTCAGTAACGGCTAATATTAATTAAGCATAAACTACACACCAAGTGCCATTCTAAGTGCTCTCCTGCAGGAATTCACTGAACCCTCCCAGCCACTCTGAAGTAGTGCCTATGATCTACCCATTCTACAGAGGAAGACACTGAGGCACCAAGAAGCTAAGTGATTTGTACGATGTGTCACAGCTAGACAGGCAGAGTCAGGATTTCAACACGAGCCATGTATGACTCCGGAATGCATGTCTCTAACTCTTACATTTGGGTTCCCCACGGGGGCCCCAAGCCCGTGCTGTGTGTTTTGCACACTGCTACTCCAAGGGGTAGACTCAGAATATTGCTCTAAAGGTCCTGTCCTAGGCGAAGTGAAAAATTACGGTGCAAACTAAGTTGTTTCCGAGCGTTCTGGTGCCTTGTCCCCCATCAACACTTCCCACACACACTTGCCCTAGGGCCCTCACCTCCCTCCCACGCCCTCGAAACCACCGTGCACAGACTGCTGCCACTGCTATCATCAGTGACCTGCTGTGCGTTCTGGGAATTTGAGGGCAAGTGACCCTCCAGGAGCTTCAAGCCCTGGCAGGGTCCCTGAGCAGCCAAGAAAATCTCTCAGCATGGTCAGTTCTGCGATTGTCATGGGGTCTGTGGACAAGGGCTGCTGCAGTGCCCCGAAGAAACGAAAGTGAAAGGGTGTAGGCATGGACAACAAAGAGGGCCGTCAGCTTCTTTTTATAAATCAGGGACATTCCCAGACACTCAAGGGAGCAGATGCCAAGTGGCCTGGGGATTTTACCTCTTTCCTGATGGTTGTTTATGTGTCTCTCTCCCTGCCTGGGCCACGTGGGAGCCTGGGTCTTACTCGTCCTGGCATCCCTGAGCCTGGCACAGCATTGTCCCCCACAAAGACACTGAGGGAATGTTCATGAATCAAATATCCCCTGGGCTGGGGGTGGGGGGAACACTCTGTATCCGTCCTCATACGGTAGCCAAGGTAAGCAAAAGGAGAAAGCTCCAATCTCTCAGAACGCTGCTGGGGCACAGGGGGCCCTGTGCTGGTCAGATGGGGAAACTGAGGCAATGAGGTTACTTGTGTGTCTGGCTGCTTGGGAGAGAGGGTGTACCCCCCTGCAGAGGCCACTGGAAGCCAGGATCTAAGGTAGTTCTCTCAGGCCAAGGAGTTCTCCTCCTTGTGCCCACATCTAAGCAGAGGAGCCAAGAGGGTGGGGTGGCCGAGGACAGGGGAAGAGAGGACAAAAAAGGGTAGAATAAGCTCTGGGCTTGGCCCTGGAGTGGTTCTCAGCTGTGGAAACACCAGCCAAGGATGCGACAGCGGCCCCCACCATTGACCCTGCCCAGGTCCTGGGGAAAAAAACCCGCCGACCCATTCTCCCCAGAAAACAGCCCAGAAACAGAGTCAGCACTCCCCATCTGACCCCAGGCCTGGGAGCATGTCGCGGCCAAGGATGAAAGAAGGCTGAGGATCAAGCTGGGACGGGACAATGCCTGCTCCTCTTACCCGGAGAATGTCCGAGGAGGACACTTGCTCTTTCCTCCTCATCGTGAGAGGCTGAACCACCCTCTTCCCCCATCAAAGCCCATTAGGCTGGGGGAGCAGGCATGGCATCTGCGGGTAGGCCTTGTGCAGAACGCCAAAAGCCCAGTGGCACAGGACTGGTGAGCCTGGATCTGTCTACCAACCCCACCTTCAAGGGAAATTCCCAAAGGAAAAGCCGGAGGCCAGAGTTGGCCAACCAGCCTTCCAGAACTAGGCAATTCCAAGCAATTCTGGCACAAAGCCTTGTGCATCCTGGAGACCATGACCCTCACTGAAAAACCCCACTGGGGACATGAGACACATTCACGAGGGGACAGGCCACAAGTAAGTAGGGGCCCCTCCCTTGCACACCAAGCCTAGGGCAGCCTGGCCTACGTGTGAGCCATACACACCCCAGCTAGTGACGTTGGGCTTCTGTGGACACCAGGAAGGGGAGGCCCGCCCAAGCCACGTGACTCGGAGCTCTGTCCTCCCAGCAGCTACATCACCACACCTCTGCCCTGGCCTTCTTCCAGAAACCTCAGAGCAGAGAGAATCCTGAGGGCCAATTCAGCCAGGCCCTGTCTCTGAGCAGGCATTGTCCTGTCTCATCTTAAACATCTGGGGAGGAGAACCTGGCCTTAGTGCTGTTCTCACTAACCAGCTCAGGAAGCTCACCAGCTTGGGAAGTTAATCATTATGTCTAGCTTCAGTTTCTCCTGCTTCAGTTTAAATTGGGAAAGAGAGAGAAAAAATATTCACTCATTATCTGTTTCCTAAAATTGTCCTTAACATCCTTCCTCTTACTCCTTTATTACCTGGTCGGGCTTCCCCTCTTCAGGCGAAATCTGTCAGTCTATCTGCATTGCCTTTTGATCTCTACTTCAGTTACTACAACTTCAAAGACACCATTGTCCTCCCCAAGGTGAGGCCCATGTAGAGAAAGGATCACTTCCTTGCTGAAAGAGAGGGTCAAGGGGCGACCCACGTGGGCCCTCCCTGAAACCCAGGCCCAGGCCTGAGCCTGGACACCTCCTTCCTTCCTGAGACCACAGCCAGCCCGGTTTCTCTGGGGCCAAGAGCAAATGCTTTGCTTAAGTGCTGAAATCTCAGCCCACTGACCCCTTGCAGACAGGAGAGGAGGGGAAGCCCAGGGAAGCTCAACTTCCCAAGTGTCCTGAGTCTCTGCTGGGGCCAAGCCCCCCACCCTCCCCCAGCTATCCTGCATTCTCCCTCCCTAACACTGTTCTCTCCCTAAGAGATCAAATCCCCCCACCAGTGCACAATGCACTCTAATTCTCCATTGTAAAAGTAAAGCACTCTCTTGACACTCCCCTTCTTCATTTGGCTCCAATCCCATTTATCTGCTCCCTTTACAGCAGGCCCCCTTGTCTGTTGCCTGTACTGCTGTCCCCAAGTCCTCCCATCCCCTCCCATTCCCTCTAGTTCCCCATCCAGCTCCAGTGAAACTGTCACCAGTGACCTCCCATTGCTCAATCCTCAGCCCTCAGCCTGCTTGCTCTGCCAGGGGCATTGGTCATATTTGTTCCCTCCTTCCTCTTTGGGGCATTTTCTTCATTTCCTCCAGGACACCCCAACTCTCTGATTTTCACTCTTTCTGTCTTCTTGGCTGGTTCCTAACACTGGGGGCCCCAGCACTCAATGGTTAGACCCCTTCTCTTCTCCATATCACTCCATCCCTAGATGAGCCCACCTGCTCTTGTGGCTTTAAATACCAGTTATATGGTGATGATGCCCAAAGTTTTATTTTCAACTCCAACCTCCGCCCTTAACTTTTCCCAACTGCTTACTCATCATTGATGCCTAATGGGCAGCTCAAACTCCACAAGCACAAAACCAAACTCTTGATCTCTCCGCTAAGCAACTCCCATTTCAGTTCATGGCAGCTTCAAACCTCCAGAAGCTCGAGCCAAACACTCAGAATCATCTTTGACTCTACCTTTCTCTTGCACCCCAAACCCTATCGACACGGCCTTTGAAATATATCCCAAATCTGAATGTCTGGTTTTCTTTTTTTTAACCACCTCTGGGCCATGGGCAAGACACCATGGTCTCTCCCGAGAATGACAGCAATGATCCGCTCAACGGGCTCTCCTTCTGCCCTTACCCCACCCCCCCCATGATCCATTCTCCACCCCACAGCTAGATGGGCCTGCCAGACCCCAAGTCAAAGCAGGTGACTCCTCTGTTCCAAACCCGTGCTCCCATCATGCTCAGAGTGAAAACCAAAGCCTCCCAGCCCCCCAGATACTCATGTGGCTCACCCCTCAATTCCTTATGACTTTGCCCAGCTATCGTGGTCTTGGGGAAGCCTTCCCTGGTTGTGCTATATACAATGCAATACCCAGCCCCAGCACCCCATCCTGCTTCCCAGCTTTGTTTTACTCGTAGTACTTCCCGCCACCTGCTACGCCATGTATTTACTTATTTCATTGCTGTCCATTCCTTTCTAGAGTGTGCACTCCATGAGGGCAGGGGGTTTTGTCTGATTTTCCTACTGCTCTGTCTCGTGTCTCATCCAGTGCATGAATGATGACTGCTGGAAAGAATGAAAGAACTGACTTGCTCTGCATGGCTCCGGGAGACAGACATGGAACCAAGGTGTAGAATCTGTAAGCCACAGATTTTAGCTAAAGGAAACAAGAGCTGCAAGGCACTAAAAAGCCACCTCATCAGTAATAAGCTCCCCACCACTGGGCATGTGTCACAGAGGGGCTCTGCACTGGGTAGGAGGGAGGTGGGCTGGATGAGGATGCTTCCAGCCTCAGATCCCAGGGTGCAGCGAGGCAAAGGGGCCTTGAGCAGCCAACAAACTCAGGGGCCCCAGCAGCCCCATGGCTGAGTGATCGGGACAGGCAAGTACAGGTGGTGGGGATGTCACTCTGGTCTTTTTCACTAAGGGGTCAGGGGAGGGTGACAGGGCAGGTGTTTCCCCTCTGTAGAACAAGGACCCTGGAGGAGGCTAGGTCACAGCCCATGGGGAAACCAAGGCCATGGCAGGAGAGGCTCAGAAAGAGCAAACTCAGAAGCAGGGGTCCAGCCCCCAGCCCTCATGCAGCTTCAGGAGGTCCTCCCCAGGGGGATTGGGGTGGAGGGCTTTTCAGTTTGTTGGAATGAAAGCAGGACCAGATGGCTGCTCCATCAACCTGAGAAGCATAGGAGAGCAAACAGCTGGGGGATGTGGCCTCGCAGGTCCTGGTGTGGGCTGTCTGGGAAGGGATGGATTTGAACTTAGATCTCACACCCAACAAGGGAGAAGGAGGAGGCAGGAGATTCCCATAAGAGGTACAGAGAGCAGCAGCAGGATCCTCCAGGCAGACTCTCTCACTTATACCCACCCACTCACTGGCATGGTGAAGCTGGGGAAACTGAGTCCCACAGAGAGGAAGGAAATCAAAAGAGTGGCCCAGGGGCCTCCCCAACCTCGAGATGCCCCCTTTCCGTCTCACTTCCCATCTACATTCTGGGACTCCCCCAGGAGAAACCGAGGCAACCCTTGCCCAAGCCCTGCGGCCAGGACGGCTCAGAAGCCAAGTGTTCAAGTCCCGGGGGTGGGACCCTCGGCGCCCACAGTCTCCCCCCAGCCCACCCCCAGGCGCTGGGCACAGCACTCACCGCGAGCCGCCTGCGCGCCGACTCCAAGGCCCACTCCGGGCCACGACTCCCGGCTCCGGCTCCGGCTCGGGCTGCGGCTCCGGGTGCGCGGGCGCTCGGCTCCGCCCCCGCCCGGACCCCGCCCCTGCTCTGCCGGGACCGCAGCACCCGCTCCTGTCCCGTGGCCCCGCAGCCCCGCAGCCCCGCAGCCCCGCAGCGCCGGCTCCAGGGCTGGCCAGGCTTACCTGGGACAGGGCAGGACCGGGGCTTCCTGCGGGGCTGGACGGCCCTGGCTGTGTGCCCTAGCCAGTGTGCCTCTCTTTCTGGGCCACGTTTCAACCAGGAGGGAATCGGGGAGTCCTCGGAACAACCCGCTTCCCAACACATACACATACACACACACACACACCACACACCACACACACCGCTTCCCAGCACACACGCGCACACACACACACCACACACACACCGCTTCGCAACACACACACACGCCCTGCTTCCCCCCCACACGCAAACATGTTTCCCAATACACACACACAGCCCTCGCTTCCCCCCACACACAAACATGCTTCCCAATACACACACAGCCCTCGCTTCCCCCAACACACATACCTTGCTTCCCAACACTCACATACACACACACACACGCCCTGCTTCCCCCCACCACAAACATGCTTCCCGATACACATACACCCCCTACTTCCAACACACACACCCTGCTTCCCAACACTCACACACACACCACTTCCCAACACACACACACCCTGCTTTCCCAACACATACACCCCACACACACCGCTTCCCAACACACACGTGCACACACACACACACCCCACACACACACCACTTTCCAACACAAACACACACTACACTCCCTGCTTTCCCAACACACACACACCCCACACACACTGCTTCCCAACACACACGTGCACATACACACACCCCACACACACACCACTTCCCAACACACACACACCACACCCCACACACACCACTTCCCAACACACACACCGCTTCCCAACACACACAAACATGCTTCCCAATATACACACACCCCACTTCCCAACACACACACATCGCTTCCCAACACACACATCGCTTCCCAACACACGCCTCACTTCCCAACACACACACACACACACACGCACACACAGCCAAAACTAGGAAAACTTTTCCAGAGTGTGACAGGTTACATGTTAGGTAAGAGTGGACTGGTCATTTAAGGTTCTTTTTTTTCATTTTCCTTTCAGTTTTTCCGTTTATGTTGAATGGAGTTTATTTCTCAGTTTAGTACTAATAGGGTTTGAGTACCTTTCTAGCACTGCCTAGATTACTTGGCTCTGAAACTATCTAATTAGCTTTAATAGCATTGTTTTTGTTTCCATTAAATATATTTTATTTTACATTCTTCTGTTCTCCGGAGCAAATGACACCGGTTTTCCATTTAACATGTTAATGTAAATGTTCCTTTTGAAACTCATATTTGGTTGTTTTAAAAAATGTGAAGTCAATTTTTAAAAATAACGAAAATAACTGGCATCTAGAAAGTGTTTACCATGTGCTAGTCTTTACAGACAGTAACTCAGTTACTTCCACCTCTAGGGTATTGACTATTATTGCCTCTAACTTATAGATGCAGAAACTGAGGTACACATTTGAACTTTGATCTCACGCCCACCAAGGGAGAAGGAGGAGGCAGGAGATTCCCCTAAGAGGTGCAGAGAGCAGCAGTAGGATCCTCCAGGCAGACTCGCTCACTTACACCCACCCACTCACTGGCATGGTGAAGATGGGGAAACTGAGTCCCACAGAGAGGAAGGTACTCAAAAAACAGTGGCCCCCTCTGAGACCTGAAGCCCGGGCTCCTCAGGACTTCTCACTCCTGCCAGGGGCCTCCCCAGCCTCGAGATGCCCCCTTTCCTCTGGCACCAGAGATGGGGATTTGCCCCAGGCCTCTGGCACAGATGAATGCTCTAACCACTACCCCATACCGCTTTCAAGTAAATACCTGTGCAGGTGGTGCACAGTCAGCCAAGGTTGGAAAATGCTGCATTAGAAGGACTGAATCTACCCTAGAAAATTCATTCTGGGCAGCGCACAGAACCATCTACAAGGATGTTCACCACCATCTTGCCTACAGCAGTGAGAAGCTAGAAACCTCCCTAATGCCCAGTAACAGAAAATTAATTAAGAAAACTGACAGAACATCTGAACCTAGAACACTTAACCCGACCCATCTTCTCTCAGCCCCACTATCCAATCTGGGAGCAAATTTTTCAGCTTGGCCTTCAAATATTTCCAAGCTGCAGCCCATTTTTGCCATATGCACCATTACCACCTGGGTCCACATCTCCATCATCTCTCACCTGGGTGATAGCAGGAGTTCCTGGCCATTCTCCACGCCTCCATCTACAGCCCTTCTTCAATCCAGCAGCCAGAGTGAGTCTGTTGGTTTTGCTGTTGTTGTCGTTGTTGCTGTTTTAAGTCAAATTCTATCACTCCTCTGCTGAAACTCTTCTGTTGATGGCTCCCATCCCAAAGTAAAAGCCAAGGTCCTTACAATTGCTGTTTGGCCTCTGGCACCCTCTCTGCCCACCTCTTACACTCTCATCTTACTCACTCTGCTCCAGCTACACTGGCCTCCTGGCTGTTCCTCAAATATGCCAAACCTGCAGTTACACTCAGGCCTTTGCCTTTGCTGTGCCTGGAATGCTCTTTCTTTAGAAATCTACCTGGCTCCCTCCTTCCTCTCCTTTGGGTCTTTGCTTCCATATGACTTTCTCGGCAAGGCCTTCCCTAACTATTCGGTGTACAGCTGCAACACCCTCCAATCCCTTCTCTCCTGCTTTATTTTGTATTTTTCTCCATAGCGCTTATCTGCACACAACACATTATGTATTCTACTTATTTATTGTCTTTGTTGTTGGTCTCTCACCCAAGACAGCATGAGCTCCAAGGGAACAGGGAATTTTTGCTTTGTCCCTTGCCTTCTCCCAAGGCCTAGAACAGGACCTGGCATGCAATAAATCTTTGTTGAGTGAATATACTAAAAATAATGCTGTGGTTCTAATAACCAATGAAAATAAATGAATCACTGTACCCCCACGAGAACTGCAGCCTCACAGACATAATGTTGGGTGAAACAGGCTGAGTGCAAGAGCGTGCATACGGAATGGTATCCTTTCTATAAAGTTCAAAAGCAGGCAAAACTGCATTACAGGTAGGAGCCAAGATAGAGGCTACCACTGGGGAGAAAGTTGGAGGTAGTGACTAGGGGAGGAGTGAAGGGGACTTCTGGGGTGCCAGTAATCTCCTATTTTTACTCTGAATAGTGGTTGCATTGATGCAAATACATTGTGAAACTGACCAAGTTAAACACATGATATTTATATTTTCCTTTATGCTTGTCATATTTCAATAGATATTTATTTTTTAAAGATGCTATAAGTATGTTTATCAGATAGAAAGCTGCCTAGAATATATAAGGCTAAATTTATAAAGTAGACTCTTTTTTGAACGAGGATGCCAAGATGATTCAGGGGGAAAAAAGTGGTCTTTTTAACAAATGGTGCTGGGAAAACTAGATGTCCACATGCAAAAGAACTGAATTTGGATTCCTCCTTCAGGCCTTATACAAAAATTAACCCAAAATGGATCAAAGTCCCAAATGCAAGATTTAAAATATAAAAATCTTAGAAGAAAACATAGGTGAAAATCTTTGTGACCTTGGATGAAGCAATGATTTCTCAGATTTGACACCTAAAGCACAAACAACCAAAGAAAAAAATAGATAAGTTGGACTTTATCAAAATTCCAAGCTTTTGTGCTTTGAAAGACATGATCAAGAAAGTAAAAAGACAACCAACGGAATGGGAGAAAATAGTCACGACTCATATCCAGAATATATAAAGGACTCCTGAAACTCAATAACAAACAACTTTTTAAATGAGCAAAGGATTTGAAAATGTTCAGAGAACGTATGTAAGTAGCCAACAAGCACATGAAAAGACGCTCAACATCATTAATTGTTAGGGAAATGTGAATCAAAGCCACCATAAGATACCACTTTACACTCACAAAGGTGCCCTTAGTCCAAAGGACAGAAAACAAGTGCTGGAAATAATGTGGAGAAACTGGAAGCCTCATACATTGGTGGTTAGAGCGTAAAGTGGTGAAGCCACTGTGGAAAATAGTTTGTGGGTTCTTCATAAAGTTAAACATGGTGTTACCATATGATCCAGCAATTCTACTCCTAGGTATACTCAACAGAATTGAAGCATATATGCACACAAATGCTTGTACACAAATGTTCATAGCAACATTATTCATAAGAGGAAAAAGTGGAAGCAAACTAAATGTCCCTCAGCTGATGAATGGATAAAGAAAATGTGATCTATCTGTGCAATGGAATATTATTCAGCTGTGAAAAAAACAAAGTACTGATAAATGCTACAACATAAATGAACCTTGAAAACATTATGCTAAGTGAAAGAAGCCAGTCACAAAATGACATCTATTGTGTAAGTCCGTTTACATGCAATGTCCGGAATAGGCAAACCCATGAAGACAGAAAGTAGATTTGTTGGTTGCCAGGAACTGAGAGGAGGGAGGAATGAGGAGTGACTGCTAGTGGGCATGAGGTTTGGTTTTTGTTTTGTTTTGTTTTGTTTTGTTTTTGCATGATGAAAATATTCCGGAATTAGATCATGGTGATGGTTACACAACCTTGTGAATGGACTAAAAACCAGTGAATTACACACCTTAAAAGGGTGAGTTTTATGGTATGTGAATTATATCTCAATGAAAAACAGTTGGGCTGCCAAATGCTTTGTGTAGAAAGAATATAAGGCTAAATTTAAAGAGTAGGTTGTTTTTTAACAAGGATGCCAAGATAATTCAAAGGGGAAAAATGATCTCTTTAACACATGGTGCTGGGAAAACTAGATATCCACGTGCAAAAGAAATGAATTTGGACTACTACCTCATACTTTATACAAAAATTCTGTAATAGATATGTGTGAATATATGCATTGAAACATCTAAAAGACAAGTTAGGATCGGATTTTAACTGGACTTTTAAAATTCTTCTGTGTTAACCTGTATTTCCTAATAAGCATAATTTACTTGTTTAATAATAATTTTTTAAAACTTTCCAATGAGTTAAGGGATATTGATTAAAAACTCCCTGTGTGCAGGGCCCTCTGCCGAGACAGGCAATTGGGATGCCCTGGAGACATTTCTGTCCTTGAGTGCTCTGACATGGGCACCGTGCAGGAAGTGCTCAGAAGAGGCGGAGGGAAAATGCTTCCAGAATCCCCCGGGCCTCAGAGGAGAGAAATCCTTGGATTGTGTCATTCAAAATTCTTCCAGGCCGGGAAGCTGCCTGTGCCTGAGCACTTCCCCCAGGAGCGAGGACTGCCCCCATCAGCAGGCCTGGATAGTAGGAGCTCAGCCCAGGACCGACGGCGGCTGCTGCTGCTGACAGTGGTGGTAACCCGGCCTCATAGTGGGCTGCAGTCTCCACGCTGGTGGTCCTCTGCTCCAAGCAGCCCGCCCACTCACCAAAGTCCAAACACTTCCACAAGCTGGCCCAAATGGATGAAGACAGGAATGGCTTTCCCTCCCCACATCTCTGCACCCCTAGCTTCACCAACTTCCCGCAGCTCTCAGTACTCCCACCTGTGAGCTTCTGCTCACTCTGTGCCCCAGGCAGAGGCAACAGGTGGCAACTGCAAGGACTCTGGCCCCAGCGAACTTGGATTTGAATTCCAGCCCTGCTCCTTAGCGGCTGTATGCTCTTGGCCAGTCATTTCATTTCTCTTGACCTCAGTCTCCCTCACAGTTAAGTGAGGATGACAGTCCACTTAGATCTTGTCATGAGGGATGCATACACTAGGACTCGGTGCCTGGTAAACAGTGAGCACACCACAGTGTGAATATGTTATTGAACACTTGCCATATGCCACGCCGTGTACTCTCACAACACCTCTATGGAATAGGTTCCATTCCTCATCCCCATCTTTGACAGGAAGAAACGGAGGTTTCAAGAGGATCATGAATTTCCTAAGATGACCCAGCTATGGAATGGTGGGACTATGAGTCAAGTCCACGTCCTTCTCTACCTGCTTTTATCTGGACCTTCCATGCCCACCTCCTGCAAGGAAGCTCTCCAGACCCCACAGTCCCTGTGGGCTCTCCCAGTCCTCTCAGCTGCAAAGATCAGCCTGCCTGTTCTCCTGTTGGCCATCAGCCGAGACGGTCCAACACTGTTGGCCCAAGTTCCATGTGTCCGTCCTGTGTATCACCAGTCTCTGAGGGTTCAAGGTATCCCTTCCTTGTCCCTTCCTTGTTGCTGGACCTCAGCCTCTGGCCCAGTGCTTGGCCAAGTCTGTTTTCAGAGTGACTTTTTTTTTTTTTCCGAGGTGGAGTCTCACTCTGTTGCCTAGGCTGGAGTGCAGTGGCGCCATCTCAGCTCACTGCAACCTCCGCCCCCTGGGCTCAAGCGATTGTCCTGTCTCAGCCTCCCAGGTAGCTGGGACTACAGGCATATGCCATCATGCCCAGCTAATTTTTGTATTTTTAGTAGAGACAAGGTTTCAGCATGTTAGCCAGGTTGGTCTCAAACCCTTGACCTCAGGTGATCTGCCTGCCTTAGCCTCCCAGGCTAGGATTACAGGCGTAAGCCACTGCGCCCTATCCATGGGTGACTTACTGACAGAGGGACAATGCTTGAAAGAAGGACACATTGGAGCAGGCAGCTCTCCACAGAGCAGCCTCCAGCCTGGGAACCTGACGTGCCTGCATCTCTTGGGCAGCCTCTGAGGTTGCCCCATTCCTACCTCAAGACCAGACCCAGCATTCTGTCACTTCCCCACCTCAGGTCCTAACCCAATTCCAAGCTCATCAGTACATTGGGCAGGAAGATCAGACACCTGAAAACACAATCCAGCTCCCCTGCCTAAGCCTCCTCCTGAGACCCCGTGCTGTGCCTCCTCTCTCTCCTTCCCTTCCGCCTTATTGTTTCTAGAATCACCCCTCTGTTCTCAAACCCTGCCATTCTAGCCCCAAGCTTACAAACCCCACTTCAGCAAAATAAAATGTTCCATTGGCTGAGGGTGTTGTCTTTGAAAATCAGTTTCTCACTCCTCCATTATTAATTAACTCACAGAAGACCATATCATTCTTCTTTTCCAATGTGTGGACACAAGTGCCAACTTCATCTGCATGGTCAGAAGTGCCGGGTTGGAACAGAAGAGCCAGGGCTGGATTTTTAGCATTACTGCTGCCTTTTTTTTTTTTTTTTGAGGTAGAGTCTCACTCTGTCGCCCAGGCTGGAGTGCAGTGGTATGATCTCAGCTCACTGCAACCTCTACCTCCTGGGTTCAAGCAATTCTCCTGTCTCAGCCTCCTGAGCAGCTGGGACTACAGGCATGCATCATCATGCCCAGCTAATTTTTGCATTTTTAGTAGAGACCGGGTTTCACCATGTTGGCCAGGATGGTCTCGATCACCTGACCTCGTGATCCGCCACCGTGCCCGGCCCACTGCTGCCCTTTTTTAGGTCCTCTGTGCAAGGCACATACCTTAAAATGATTTACAATGGACCTGATGGCCCTTAACCCCACCCAAACTGCTCATCAGCACCTTTGCCCAAACAGATGTCCCAAGAATGGGAGGTGTATGTTCTCCTGATCAGAAAAGTTGGATTTTCTCCTAATCTTAGCCATGAATCTTTACACAATCAGCAGTTCTGACAGTCCTGAGGTTGACAAAGACCAGGAAGTTCAGTAATGGTGACTGAAGCTCCCGCGGCCTGCAATGTAGAAATAAATGGGCCTGTACCCAGCCCCACCCTGCCATGTCTCAATATAACCACAGCGGTGCCCCACAGTGCATTCTGTCTGCAACCCCAGTTTTTAAATCCTGCAATATTAAGAACCTTTGAAATTTAATAAAAAGCTATACAGGCACATCCAGCTGCAGAAAAACAAGATTGACAAGATCAAATTTTGTGTCACCTGCGAAAAACACCTGGCCAGTTGTGGTTTGCTCTACCAGCGCTGAGAGGCACACCTGGGACCGATACACTCTTGTTGAATTTCTCAAAGAAGGCGTACCAGTGTTGCAGTTCCAAGCATGTCAGGCATCCAGAGCGGTAGTGAGGGGTAGCTTCTAGTACTCAATTGTTTGCTCAATGTAGAATGCTTTGGTGGTAAAAGGACATCATTTAATTTCATGTTGCAATTAGGGAAGCCAAAAATCAGACAGGGTGGTGGCCTGCCCAGAATCACACAATGAGTCAGGGCTGAGCTGCAGCCACAGCCTCGGTGACCACTTCTCTGCATTCACCCCGCCATTCATTCATGCACACAATGACTTACTGAGCACCCACTATGTGGCAGGCACTGTGCTGGGTGCTAGAGACACAGATAATGATACAGACAAAGTCCCTGCCATTGTGGCATTTGAGACAGGAACTGCACAAGTATACAAATAAGCAAAACAAGGACAGATCTCGACAGAGGGGTCAGAAGAAGGCTGCATGGAGGAGCGAAAGTGAAGCTGCTGCTTCATGAGATGAGATGAGATGATGAGATGAGATGAGATGAGATGAGATGAGATGAGATGAGATGAGATGAGATGAGATAAGCCAGAGATGGAAAAACCAAGCGGAGGGTATTTCCAGCTGAAGGAACTGCGAAAACAAAGGCACGTTTGAGCAACAGAGAGCAGTCTGGGTTGGCTGGTGTGTGGTAGGTGACACTGGGAGTGGACCGAGTGACAAACGGTAAGCGGCAGATCATGGAAGCCTCAGCAGAGAGTTCGGATTTACTCTGAATGTGGTGGGAGGCCACTGAAGGGTCCAAATAAGATGGAGAGGTGCTCTGATTTTGAATTCTAGGAGAGGCATCAGATTCTGAGACACTACTAGTATTTCCCCTTTCTCACTCCTGGTGCCTCGTGGTGACCCTCCTCGCCATCTGGCTTCAGCGCTGCAATGGAGGATGCCCACTCCTGTGTCCCCCGCATGACGATGGGACCTTGTCTGCCTGTTATGAACTGAGTATGTGGCCTCCAAGTTCATATAGTTCATATATTGAATTCCTAATGAAAAAGGTGAGGCCTTTAAGAGGTAATTAGGCCATGAGGTTAGAGATCCCTGAGCACTCTCTAGCCCTCATTCTGCCATGGGAGGATAGAACAAGAAGGCAGCCATCTGCAAACCAGGAATCAAACCCTCCCCATATACTGAATCTGTTAACACGTTGATCTTGGCCTTCCCAGCCTCCAAAACTGTGGGAAAGAGATGTCTGTTGTTTAGGCCGCCCAGTCTGCGGTGTGTTGCTACAGCAGCCCAAGCTAAGACACTACCTATGCCTTCTGCCTCCACCACAGAGAACTCTGGCTGCAGAGAAAAAGCAACATCCAACAGGTGGCCATGCGTGGCATCTTCCGGTCACTCTGGCTCAGCTGGGTCCTACCGACATAGGCCAGGCCCCTCTCCATCAGGGGGTTTCCAAGAAACGTCTCCTTTCCCCATAAGAGGAAGTGGCGGCAACCACACATTTTTCCCCTGTGGTTGCCTTCTGCAGCATGAGAGGCTCACAGGGCTGCAGAGAAAGGCTTAGAGTCCACCCTGGTGTCTTGCAGATTCCAGGCCTGGGCAGAGAGTAGGCGAGAAAACTGGAAAGTTACGGGACACAACCCAGGGAGGAGAGGGCATTCCAGCCTCACTGTATGCAGGGAGCCACACCACCAGGCCCTCTGCTGGGCAGGGGGAGGCGGAGATGACCGACCTATGGCCCCTGCACTTACGGGGTGCCCCAGCTAGCAGGCCAGAGGCACACCACTCATGGCACTCCTCGTGAGCTCTGCCCAGAGACAGACCTTTGCAGATGTGGAGGTTCTTAATGACAGTGACGGCACTGCAGAGAGGTGGAATTGCAGGGCCATGTCAATAAGCAAGGTCAATAGGTAAACAGGGACATTATAGAGCCTCCAATGAAAAAGACAAGCAGCAACGGTTTTAGAATAGTAAGAACTGCCAGCACTTGTACAGCTCGGAACAGTGTTGTTCTAAGTGTTTGGCTCATCTGAACTCCTCTTGAGGTTCACAAGCCTATGAGCTTGTTGCAGAAGCAAATACAGGAGAAACCTTCATGCCCTCCAAGGATGACACTGGCTCAAGGCGGAATGTTTTGGCACTAGGAGGACTTCATTAAATTTCATGTTGCAATTAGGAAAGTTGAAATTCAACCATATCAAAGGACTAATATGGTTCTTTAAAGTTGACAACTTCTATTCGTCACAAAACTCCATTAAGAGAGTACAAAATGCAAACTGCAGGATGGAAAAGGATATTGAGAAGCACATAAACCCAAATGAATACATAAAGAACACCTACAAACCATTAAAAATAATCAAGTCAATAATGAGCAATGACCTTGAACAGACACTTCATTGGAGAAGGTATAAGGATGGCAAATAAGCCCATGAAAAGATGCTCAACATCATTAGTCCTTAGGGAAATGCAACTTAAAACCTTGATGAGAGACCACTGCACATTAATGCAGTGGTACACTGAAAAACACTGACCAAACCAGACACAGTGGCTCACATTGGTAATCTCAGTACTTTGGGAGCCCAAGGCAGGAGGATTGCTTGGGGCCAGGAGTTCAAGACCAGCCTGGGCAACATAGTGGCCATGATGGTCTATCCCTCCAGAAACAAAAAAAATTTATTAGCCAAGCATGGTGACGTAACTGTAGTCTTAGCCACTCAGGAGGCTGAGGTGGGAGGATCATTTGAGCCCAGGAGTTCTAGGTTGCAGTCAGCTATGATGGTACCATTGCACTCCAGCCTGGGTGATAGAGCAAGACCCCATCTTTAAAATAATTATAATAATGACCATATCAAGTGCAGGTAAGAAGGTGGAGCACCTGGAATTCTCATATACTGCTGGTGGGAATACAAAATGGCACAGCCACTGTGGAAAATATTTGGCGTAATCTAGCACAGTTGAAGCTATCTATACTCTGAGACCCAGCAATTTCACCTCAGATAAGTACATGGACTTGGATAAATGTGTAAGAATATCATCAGTGGCATTGATCATGATGGCCACCCTAGGAACAACCCAAGTGTGCATCAAAAGACAAAACAAAAAATGACAAATGGTGATGTATTTAAATAATGAAGCAACAGAAAACCAAACACAGCATGTTCTCACTCATAAGTGGGAGTTGAACAGTGAGAACACATGGACACAGGGAGGGGAACATCACACGCTGGGGCCTGTCAGGGGTGGGGGCCAGGGGGAAGGAGAGCATTAAGACAAATACCTAATGCATGCAGGGCTTAAAACCTAGATGATGGGTTGATAGGTACAGCAAACCACCACGGCACATATATACCTATGTAACAAACCTGCAGGTTCTACACTGGTATCCCAGAACTTAAAGTAAAATAAATAATAATAATAATGTAGCAACACAACAATGGAAATGAAAAAAAGTATCTACACAGAAATGCATCAGTGAATCTTATACCCATAAATGTTGCATGAAAGAAGCAAGGCACTGGAGAATACACACAGTATGCATGGTTCAATTTATATAAGATTCACAGATGAGTAAAATGAAACTGAATTGTTTGGGGATCTCATAGGTGGTAAATTTCTAAGGAAAAGCCAAGAAGTAACCCCCATCTGAATCAGGACTGTGACTGCCTCTAATAGGGAGGAAGGGAATCATGGCTCAAAAAAAAACACATGGCAAACTTCTGGGCGAGCCAGCAAAGTTCTATTTTTTTTTTTTTTGTCTGATTTCTGTTTCTTGCCTTCAAGGCCACAAAGATGGGTGGGCATGAATCACACCACACTGCCCTGGGGTTTCGCTTCCCTGGGACTTTCTGTTGGTGGTGATGGATACAGCTTTGCTCAGAGAAAAGGCACCAGATGGAACTGTAATTCTACCCCACTGCTCTTCTATGTCAGTCACTGGCTCTGTGTCCCACCAGCTCTGTGATCCAAGCCTCGGTTTTCCCATCTGTTCAAGGGGCATGACGGCCCCCATCATGCCTAGCTCATAGAGTAGAATAATGAATGTTAAAGGGCTCTGGGAGCTAATGCCTGAATTCCAGAGATCAACGGGGACTCGAAGGACAGCCAGACCTCTGCAAGGCGGCAGGGAAAGTGAGGCTGAGCTAAATCCCACAGGGCTGGCCCCACACCGCCTTGCCCTTCCCTGCGCTACCCGGAAGAAGAGGTGGGTACAGCTGGCAGGCTGGCAGTTGAGTTCAATATACCATGTTTCACCAGCCAATGGGCTGGGGCGATCAGAAGCAGGTCACACAGCCTGTTTCCTGTTTTCAAACGGGGAACTTAGAAAGTGGCAGCCCCTCGGCTTGTCGCCGGAGCTGAGAACCAAGAGCTCGAAGGGGCCATATGACACTCCTCCCGGACCCCTGGACACACACAGCCCTGGAGACTGGAGGTCAGTATTTGATCCCAAGCTCAGCTGTCCTCTGCCTGCTGTGGCCTGAGTCCCCTTCTCCTGGGGCCCTGCCTGGCACCTGCTGGGGGCAGGGTGGGAGGGGGAAGAGTTAGTGACAGCCACTGTGTCTGGAGCTCTCCTTAGCACACTGAGGCAGAGGAAGGGACAGCTCCTGGACCTTCCATCACCTCCATTCCTTTTGAAATGCTAGGCGCTTGTACAACCCATCTTGGGCCTGGAGAATAAGTCACCACACCTGTGTTTCTCAAAAGAACAGTGTCAGGGAACCCCTGCCTCAGCACAGCCTTAGAGGACTCATGGAAAATGCAGAATCCAGGCCTGTTCAATGGCACCTTCCTATGTTAGCAGCCAGGAAACCTGCTCTTGGACAAGCCCCTGGGATCCCACCCCCACCCCACCAGGGGATTCTTACACACACTGGGTTGGGAGCCCCTGGCTTTGGCAAGGCTTCTCAGGTGAGCGTCCAGTTGTTGGAGGGTACCCACCCTTTCCCCAAGAGAGGCAGCCACACATCCAACATCCTGGGATCTCTGTCTCCCAGCGTGGGCCATGTGCTTTATTTCACCCCCTAGAGGCTCATCCCCCATGAAAAGTCCTCCGCAGGCCCTCAGAAAGATAGTGTGGCCTCTGTGTGCCCAGCAGAAGAAGGACTGGACTTGGCAGTCAGCTCTTGGAGAGGGGGTGGTTAGGACACCTGGGGACAGGAGGAGGAGAATGACTGTCTGTGCACACACGGCTGGAAGGCAGAGGAGGCTGGGAAGCTGCTCTGTCCCCTGGGCCAACTACAGGCCCCCAGGCCAACAGCAACAACACTTTTAGTATTTTGTTATAAAGTCAAGAAATCTTTGCTACAGAGGGTGAGGAGAGGGAAGGAAAGGGCCATGGAACCGTCTATGTGGCTATCCCCAGAGAGCTTTTAGAGTGACAGGATTGCTTTCCCATTTCACAGATGAGGAAACTGAGGCCTGGAGAGGGATGGGAAGCTACCCAAGGCCCCATGGATACACCAGTGCACAACTCTTTCCTTCCCCCTCCTCTTTAAATGGGTGACTCCCAATGAAACCTGTAAGAGACAACCATAAGGGAGCTGACTGTGGCTGCTGAATTTGATTTTATTCTAAGGCCTGGTTTTATAATCAGCTTTCTCAGTCTTTACTGGAGTGTCAAGCCGAGGCATCATTTCTAGGGTCTTACAGGGTCTCTGGGCCAATAGTGCCCTGCTTCTGACCTGGAGCCAGCTGCCTGGTCATGAAAGCAGATCTGCAAAGGCTGGGGCCCCTGAGGCCAAGGCCACTCGCCATCACCCATTTTACAGAAGTGCTGAGCATAGGAGTGCCCTGGGCCCCCAAGAATCCCAGCCACCAAGAATCACGTAAACCATCCACTGTCTCACTTAGGCACCAGTCAGAATGTAGGGAACCCACCCCTAGTCATCCATCATCTTATCAACAGGACGGGGCTTGTAGCCACATTTATCAGGTAGGGAAACTGAAGCCTAGAGATATTAAAGCACTTGCTTAAGGACACACGGTTGGTCAGGATGGAAGGCGATGTCTCCTGACTCCCTGACAGGCACAAGAGACAAGCGAGAGGTGCCCGTGACGGCATGCTCAAGAACGTGCAGCCCTGGGCCAGCCAGGCCCCTGCTCCGTGCCTCTGTTTGCCCATCTGTAAAAGGTGAGGTTGGATCGAGGGTCCCTGAGGGCCGCCCACTGGATGGCTGTGCAGAGCCAAACGGAGAAGGCCCCAGGGTTCCTTTCACCCGACACAGCAAGCACTTCCCCCTGAAGTGCAGGCTCCAGGCCCCAGCTGACCTCCCCTCTCCCAGGCCAGCGGCTCTCACCCCTGGAGCAAGGGACAGGCGCTGGCTGTGCTCAGGGACATGCATGACTCCCGCCCCCATCTGTGCTCAGGGGGTGCCAGGGAGGCACTGGCTCTATCTTTCTCTAGGCCGTAGTCAGCCCAGGGGTTCAGACCAAGAGCCCAGAATCCAACAGATCAGAGTTCAAGTCCCAGCTCTACCTCTATGTTCCACTGGCAGCTTCCTCAGGTCATTTGCACCTTCCTTGTCTTGAATTTCCATGCCTAACCAGTCAGTATACCAGCTACTCCCTCCAGCCGATCTAATGTTTTAATTGTCCCTTTCTCTAAGTTGTCTCAAACATTTGTAATTCTATTCCAATCCACCTTAATTTAGTCATTTATTTCACAAATATTTCTGGAAACATCTAGCACTTAACAGACACTAAAAGCGGGGGTACTACACAGTCCCTGGGATGGACAGGGCCCTGAGCTGAGGCTTCAGAGTCTGCCTGACTGAATCCTCACCCCAGCCTTGTGAACGTGGGTTCTGTTATTATCCCCAATTTATAGGAAACAGAAGCACAGAGAAGTTGAGTCACTTGCCAGCTACCAGGTCATCCCTTCCACTTATCCGGGTCACAGACAGAGTTATTATGTAAACCAGATCCCAGCTGCCTGTTCTCCCTCCCTGAGTAAGGTGGAGAGAATTCTGAAGTCAGCCCAGCCTGGGTCTGTATCCTGCCCACCACTCACCAGCTCCTCATCTTTGGCAACTCTAAGTCTCAGTTCCCTTATCATAAAAGGGAGATGTAAACAGTCCTGAGTGCAGACAGTGTTCAGGTTAGTGCAAGAGTGTGTGCTGGGTGTGAAGTGCACAGCCAGCACGTCACAAGCACTGGAGACAAATTCAGCTTTGCTTGTTGCGCACACTCACCAGCTGCGTGACTTTAGACCTCAGTTTTCTCATCTGTTATGTGGTGGTAATGATAGACTTTTGTGAGCATTAAACTAGATTAGGGGCTATGGAGAACCTAGATGGGTATGAAGTGGGTATAATAAGCTATCAGTTAATTTTGCTGATAGATAGATTATTGATTGATTGATCGATAGAAGATTCATACCAGTATCTACCTGCTCTGAACACTGACCTTTCTTTTTTTCTTTTTGAGATGGTCTTGTTCTGTCACCCAGACTGGAGTGCAGTGGCATCATCATAGCTCACTGCAGCCTCAGTCTCTTGGGCTTAAGGGATCCTCCTGTCTCAGCCTCCCAAGTAGCTGGGACCACAGGCGTGCATCCTGGATAATTTTTTTTTATTTTTTCTAGAGACGGGGTCTCACTACATTGGCCAGGCTGGTCTCAAATTCCTGGGCTCAAGTGATCCTTCTAACCCAGCCTCCCAAAGCGCTGGGATTACAGGCATGAGTGGCCATGTTCAACTTGAACACTGAGACTTCATTCGCATGTGTAACATAAAACTGAGTATCTAGACAAGCCAGCATCTTTCTTTCAAGTAATCACTAAAGCCAATACTTTTACTTGAAATCATCTCATTTAAAACTCTGAGCAATACGTAAGGATCACCTCAATAACATATGGATCATCGCAATAGGTGAAGGGTCTTCTCTGCCTTGGAGTAACCTGCCCAGCAAAGGGGCAGACCCAGATTTGGGATCTGGCAGCTGGGAGAGTGGGGAAGGTTGAGCCGTGGGGCCCTTGTCATTCCCTCTGCCTGCCAGGAGGGGGCATGACACAGCTCCTAGGCACCCCAGGAGCCACCGGGAACCCCAACTGGAGTGGGTCCTCACTGTTCTCTTTTTCCTCTGGCAGCCTTGGAGCATGGCAAGTCCAGAGCACCCTGGGAGCCCTGGCTGCATGGGACCCATAACCCAGTGCACGGCAAGGACCCAGCAGGAAGCACCAGCCACTGGCCCCGACCTCCCGCACCCAGGACCTGACGGGCACTTAGGTGGGCTTGAGGCTTGAGACTCGGTCTGGGGGAGAGGTCTGAAGACATTCAAAGTACAAATGTGGGTCACTTTGGGGGATGCAGCAAGAGGCCCGGGCAGCTCTTGTAACTTGGGTTATCCCAAAACAGACACTGAGACACAGATCTAGTGCAAGCTGTTTATCCGGGAGACGGTCCTAGGAGTCATGGCAGGGGAGTGGGAATGGAAGGAAAGGGCAAGAGGCCAGGGCAGGACATCAGTGAACAGATAGGCACGGTAGGTGGCTGAAGCTCAACCCCAGCGGGGGTCTTCTGGGAGACCCTGGAACATATCTCTGGGTTGTCCTATCCTAGGGGTGAGGAAGCCGGGCTGTTATCTACCAGTCCTGCCCTGCATAGGAGAAGGGACGCTCCTGGGCCTGCTGCTATGGCCCTAGAAAGCCCTCAGGGAAGCCAGTGGCATGTTCTGGAAAAGTGGGTGCCAAGAGGGCACGGTCCAGCCTGGGGCATGGACAGCATCTGCTGTAGTGCCATCTCCTGGAACAGATCTTTTCTTACAGTCCTTCGAGATGCCCTATTCAATACCTGCTCTGTTCCTGGCCCTATGCAGGGCACTGGAGAAACAGAAACAGGAAGAAATCAAACACTGCACTAGTCCTGAGGTTTGGTAGAGAAACAGATCAGTGAGAAACAGTTACACGTGCCACGAGAAATAAATAAATAAAATGAAAAACCTGTAGGAACAAGGTGGGAAGCTCTTACTCTAATGCCAAGGGGCATTTGCAGTGATGTGGGGGCTGGGTCTTGAAGGGTAGACTGGAAAAGGGCTGGGACCCATGCCCTTTGCAATAAAATGCACAATTATTTGTGCTTCTTAAGAACCTCAGAGTGGCGCAGGGCTCAAGTGGGGTTTAAGAAACACTGTGTTCGTTTTCCAGGCGTGGAAATAGAGGGTTGGATGCAAGGCAGAGCAGTGCACGTCCGAGAAGAGCCCGGCATGTGGGCAGTTAGATGAGAAGGTTAGGAAGGGCCAGCCCGCTGAGGCTGGAACATAACATCCTCCTCACTGCCTCCCCTGCCCACTGATGTGTGCTCAAGGAGTCGTGGCAACAGTCACGAAGTCAGGGCTGCAGGGAGCACAGAAACACACAAGCCACCGTCTCTGCTTGTCCAGAGCAGGGATTTCACCATGGCCAATCTACAGACCAGAAGTGGACGATGCAAAGTGCCCGCACCGCATTCCAAAGCTGTGAAACCACTTGGGGGTGATGGGCTATTTGGGATTGTCGGTGGTAGGGTGGATTCTGCCAGGCTGGGCACAGAGGTCTGTCTGATGCCCCAATTGGGCCTATAAATGGCGGGGTGGGAGAGAGGGATATTCAATACTCTTCAGGAGTTCTGATATGCCATCTCAGATAGACCCAGCCATCTCCCCAAGCCCATGCCTCGGAAGTGCACTGACAGGGTGCAGATCCTTAAGGGTGTTGTCCTTCCAGACACACACAGTGGCCTGAGCTCCAACTCCAGCATGACCACGCGGGAGCTTCAGCAGTACTGGCAGAACCAGAAATGCCGCTGGAAGCACGTCAAACTGCTCTTTGAGATCGCTTCAGCTCGCATCGAGGAGAGAAAAGTCTCTAAGTTTGTGGTAAGCAGAGATTGGGAAATGGTGGAGCCTCTTTCACTCTGCTTCCTTCCTGGCCCTGAATAAGTCTTGTAGAGCCTCAGGTTTCCCAACTATGAAATGGGTCAACACACTAACTCACAGCTTTCTTCTGGAGAAAATGGCCAAAGAGCAAGATTTCAGGCTCAGCACCTGCTAGGGTCTGTGAGGATTCGAACCATATAAGTCATATTTCTTGGTCCCAAGAAGGAAATAGCCCAGTTTAATCCCATCTTATCAGGTGTCAGTCACCTGTGTCCTTTCTTCACCAATTTTGCCATATCACTGTATCTGTTCTAATTATTATTACTTATTTTTTTCTTTAAATTGGATCACTTTTTAAAAACATGAAGCACATTTATTTCAAAGAGAAATACCTTAAATGGAAAACCAATATCACATGGCACAAAGCAAAAGTAACATACTAGAAAAGTCGATACAAGGAAAGTCAATACAAGGAAAGCTATGTGCTGTTATTAAATTCTAGCTGGTTACTGTGGCTTCGGGAAAGCCCTGTGCCTGGGAGCTGCTCCTCTCCCTGTTAGAATGGAATTTTAGCTTGTGTTAAGGGATGTTAAAGACTGCCTAAGAGCCACACTTCATCCTTCTCCTTCACTTACCTGGGACCGGGATAAATAACATAGCTACCACTGAATGCCAATGGCATGCCGGGCACAGCTCCATGTGGTTTCAGTGCATTAACTCATTTAATCCTCACTGGGTGAGGTAGGCACTATGCCTATCCTTGTTTTATGAATGAGAAAAGTGAGACTCGGAGAGGTTAAATTACTCATCTAAAACCACACAGCTAGACCATGGTAGGGCTATAATTACAACCCATGCAATCTGGCTCTGGAGTCAGATGCATGGGTTATAATTGCCCTTAATATATAATTGCCCGTAATCAGGATTCTCTTGAAAGATGATTGAAAAGGATTGATTTTCTTACCATATAACGGCATCACCAGTGTACCTAAATGATGTTATATTGTACGTAAAACTAATTCCCAAGTGTGAAACATTTGGAAAACACAGCATCTCAGTTCAGAAAACAGAGGCCCAGTTTTAGCAAGTAAAGCCAAGAGGGACCCCAGCAGCCTGCAGGGCAGGACCCTCTGCCCTTTCTCCTCCCAGATGTCCCCACCTTGCTGTGTTGTTGTTCCAGGGTTGACTCAGCTGATGCCAATAGCAATTTAAAACAGAATTGGGCCAGGTGCAGTGGCTCATGCCTGTAATCCCAGCACTTTGGGAGGCCCAGGTAGGAGGATCGCTTGAGCCCAGGAGTTGGAGACCAGCCTGGGCAACACAGCCAGACCCCATCTTTTAAAAAAAATCAAAAAATCTGCCAGGTAGTGGGTGTGCCTGTAGTCCCAGCTACTCAGGAGGCTCAGGTGGGCAGGTCAATTGAGCCCATAAGTTCAAGGTTGCAGTGAGGTATGATCGCATCACTGTACTCCAGCCTGGGTAACAGTGCGAGACCCTGTCTCTAAAAATAAATAAATAAATAAATAAATAAATAAATAAACAAACAAACAAACAAACAAACAAACAATTGCATATAAGGATCGCCCGTTTTCAGGGCATGCTTTACACCGGCCTGGTTAACTTTACTCTGGGTGTGCTCCGTCCGCCGCAGCCCCCGCCGGGAGGTGGCCACAGCTCTCTCTGGTTGCGCCCTAGGTGTACCAAATCATCGTCATCCAGACTGGGAGCTTTGACAACAACAAGGCCGTCCTGGAACGGCGCTATTCCGACTTCGCGAAGCTCCAGAAAGCGCTGCTGAAGACGTTCAGGGAGGAGATCGAAGACGTGGAGTTTCCCAGGAAGCACCTGACTGGGAACTTCGCTGAGGAGATGATCTGTGAGCGTCGGCGCGCCCTGCAGGAGTACCTGGGCCTGCTCTACGCCATCCGCTGCGTGCGCCGCTCCCGGGAGTTCCTGGACTTCCTCACGCGGCCGGAGCTGCGCGAGGCTTTCGGCTGCCTGCGGGCCGGCCAGTACCCGCGCGCCCTGGAGCTGCTGCTGCGCGTGCTGCCGCTGCAGGAGAAGCTCACCGCCCACTGCCCTGCGGCCGCCGTCCCGGCCCTGTGCGCCGTGCTGCTGTGCCACCGCGACCTCGACCGCCCCGCCGAGGCCTTCGCGGCCGGAGAGAGGGCCCTGCAGCGCCTGCAGGCCCGGGAGGGCCATCGCTACTATGCGCCTCTGCTGGACGCCATGGTCCGCCTGGCCTACGCGCTGGGCAAGGACTTCGTGACTCTGCAGGAGAGGCTGGAGGAGAGCCAGCTCCGGAGGCCCACGCCCCGAGGCATCACCCTGAAGGAGCTCACTGTGCGAGAATACCTGCACTGAGCCGGCCTGGGACCCCGCAGGGACGCTGGAGATTTGGGGTCACCATGGCTCACAGTGGGCTGTTTGGGGTTCTTTTTTTTTATTTTTCCTTTTCTTTTTTGTTATTTGAGACAGTCTTGCTCTGTCACCCAGACTGAAGTGCAGTGGCTCAATTATGTCTCACTGCAGCCTCAAACTCCTGGGCACAAGCAATCCTCCCACCTCAGCCTCCCAAGTAGCTGGGATTACAGGTGCACACCACCACACCAGGCTAATTTTTAATTTTTTAGTAGAGACAGGGTCTCTCTGTTGCCCAGGCTGGTCTCTAACTTCTGACCTTAAATGATCTTCCTGCCTCAGCTTCCCAAAACACTGGGGTTACAAGTGTGAGCCACCACCCCTGGCCTGGGGTTCATTTTTAATGGGAAAAGCCACTGGGGGCTCTAACTCGCTGGGTGACTTTGGACAAGCCCCTCCTCTGGTCCTCAATTTCTCCATCTGTATTGGACAGAGGTGCTCCTGGGACCCCTTGGAAGCCTCTGCTTGTGTCCCACGTCCTCTTGATGCCAGGGCCACTTCATCTCCAAAACACAAAACCAACTGCCAAAACCGTCCAGAGCAGTGTCCACCCCACCAGTGTCTTTGTGGGAAGCTGGAGAAGAAGTTTACCTCACACATTCTAGACAAAACTTAGTCCATTTCCTTGAAGACAGTTCTCTCCAGCTGCTCCAAGGCTTTTCTCTCTGTTCCTTCCACCTTGGAATTGCTTTAAAATATTTCCATCCATTATCCTAATACTATCTTAGTATTCTAGCCCTTCCCCCTTACCATGTAGACCTGACAAAGCAAAACAAAAGCTCACCTATTGCCCTCAAGAACAGCCTCTACACACACACACACACACACACACACACACACACACACACACACGGTGGGAGTTGTATGCCATCCTTTTGAAGGGTGGGAGGACCCTGGACCAGAAAGCAATAATGGCATAAGATTCTGTGATACCAGGCATTTTTGGCAAGGGAAGTTGCCAACAATTTTTCTGGCTGGGATGGCATAGCACATTGTCTAGGGGTGGATTTTCATTCATAAGGCAGCTGTTCCCTGAATGGCTTCCCTGGGTTATGTAGAAACAGCCTGGGGAGGAGGTGATACAACATACTTAATGGGGCCTCTGGGCAGAAAACAGACTGAATCCTCAACACTGCCCCTTTTGAGGGTCTGTGATCCTGGAACTTCTCTGATGGACTGGGATGCCCTTAACTGAGGTCTGCTGTCTGGAAAGGACACCACAGGCCCAGAATGAAGGGGCATCTGGACCAATGACCTAGATTCAACACAGGGCTTGGAGCTGGTGGTACAGGCTGGTTTTGGCCCAATGTGTGTTGGAGGCTGGAAGCCCCTGAAGACCTAAACTGCCTGGATGAGCTTATTAGGGTGAATTAATGAGTCTGTAATTTGGGAACCTTAATGTGAGACACCACTTAAGGAGAGGAACTTGGCCCAGCAAGTGATCACTCTAGAAGTGGACAGCTATGCACTAGACTGCACCAGAATCTGTTCAACAGCGACACCTTGTGGTAAAAACTGTAGACGCCCCATCAGGCTGGATGGGAAACTAGAAACAGACTGTCTCATCTTTGGACAGATATCCCTCAAATCTCCCAATCTACTCCAGGGAAAAGACACTTCAAGTGAGAGATATTGGACTTCTTGAAAATCTAGGCCTATGGAAAATTAAAGTGTTAAATGGAAAAATTAAAGAGCTATGAGTCTATTTGTAATGATGAAACAGATGATATTGATTTTGTCAGTTATTTCTTCAAATCTAAAATGCTATCAACAATATGCAACAAATGTTTACTAACAAAGAAAAAATACCCAACATGGACAGTTTAATGGGATATTCCAGCACAAAAGCTGGAAAAGCAAAGAGTTAGACCCCCGATATGAGGGTTAACACCAAATAAGCCTGTTGTACAGGAGGGGACATTAAGGAAATTTGCACAAACTAAACTTGGCACTGGGTGGAGTACAGGGAACTTCCTCTGAGAATTTGAACTGCAAGCGGGCACTCGCCCATGTTTTAGGGCTGAATACACACAGCATGGTCCAAAATCCCTCAAGCAGAGAAATCATGTTAAAGTGGTCTCAGGTGGAGGTGTTCCAGGTGCCTCAAGACCTGGAGATCTTTAGGTCTTCCCTGGGGCTGAAGGATGTCAGCATCAAGCCAGGCCTATAAGAAGTGTAGGATCCTGTTGAGTTCAGAGGTGCTGAAATGTGAAAAAAAAAAGTCATCTCAAAATCACAGATAGATGATATGTGTGGGGTGTTGGGGGGGTGGGGCGGGGGGTGCACACAGAGAGAAAATACTTATATGGGAGTAAAGGAGCCTATAGAATCACATGGGGGGTTCCCCATAAGTACCTCTGAAGAGGGGTTGGCTTCCCACACAGTGCACAGGAAATGGATTTATTCAGGCTTCCCAAAAAGGGACTGGCCACATGGGGCAGCTTCAGGACCATCACTTTGCCTTTTCCCGATGACACTCAATGCTGCCCCTCCTCGTGCTTCTGGCAGCCTTGGCCTGAGCATCCACGGGAGTTTCTTCTGGCCATGGACACTGCATCTTCATCCACTACAAGTTGTCTGATGGACTGGGATGGCCTGCCACAGCCAGCTCCTCCTGGCATCTCCCATATGCTGCAGCAGTTAGAGCCCACTCGTTCCTTGGGTTCCTGGAACAAGTCCTTGAATTCCTTAGGCCCCCACCTCCAGCAAGCTTTCCGCAGGGCCCACTGCAGCCCCACCGGGGTACCCCACCTCCCTGTTTGCCTGGGCCCTCTCCCACGCCACCTGTATTAGTCCTTGTTTCTAGGGGACTTTAGAGTGGTGGCAGCTGGGACTGAACATTCTTCTCCTGACCCCTCAAAAGCTGGGTCCACAGGAGAGGTGAGGGGGTACCTGACCTCCATACCCAGGATGGAGCCTTGTTAGGAACACAGAATTTCAGGCCCCACCCTAGACCTGCTTAATCGGAGTCTGCACTTTAACAAGAGCATCCCCCACTGCCGCAGGTGACTCTTACCTGCATACCTCAAAGGTTGAGAAGCCCAGTGTTGAACTGACTTGAAGGCACCTCAATGAAAATCATCCATGGAACTGGGCCATCTGTGGTCCTGGGTTCATCCCCATCCTTCTCTTCTCTCCACCCGGGCCCTCTACCATACAGGTGCCTCATCCCAGGGGACTGCAGATGGGACTACCATGCCAGCCTCACAACCATACCTGCAAAACCACTCTGGGCATTTGGACTGGAGCTTAAAGGGGTTCATTCCAATGAAGCCCTCCCTGCTGCAGCAGCCACTCCCCCCCACTGGCTGTGATGGAGTCCTGGGGTCTCCACTTTGAGCTGGGATTAGGCATCCTCATGAGACCCTGTCCCCTGGGATGCCGGCAGTTCCCTGCCAAGCCCACAATTGAAAACAAGCTCTGCAAGCAGCTCCCTGTGCGGTAAAAGTCAGGGCTCCCCAGGCCTACTGTGTGACCAGGCACTGCCGGGCCATTGATAGCACCGTCACTCCAGCTCTGCTTGGGACATGTTCCTATCCCATTTTTCAGTTGAGGAAAATGTGATCATTTGTAACATTGTAACCTGAGGGGGTTAAGTGACTTGCCCAGGGTTACACAGCTAATAACTGGACCAGGAAATTAAGACCAGGCTTTAATTTGACCCAAGCCCTACTTTCCTTGCTGAACTCCACATTAAAGGATGTGGAGGAGAGGGGAAGGGATATGTTCCTGGTCCCCTCACCGAAATGGGTCCTTGATATGGTTTGGATGCATGGTGGTCACCTCCAAATCTCATGCTGAATGTGACTCCCAGTGTTGAAGGTGTGGCCTGGTGGGAGATGTTTGGCTCATGGGGGCAGGTCCCTCATGGATGGCTTGGTGCCCTCCCCGTGGTAATGAATGAGTTCTCACTCTGTTAGTTTACATGAGAGCTGGTTGTTTAGAAGAGCCTGACATGGCTCTTGCTCCCTCTCTTGCCATGTAAGTCACGAACTCCCCCTTCCCCTTCCACCATAAGTGGAAGCTTCCTGAAGCTTCACAAGAAGCAATGCTGGTGCCATGCTTCTGTACAACCTGCACAACTGTGAGCCAAATAACCCTCTTTTCTTTATAAGCTACCCAACCTCAGGTATTCCTTTATAGCAATGCAAAATGGACTGACACGCCTTTAAAGATCATTTCACTCACCTCTGTTTACAGATGGGGAAATCAAGGCCTGGAGAGATGACTTATCCAGGGTCACGTGGCGAGACAGGGACAGCACCAGAACCAGACCCGAGATGTCCACGTCAAAGTGACATGCTCTGAGAGGCAGCACACACAGAATAACCCTGCATCCAAATTCCAGGAAGCTCTTAGGGGTCATCCAGCTGGGCCTAGGGGTGCAGGGTCAGTGCTGAGGCCTGGGCAGGGCCGCTAGCCTCCCTGAGCTTTCTGGCTTCAGGCTGGGAGGCACAGTTCAGGGTGGACTGTGACCCCTTGGCCTAGAATGCCCTTAGCTCTGCTCTCTAGTGGCTGTCCCCATAGCTGGAACTCTGTTTTGGAGTGGCAAAACCAGTTCCACCTGCTGGTAGGGGTAGGTTGGCTCCCAACACATCCCCAGCAGGCCTCTCTTGGGCTCAAAAGCCAAGCTGTGCCCAGCCACGTCTCCAAATGCTTCCTGGCCCCCATGCAGCAACTGCATTTAGCTGCCTTCCCAGAATTTCCTGCATGCTCACACAGCCCTTCCCTCTGGGGCCCAACAATGCCACAGCCTGTTCTATCAATCACCAGCTGTTTTCCTTTGAGCAGTCTCCTTTTACTTATGCACATTTACTTGAAAAAGAAACTTCCTATTACTATCCTAAATGGAAACTCAGAATCACTTGCTATAATTAGAAAGTAGCTACAAAAATAAACACAATGAAACCGATCACTGTTATTACACCCTAACCCGCTTTTACCTGAGACAGGCCCTGAGCCTGAGGCCGCTGGTAGACTTTTGTTAAAAGAGAGAGAGACAGAGACAGAGAAATAAGCATTAGAGACCTGCAATCACCAAGCTGAGACTTCTCTTTGATTTACTCAGAAGGACTGGAAAATGTTGTCCTGCAAAAGGAGGTAAGTTTCTCACCACGTAGCGCTGATCATCCCGTGTTGCCCGTGCGTTGCTGCAGACCATCTGGGGTCTTGCCCAAGCACCCTGGAGACTTTGCTCCCTGGTTTCCTGGTCACCAACTCGAGTGTTCAGCCCTGTGTGCTCTCCAGCTCCTAAGTCGTGGGCCTGGTTTCAGCTTTGATTGCCCACTCTTGGCTTTCAACCCGTAGGCTCCGGCTCCTGACGCCACACCCTGATATCAAGACCCTCAGATGGAGCGAGCGTTCTGGGCTGGTCGAAGCCTGAAGCCGCAGTATGTCCTTGAGTGGGTCCCCCCCTACCCATCTAGCTGTTGCCCCCATGGTAAGATCAAGAAAATGCCCTCCCCTCCAAAAGTCCCCACGCCGAGCCCTCATCTGTCAGCTCCCAGGCTCGGCCCCCTCACTAGCTCCAGGCTGGGAGGCACAGTTCAGGGCAGACTGTGGCCCCTCAGCATAGCATGGACTTAGCTCTGCTCTCTAGTGGCTGTCCCCATAGCTAGAACTCTGTTTTGGAGCAGCAAAACTAGTTCCACCTGCTGGTAGGGCTAAGTTGACTCCCAACATGTCCCCAGCGTGTTGGTGTTGGGAACCTTGATCTAGCTGCTCGTTTTCTCAGTAACCAAAGATCCCTGGCACTCCTACGATGTCTCAGGCCTTATCTAGAGCTGGGGATACAGCAGTGACCAGGACAGAACTGGTCCCTGCCTCACGGAAGTGAAGTGTCAGGAGGCCACTCCCAAAGCAAATGGAAGCTGGGACAGAATGATGTCCTCAGCCAGGTGGTCAGGGAAGGCTTCTCAGAGGGGGCGCTGTTCAAAGAATCACAGAGCATACAAAGGAGCTGGCCCTGGGAGCACAGAGAGGGGAGAATTTTAGGCAAAGAGGTAGCAGGAGCACAGCCCTGAGGCAGGAAACTACCCCCCCACCACCCTCGGCATCCTCAGTTCTGGTTTGCACCCAGAAAGGGGGTAGGTCCAGGACACACCCGGACTGATGTGTCACACTGGCTGTGCCAGCTGAGAGAGTGGGCTCCAGGCACCACTAACAGAGAAGCCTTGCAAGGCAGGTCCATGCACCGCCCGCCTCCAGTTACCACTCATTGCAAAGGAAATGAGCTGGGAGCCTGTGTGTGGGCCGTGCAGACCCTTTTGGTTACAAGCCACAAAAACCCAGGTTAATCTGATGAGGAAGGAATTTATTATCTGTAAAGTCCAGGAGCAGGCTAGCTTTACACCAAGCAGGATCCAAGGACCCACACTTGTCACCTCATATCTCTCTCTCTCTCCCACTTTCGCTTTCTCTGTCTCTTCTTAGTTCTGCTTTCCTCCACTGTGCCTTCGCTCTCAGAGAGAGCTCTCCCCTGGCAGTGACAAGATGGCTGCAGCAGCTCCAGCAACCTCAGAGGACTCCCCCATCCAGGGTCCTTGTGAGCTCCTCATCTGTAGGATGTGCAGTAAACACTCACGTGTCCTTTCCTGAGGAGCCCAGTGGCTGGGGTGGGGGCTGAGGGGCAGCCCCTATGCCCTCACAGTGCAGCAACCTTGGTTAGCTCACCCATCAGGGCAGACTTGGGCAGAAATCATGTCTTGGCATATTGTTTTGTAATCTGCTTTTTAAATTGTCACTATATATTATGAGCATTTCCCTATAATATACAATATTCTTCCACATTATGTTTAATGGTTTCATTGTATTCTAATGCATATTCTATAGTTATTTTAACCACCCCACAATGTTGCAAAATGTCCTTATTTGGGACAACACTGCTGCAAACACTTTGACCCATATGTCCTTTTTGTGTGCACTCTTATGGCAACTTCTAACGGTGGCATTTCTGAATCATAGACACTTTTTTGACTTCTACATATTTTATTTTTTTAGTTGACAAAAACTGTATTTATGAATCATAAACACTTAATGATTTTGCTATTACTTAATTTTTCTTTCTTCAGAAAGGCTGTATTCACTCCTCCCCCAGCTAAGTGTGAGAGAGGCCCTTGAACTTTGCATAACAGTGGCTGTCGGCATTTTAAATTTTTTTTTTTTTAGATGGAGTCTTGCTCTGTGGCCAGGCTGGAGTGCGGTGGCACGATCTTGGCTCACTGCAACTTCTGCCTCCTGGGTTCAACTGATTCTCCTGCCTCAGCCTCCCAAGCAGCTGAGATTACAGGCGCCCGCCACCACGCCTGGCTAATTTTTGTATTTTTAGTAGAGACAGGGGTTTTACCATGTTGGCCAGGCTGGTCTCGAACTCCTGACATTGTGATCCACTCACCTCGGCCTCCCAAAGTGATGGGATTACAGCTATGAGCCACCGCTCCTGGCCTTTAAACTATTTTTTTCTTTTTGAGACAGAGTCTCGTTCTTGTCTCCCAGCCTGGAGTGCAGTGGCGTGATATAGGCTCACTGCAAACTCCGCCTCCTGGGTTCAAGCGATTCTCCTGTCTCAGCCTCCTGAGTAGCTGGGATTACAGGCGCCCGCCACCACGCCCGGCTAATTTTTGTACTTTTTTTAGTAGAGACGGGGTTTCGCCATGTTGGCCAGGCTGGTCTCGAATTCCTGACCTCAGGTGATCTAAGCTATTTTTACTGGTTTAATCTTATTCCCTTTCCACGGGGCAGGTCTGGAGAGACCGAGAGGATCTGATCCTGCAATTTAAAAAGTAGACAGCAGATGGCGCTGCCGCCTCGGCGGCTCCGAACGCATCGCCGCGGTGCGGGCGGAAAAAGCTGAAACAGCTGGGAAACCGAAACTTTCTCCAGGCTTCTGAAAGCCCTTAGACGGGATTTGAAATCATGCTGGAAAGAGCTTTGCTGCCTCTATAACCTCTCCCCAGCAAGTGTTTTGATGGGGGGTCCCCGGGCGACCTCCACTTGGGGTTTGGGACCTCACTCCCTTTCTGCCCCTCCATCCTCTTCCCTCAGCCCAGAAGCCCCAAAAGGCGGAGGCCACCGCCCTCCACTTCCCGCAAGCGGAATCCGCAGGGTTTCACAAGAGAGGGCGCTGCAAATAGCCAGTATCAGCGCCCCCAGGAGCAGGATCGGCCATGGCTTCCGAGAACGGGCCTAACTGCGCCTCTCTCGGTCTGGGGGGAGAGGCCCTTCCCCAGTAAGGCCCGCGCCACGTCGCTTTCCAGGGGGAGAGATTGAATAACCTGCTCCTCCCAGATCCCATCTCCCACCTTTTCAGGACCCAGATGGCGTGGGGGACTCCCCACCCATCTGCCTACTGAACTGGGGGAGTGAGAAGAGGACTCCCAGAGGACACCACTAGTGACCTTTTAATTCACCAGTAGACACACAAGGCTATAGAGACTGTGAGTAATGTGGGTTGGATAAATAAGTATAAGAAAGGAAAATGGAAGGAGGCTGGGAGGAAAAGAAAAGAGAAATGACGTTCCCTGCTTGTTAGAGTATAAATGGTACAACCACTTAAGAAAACCATTTGGCACCATTCCTCAAAGCTGAACGTAAACTGTCCTGTAAGTACCCAGCAATGCCGCCCTTAGGAATATACCCTATAGACAGATAGGCAAGCATGCTCACCAAAAGACATGTACCACAACTGCACAGCAGGAACAGCTCCTGATACTGTCCCCCAGCTGGAAACAACCCAAGTGTCTGCGAACCATAAAACAGAGAAGGGACTTGGGGTATTCTTATGTGGAACATGAGGCAGTTATGAAACAAGCTATGCTTGGACACAAGGAAGTGGATGAACCTCACAAGAGACTGCATGAAAGAAGCCAGACACAGACGGATGCAGCCTGTGTGGTTCCATTTCCTGAAGGCCAAGGGCAGGTCGGACTCAACCAGAGGGCTGAAGCATGCTTGCTTAGATGGCAAAACTCCTGTACTAGGGTTCTCCGGAGAAAAAGAACCAAGAGCAGAGATAGATATGGATATGGACATATAGTATATGTCTATATATTTGCATATAATGAGATTTAGTATAAGCGATGAGCTCCTAGAATTATGGCGGCTGAGAAGTCCCAGCATCTGCCATCTGCAAGCTGGAGACCCAGGAAGGCCGGTGGTGCAGTTTGAAGGCCTGAGAGCCAGCGAGCTGACAGTGTAGACTCTAGTCCAGGTCTGCAGGCCTGGGAACCAAGAATGCTAAGAGCAGGAGATCCAGGCTCCAGCTTGGCGATCAGAGAGGAGGCAAATCCAACGGTCCTCTGCCTTTTTTGTTCCGAACAGGCCTTCAGTGAGTTGGAAGATGCCCGTTCACATGGGGGAAGACCGTCTGTCACACTCAGGGCATCAACTCCAATGCTAATCTATCCTAGCAGACATACCCAGAAATAATGTTTAAGCAGACATCCGGGCATCCCATGGCCCGGTTAAGCTGACATAAAATTAACCATCACAACTCCTGAAATTAAAAAAAGCAGAAAGGGTTACTATAAAAGTTGAGATGGTGGTTATCACTTCGAGGGGGTGAGGAGGTTTTGACTGGGATGGGGACAGTGAGGAGTCTCAGTTCTTACTCTAGGGTGATGGTTGTAAAAGTATTTGCTTAGTAATAATTTGTTAAGCTGTACACTTTTATGCACTTTTCTCCGTGTGTTCTATTTCACAATAAGAATATCTTAATAGGCTGGGTGCAGCAACTCACACCTGTAATCCCGGCACTTTGGGTGGCTGAGGTGAGAGGATCACTTGAGGCCAGGAGTTTGAGACCAGCCTGGCCAACATAGTGAGACCCTGTCTCTACAAAAAGAAATTAAAATTTAAAAATGTTAAAATTGGCCGAGTGCGGAGGCTCATGCCTGTAATCCCAGCACTTTGGGAGGCCGAGGCGGACGGATCACCTAAAGTCAGGAGTTTGAGACCAGCCAGGCCAACATGGTGAAACCCTGCCTCTACTAAAAATACAAAAATTAGCTGGGTGTAGTGGTGGGAGCCTGTAATCCCAGCTACCTGAGAGGCTGAAGCAGGAGAATTTCTTGAACTCAGGAGGCAGAGGTTGCAGTGAGTCGAGATCGTGCCAAGGCCCTGCAGCCTGGGCAACAGAGTGAGATTCTGTCTCAAAAAAACAAAAAACAAACCAAAAAACAACAGAAAACAAAAACAAAATGTTAAAATTTAAAAATATAAATATGTTAATAAAAGAATAAATTGGGGCAGCAAATATAAAGTCAATATTTATTAGGCACCAAGTATGATAGCAGTCAGACAGAGCTAGAGTTTGAGCCTGAGGCGAGCACAGTGTTCTGACCCCAAAGCCCCAGATTCCCTAAGGAAAGAATCAGGAATAGCAACCAGCTAGGGGGCCAAAAGTTCCTCACAGGCACCTCCTTAACATACTAGTGTGTGGTGAATTGCAGGGATGGCCTGGGTCTTCATCCCTCGTCTCCATGCCATTTGCCACACACATTTGCAGTTCTTGTCACTAAACAAGCACGGTTAATTTCCCTCCCCTTTGAGTCCGGGCTGTCCTGGACACTGGCTTCGGCCCATGTCATGTGGCAGAAGGGACAGTGTGCCAGCTCCAAGCCTTGGCCTCAAGAGACCTCGTGCATTTCACTTGCCCCCTTGAGCTTCTGTTGTTGTCATGAGAAGAAAATGCCCAGGGTATCCGGCTGGAGACACAGGATGAGGTGACACATGGATCTGAGCCAAGGGCAGCTGAGATCCGTTGACGCCAGCCCACTCCGACATGTGGGTGAACTCAGCCAAGATCAGCCAATTCTCAGCCATGTGTTTTGTGAACTCAAATCAGATGTTATTGTTGTTTTGGGGCTGTTTGTTATGTAGGAATAGCTAGCTGATACATTGTCTGTAGACAGTAGTGAGATCTGGGGATGTGTTGGCACAGGGTTCCTGAAAGGACCTGTCTGGGATAGGAAGTGATCAGCACCAGTCCATCCAATGCTCCTGCCTTCCCTGGATTCGCTCTGAGACTCCAAGCAGCCTCCACATAAATATAGCCACCAATTACCCATGCCTTGTATGTGGAGGGCACTCATGCCAGGCCCTGGCTTAGTACCTTATGAACTTGGCCCACTTAACCCTTACAGTGGCCCTATGAGGTAGGCCTTATTACTGCCCCCATTTTAAGGTGAAAGGACTGAAAACAAGAGCTTAGCCCACAGTCACATGGCTTGTAAGAGACAGAGCTGGGATCTGACTTCAGAGCCTGTGCTTTACCCACTGTGCCACCCTGCCCACCCATCCCAGCCTGCTCTCCTTGAAGCCTCTTCCCCAGCCTTGGGATGCCAAGCCTCTGGGCTCTCAAAAGAGCGCCACCTCGTCCCCATGCTTGCTTTCTCCTCTCTCCCAGGGTCCCCCAGGGCCCCAGCATGAAGATCGTGCTCAGCAGCATCATGCCCCAGAAGATGAAGGCTCCTGTGGATAAACATGAGGCCACTCTCCAGGAAGCAGTCAGCAGAAAGAACACTTAATGACAACCTCTAAACAGGACGAAGGCTGTTGGAAGAACATTTGTCATTCTGATGGAGAATCTTGGGATATTTGGGTTGGAAGGGATTACAGAGCTGCTGCAGTGCAAGGTACAGACTTTTTTTTAAGCCACAGAGTCTTTTCTTCAAATGGAATTTGATACAGAAACTCAACATGTAAAAGAGGCCAAAGCCAAGTTTTTCTAGCTGGGAAGCAAGGGAGCTCTGCCTTAGGCCTATCGAGGGCACCCCTAGGCTTTGATGGAGCACCATTTGGGAGCCACTGGGATGGTTTTGCTGATGGAAAAAGAGCCTCAGAGCCACAGAAGGAATGAGTAGAAGAGCAAAGACTTGAACTCAGCTCTCCTACCTCTTGCCTCTAGGGTTGTTTTCCTATTCCAAGTGTTTAGAAACAAAAGCATGCACCCCAAAAGAAAGGTGTAAACCTGATTTCTTTTTTAAACATGAATTTTTCAAAATGACGCATGTGGAGGCCAGGTACCATGGCTCATGTCTGTAATTTCCAGCACTTTGGGAAGCTGAGGTGGGAGGATCCCTGGAGGTCAGGAATTCAAGACCAGCCTGGGCAACATAGTGAGATGCCATCTCTACAAAAAATTAAAAAATTAGCTGGGCATGGTGATGCATGCCTATAGTCCCAGATAATTGGGAGGCTGAGGTGGGAGGATCACTTGAGCCCAGGAGTTCGAGGCTGCAGTGAGCTATGATTGTGCCACTGCACTGCAGCCTGGGTGACAAAGCAAGACCCTGTCTCAAAAAAAAAAAGTCTTGGAGTCATTGGGATGAAATCATCCAGTCATGAGATTTCAGGACCCCACTTCTATACAGCATCACCATGTTTAGCAGGAGGGTCCACTGAGACCCTTGGCTGTTTTCCTTGGGGGTCATCTCTCATGACTCCTCTCCCTGCACCTCACTGCACAGCCCTTGTGTAGCAGGCTTTCGGCAGAGCAGCCCTCGCCAAGACAGATTTTCCCCTGTGTCTTTGCAGCCTCTTTACTCCGGGGCTATGGGCAGGCTGCAGGGGTTGGTCTACAGGTGTGATGAGATGCTCCAGAGCATTCCCCAGGTGGGGAGGAGCCAGAGGCGCCCGGGAGGGAGCACTGAACCGCGAGTCATGCATTAGGTGTCTCTGGGTTTTTCCTGCCTGGCTCTTACTGGAAATAGCAGCTGGTTATTCTTCTTCAGGAGGACATCCCTCCCTGATTTCATTCCACAGGGTTTAGATGAACTGGAGCACTGGCTGCACTTGGGCCAGTCCCTCCACTTATTGGGGGCTCCATTTCTCTACTTGTAGATTGTATGTTTCCTGGGGCTGTGGTAACAAACACAAACTGAGAGGTGTAAGCAAGGTCTGGAGACTAGGTGTCTGAAATCTAGGTGTTGGTGGGGCCATGCTCCCTCTGATGTTTTAGGGAAGAATCTGTTCCACGCCTCTCACCTGGCCTCTGGCAGCTTCCAGCAAAACTTGGCGTTCCTCGCTCTGTAGCTGCTTCACTCCTGTCTCTGCCTCTGTCTTCACATGGCCTTCTCTCTTCTGTGTGCTTCTGTGCCCGAATCGCCCTCTGATTTTTTTTTTTTTTTTTTTTTAGAGATAAGTGTCTGGCTATGTTGCCAAAGCTAGTCTTGAACTCCTGGCTCAAGCGATCCCCCTGAGTAGCTGGGATTACAGGCATGAGCCACCATGCCTAGCAAATTCCACGCCTAGCAAATTCCTCCCTTCTAATAAAAATACCAGTCACTGGATTAGGACCCACTCCAAGCCAGTATGACCTCATTTGAACTTGGTGACATCTTCGAAGACCCTATTTCCTAATAAGGTCATATCACATGTAGCAAGGGTTAGGGTTTGAACATATATTTACAGGGAACATAATTCAACCCACAACAGAAACGAAAGGGTTGTCCTAGGAGCATGCTCACCTGACATCCCCGGATTTTCTGAAATAAGTGATGTTTCAGGGACTGAACCAAATGGTAGTTGATCCAGCCTTATCTGCAGTGTCAAAGCTCTCACCCTTTCCCAGAGGGCCCCACAGCACCCTGTCTGGGCCACTCTTAAAGTACAGCTCCCTTTCTACTTCCTTTCCTCTATTAGAGGGCGGGATGGGTCTGTTTCACTCCTTATCCATTGGCCCCTGGACCCACATCTGGGGGTGGCGGAGCAAACACCAGGCCTTGAATCCACCTCCCAGTTTTTTCAGTCCTACCTTCCAATATGGCCCAACTCACCCCATCCCCCCCTCCCCAGTTCCACCCCGCCCAGGCGCCACTGCCCCCAAATCTAACATCTCCTTCACCGTTTCCTTCCTGCCTTGCCTCCTCCAATCCACTCTCCACACAGCTGTCAGACAGCCCTTTCAAAATGATAAATGGATCATCTCACTCCCTGGCTCAAAGCTTTCACGGGATTCCCCTCATTCTTAGCATAAAGTCCAAGCTTCTCCACTCAGCCTCCATATCTGGCCTCATCTGGCCCAGATGACCTCTCCCACTTGTGTCTGCCATCTTTTTTTTTTTTTTTTTTTTTTTTTGAGACAGAGTCCCATTCTGTCACCCAGGCTGGAGTGTAGTGGTGCAATCACAGCTCACTGTAGCCTCAATCTCCCTGGCTCAAGTGACCCTCCCACCTCAGCCTCCCAAGGAGCTGGGACCACAGATGTGCACCACCATGCTTGGCTAATTTGTTAATTTTTTAAAAAATTTAAAAAATTTTGTTGTGGAGACAAGGTCTTGCCATGTTGCCCAGGTTGGTCTTGAACTCCTGGCCTCAAGCGATCCTCTGGCCTCCACCTCCCAAACTGCTGAGATTATGGTTGTGAGTCACCGCACCCAGTCTGTGTTTGCCCTCTTGATCCTCAGAAACACTGACCACTTCTGTGGGGTGTTTTGCTCCTGTTGCTCCACATGCTGGCTGCACTCACTAGGCCTTCCCTGACACTTCTCAATCTTTTTTTTTTTTTTTTTTTTTTTTGAGACAGGATCTCACTCTGTCACCCAGGCTGGAGTGCAGTAGCAGGATCTCAGCTCACTGCAACCCCCACCTCCCAGGTTCAAGTGATTCTCCTGCTTCAGCCTCCCGAGTAGCTGGGATTATAGGCGTGCACCACCACGCCTGGCTAATTTTTGTAATTTTAGTAGAGACGGGGTTTTGCCATGTTGGCCAGACTGGTCTCGAACTCCTGACCTCAAGTGATCCACCCACCTCAGCCTCCCAAGGTGCTGGGATGACAGGCGTGAGCCACTGCACTCGGCCATATCTCCATTTTTAACAAGAGGGAAGCCCCCTCCTGCTGCTTAGGGCAGGCCACAGTTGTCCAGCTAGAATCGATGGCCACGTTGTTTTTCACTGCATGTATTTTTGTGGTGGTTTTTCTTATTATGGGCTGATACCATTTCTTTCATTTATGGTGGTGACAGAAATGTTCCATATTAAATGGAAAGCAGGGTCAGGTGATGGTGGATATGGCAGAAAATGTGAAGGAGGCCTGAGGGAAAGAAGGTAGATTCTGAATTCTGATCCGGCCCCTGATCCGGAATGGATGCTGAGGCCCAGAGAGGGAAAGGACGGGTCTGGAGTCACACAGAGTGCCAGGGGCAACACCAATTCTCAAGCTCGCAGCCCAGCACTCCTTCCTCTGAGCGTTCAGCTGTGCTGGGCTCCAATGCATAATGAATGGAATTCTGAGCTGCCGCTTTCCTCCCAGAAACCCCTCCCATCAAGTCCCTTGGGGACCCTCTCCCCACCTCGGGGTCCCTTGGCCCATTTAAAAACCCAGGCTGCAGGTGAGTGTGTGGAGTACATCCTTTTTAACAATACTCAGACAAGCAAGTCTGGTGCCTAGAAATCATGTTTCTGCTTTGAAACCTGCCACTGACTGCCTTTCCCAATTTCTGCTTAGCAAATCTTCACAGGCCGTGTTTTAAATACTCTTCCTCCTTTTGCTATGATCAAAGGAATTACTTGTTCCCCTGATAGGTGACAAAAGATGTCAGAGAAACGAATGAGAGAATGTGGTTGCAGCCCCCTTTCCTTCGCCTGGAGGAAGGAGAATCGCAAGGCATCTTGGGCTGGGTGGCTTTTAGCATTGAGTAGAGTGGGGGTGCAGAGATAAGGGAGGAGGCTGCAGGCAAGGGCAGAGGAGGGGTCCTCAGGCAGGCTGATAATTTGGCGCCAGTAGTTGACATCAGTTGGGTGGGCTGCTCAGCCTGCATTTCCCCTTCTCCCGGGCAGAGCTTCCTAATTTTGCTTTAGGGTACCCACCCTTCAGGAGGCACTGACTCCATCCCCAGAGCTGGGGCTGTGTGTATGACTCAGACCTGGCCACAGCGATGGACTTCAAACTGGGCATGTGACCTAATCAGAACCAAACAGGAGCAATCTTGGGCTTTTTGAGATTGACTGCTCAGAGAGGGAGAAGACGCCCCTTCCTGCTGGGCTTGGGGTAGGGCTGTGAGCCTGGAGCTGCAGGGAGTTTGGCCAAGAGGAACTTCGGAAATGGAGCCAAAAGATAGGGTGGGAAATGGACAGATGCTGAGTCCTGTCCTGATGATCTCAAACTCCTAGATCAAGCTGCATCTGACTATGTAAACTCTCTTTTTTTTTTTTGAGACAGGGTCTCAATCTGCCACCCAGGCTGGAGTGCAGTAGCACCATCTCAGCTCACTGCAACCTCTGCATCCCGGCTCAAATGATCCTCCTACTTCAGCCTCCAAGTAGCTGGTAGCTGGGACTACAGGCATGTGCCCCCACACCTGGCTTTTTTTTTTTTTTTTTTTTTTTTGAGACGGAGTCTCACTGTTGTCACCCGGGCTGGAGTGCAATGGCGCAATCTTGGCTCACAGCAACCTCTGCCTCCCGGGTTCCAGCAATTCCCCTGCCTCAGCCTCCGCAGTAGTCACCACGCCTGGCAAATTTTTGTATTTTTTGTAGAGACGGGGTTTCACCATGTTGCCCAGGCTGGTCTCAAACTCCTGAGTTCAGGCAATCTGTTTGTTTCGGCTTCCCAAAGTGCTGAGATTACAGATATGAGCCACGGTGCCGGGCCTGAACTGTCTTTTTTGATTAACCTGTTACTTCTTTTCATTTGTGACAAAAGACAGTCATTTCTGATGATCTTTTATCACTTGAACATGTATCTTCAGGCACCTCACCCCCTGCAACAATCCCTAAGGACTTGGCAAATACAGTTTTTTCTACCTCTAGCCACATTTCTAGGCACAATTTCAGCCCCTTCCAGCCTCATCACAGGCCAACACTGGAAGAGTCTCTATTAGAGGCCGCAAGTACAGACTGGGAAACTGAGGCCCTGTGTTGGTCCATTTTGCATCACTATAAGGGAATACCTGAGGCTGGGTAATTCATAAAGAAAAAAGATGTATTTGGCTCAGCGTTCTGCAGGCTGTTCAGGAAGCATAGTCCTGGCCTCTGCTTCTAGTGAGGACCTCAGGAAGCTTTCACTTGCAGTGGAAGGTGAAGGGGAGCGGGCATCCCATGGTGAGAGAGAGGGCAAGATAGAGACAGAGAGAGATGCCAGGCTCTTCTAAACAACCAGCTCTCCTATGAACCTACAGAGAACCTATTCATTACCATGGGAAGGCACCAAGCCATTCATCAGGGATCTGCCTCCAGGACCCAAATGCCTCCCACCAGGTCCCACCGCCGACACTGGGGATCATATTTCAGCATGAGATTTGGATGGGACACACATCCAAACCTTATCAGGCCCATTCAAATGGGATACCACAGAAAGAATTCCTGTCGTAGGTCACGCCTTTGCTGTGATCTCAGCCTGGGTGTCTTCCCACCCAGCAGACAGCCTGAAAAAATGATCAAAAGTCCTTGCAACCCTGTGAGTCCTGCAACCAATGTCCCTCTCCTTGAACCTGACAGTCCCACTATACAGGTTCGGGAACTGAGCCAGCAGGGACAAGGAACTTTGGCATGCCTACTCTCACCTCCTTATCCTGGCACCCACTCAGTGCTTCCTCCTTCACTTTTCAGCTAGGAGAGAGGGAGACTGACAACACTGATTATGCTTCTGGATCCAGCCATGCCTGAAGGCCCTAGAGCTAGCTCTTGGATCTTTCCAGAGCCAATCAATTCTCTTTTAGGCATAAACCACATTGAATTTGGATTCTGTTACTTGCAACCAAAAGAGTCATGATTATGTAGCTGCCTTCAAGTCTCTGTGGGGCTGTGTGTCTGGGACAAAGACAGCAGTCCTGAAAGTCAGGAAGGCCTGACACAGGGAGATCAGGCTGCCCTGGACCACCCCCACCCCCTCACAGTTATCCCAGTGGGTTACAGGCCCTGGTAGCAGTTGGGGTTGAGGAAAGGCTGGCAGCGTGGGGATGCAGTGAGGATCAGAATGAGCAGGGTGGGGCACCAATGCCAGGGCAAGGTGCTCTGGGAGAGGGGCTGGTTTTCCAAGAACTGGGGGCATAGAAGCCTCAGACCAATGGTTCTCCAAATATGGTCCTTAGATCAGCAGCATCAGCATCATCTGGGAATTTGTTGGAGATGCACATTCTCAGGCCCTGCCTCAGACCCACTGAATTAGCAGCTCTGGGTGTGGGGCCAGAAAGGTGGGTTTTAACAAGGCCTCTGGGTGACTCCAATGTTAACTGCTGCTTGAGCGCCACTGCCTCAGACATTAAATGAATTAAATATGCTCAGAGAAGAAAACAAATTATTTAGTATTGAGAACAGATGTGGGGGGCCCAGAATATACTGTTCACAAGTGTCTAGGGGACCCTTCACAGCTACAGAGGCTGGGCTTGGATAAGGACCCCCGCACTTCTCCCCACAGGCCTGTATCAAGCAAGGTGGCAAAGCAAGGAAGGGCCACCACCTCCAAGTCCCTCCAGGCCCATTCTCCTGGGCCTCCTCCTGAGGACCCTCCTCCACCAAGGAGACCCCATACGACAGCCTACCTTGTCTGGCACACAGAGAGGAGGGGATGGCCCAGGGGCTGTGGGTGCCAGGCAGGGGTTGACCAGATGACCCTGAGCCTGTCAAACTAGGATCACACCAGCCAGATCCCTGAATCCAGCCCTCCCTCCCTCTCTAACTCCAGTTCAGAAACTCTGCCTTGTAGTCAGAATGGGCTGGGTTCTGTGGCAGGAATGTAAGTCTGCATACAGACAATAACCTTAACTCTCCATGGCTTCACATATCACAGGGTACTTCTCATGCTCACAAAGTCCAGGGCAATGCAGGCGACTCTCCAGGATAATTTCTTTTCTTTTCTTTTTGAGACAGGGTCTCACTCTGTTGCCAGCCTGAGAGCAGTGGCACAATCACGGCTCACTGCAGCCTCGACCTCCTGGACTCAAGTGATCCTCCCGTCTCAGCCTCCTGAATAGTTGGGACTGACACCCAGCTGATTTCTGTAACCAAGACGCTTTTCTTCCATGCCACAGCTCAGCAAACCAGGCTCCTCCTCTCTTGCAGCTGTGCCATGTCAACATGAGGCTTTAGGGGCAGAGAGAACTAAAGAGACACGAACTGGCTCTTAAATACTTTCATCCAGGCACTTCCACTCCCAGCCATAGGCCAGAATGAGCCTTATGATCCCATGCAGGCAGGAGGAGCTAGAGCGCAGGGGGAGTGTGTGCAGAGCCAGCGATCAATAGAAATCTGTCACCTGCCTGCTGGATGCCACCAGCTGCGGTCCACTCTGCTACCTCCCATGGGATCACTACCTCTCAAAACACCTGTTGGGGACTGACCTGACATAGACCTGGCACTGTGCTCAGCACTGGCTCTCCCATAATGACCAGGACAGACATGGTCCCATCCCATTCCTTAAGGGGCTCATATCGGAGAAGGGAGGGGATTGAACAGTCCCTCCTCAAAGTTCCTGGCCCCCATTTCTGTGTCCCTTTTTTGTGAGCATCACCATCCTTCCTGACTCACAGACCAAGCTTAGTCAGCTCTCAACCCTGGAATGAGCCTCAGTTTTCTCATCTGTACAATGGGGATAAAAAGAGACTTAACAGAGGTCATCTGATGATCATGAGAAAGCAAGTCTCCAATTGGTGCAGCCTAAACAGCCACCAGGCAGTGGGACCAGGATTCAAGCTCCATCATCTGATTCCATCGCTCGAGTCTCTTCTGTGGCCCTTCCTCTTCCTCCTTAGCTGGGTGGACCCTGCAGAGTTTGCCTCAAACATTGAAGCTTTTGCTAAGAAGGAGGGGATCTGAGAGTCCAACTTTCCAGCCACAGCCAAGGTGAGCCGGGCCTGGCCTTGAGCCAACTTGGTCCCCTGAAGACTGCCTGAACTAGCCCAGCCTGATCCCCAAGGCATCCCTGGAACTGGCCCTGGCTCAGGTCATTCCAGGAGGGCCACAGCAGCTGTCCTTCAACCCAGGACCCAGACAGGGCCAGCTCCAAGCCCCTCACTCCCACCACCCTTTCTCCACATGTAGATGTGGTCAAAAACCTTACCATGGGACTGGTAAGGCCACCACGGCCACCATTAGAAACCTGATCCCGAGTTGCTGATTAAAACCAGGAGGGGTTTTTAATCAGCTGAGGCCATATGCTATTTAACCAAAGATGAAAGCACGAGTGATAAGCATCGTCTCAGAAAGGATGTCATTAAAGGAAGAGCAGAACAGCAAGAGGCAGCTTTTATCATTAGAGAAGCCCCTTGCAAAGCTCTCGTGAGGGGCTTCGGGGAACATCTGGGCTCGGTCTATTATGCAGTACTTACAACGTCATTGTGTTTGACAACGGCTCCTGAGCCCACGCCACACTAAACTTCTAAATATACAATTAATGTCTATTAATTATAGTTTTCAAATCAGCAAAATGAGCCTTCATTAACTTAATCGCCTCTTCTATTTTATCAGGAAATTGTACTCTTGGTGTTCATAATCCCCGCATCTGAAACCCCCCTTTGACAGGCGGCATGTGATGCTTGGCTGACTGTTTAAGGGAAGGCCTGCCTGTCCTCCCCGCATCTAGGCACCCCGCCTAATCCACCCTCGGCCATGAGACGTGAAGCCACTGAGGGCCTCCGAAGTATTCCAAAGGGTTTGTGAGCAGGCATGTGGTCCGGGAGATGGTGTTGGAAGTGAGGCGGCAGCTGCCATCATGGTACCTGGTCAAGCTGGAGCCCAGCTCAGATGGAACTGAATCTGAACCAGTATGTGTTGGGGGGATGATGTGGACAGGAAACTGGCCACTGCCTCTTGCATCTCTTTGGACCCTAGGCAGCCCTCCTTCTCACTGTCAGCAGCCTTGGGGATTATCTCGCTGCTCACAACAGCCGGTGTCTTATGATGTAATTAACCCCATTGCAGACACGGGCAAACTGAGACTCACAGAGGGGAAACGGTTTCCTCAGGACTGCAGAGCAAATTGTTGGCCATGCTGAGCCTTCAACTCAGCTCATCTAATGCCCAAGATAGGGCCTCACCCTGAGTTTGCATATATAATGGAGGTCACTGTTTTTCAGTGGACTTTCATCTTCTTCTCTCCCCTTGGCATGAAGAGTGCTCCCCTACCCCATGGCTTTTGGGCTTGGCCATGTGACTTGCTTTGGCCAATGGGATGGGAGTGAATGCCATGAGCTCAACCATGTAACTTGCTTTCACCAGTGGGAGAGGAATGAATGCAACGAGCTTGGTGGTGCGGCCTGCTTTGGCCAGTGGGATGGGAGTGGATATGATGAACTTAGCCACGTGACTTAGTTTGGCCAATAGGATGGGAGTAGATAGGATGAGCTTGGCCATGTGACTTGCTTTGGCCAATGGGATGGAAGTTAATATGATGAGCCTGGGCCATGTGACTTGCTTTGACCAATGGGATGGCAGCAGATACCATGGGCTTGGCCACATGACTTCCTTTGGCCAATGGAACAGGAGTGGGTATGATGTCCACCATAGCCCCTTCTTCTTGGGTGATCAGGAGATGTGCAGAGAAGAGGGGTGGAGAGAGAGAAAGAGAGAGAGCAGGTGAGAGAGTCTTTGGACCTAATTGGGTCAAATGCCTTAGACAACTTACACAACTTCCCAGCTTTACCGTCCTCTGGAATAAAATGGACGTGATAGAAAGGCTGCCTCCTGGCCGGGCGCGGTGGCTCACGCCTGTAATCCCAGCACTTTGGGAGGCCGAGGCGGGTGGATCATGAGGTCAGGAGATCGAGACCATCCTGGCTAACAAGGTGAAACCCCGTCTCTACTAAAAATACAAAAAATTAGCCGGGCGCGGTGGCGGGCGCCTGTAGTCCCAGCTACTCGGGAGGCTGAGGCAGGAGAATGGCGTGAACCCGGGAAGCGGAGCTTGCAGTGAGCCGAGATTGCCCCACTGCAGTCCGCAATCCGGCCTGGGCGACAGAGCGAGACTCCGTCTCAAAAAAAAAAAAAAAAAAAAAAAAGAAAGGCTGCCTCCTAAGGTTGCTGTGAGGATGAAATGGGCAGTGCTTTGCCTGGAAGGCTGGAGAGTGGCTTTGCCTGGTGGGATTCTGGCACCATGGCACCTCGCACCTCAGAGGGCCCAGAGCAAGGAAGTGGCTGTACCCCAACCCCAGCTCCATGGGTCGGCAAGCCCTGGACTGTTCAAACCCTATTACAGCCTTCTATAAATGCAGATCGTCTTTATAGTTCTCTCCCCTTGGCTCCAACTTTGTTTCCATTACCTTATTTTAAGCCCATCACCTCATCTCATTTATGCCTTATAGAAATTTATGGCTAAGTGGGGACAGCAGACAGGCAGCTGTGATCTGAGGCCTCTGCAGGAGGCCCAGGAGGGGCATCTACCCAAGGCTTGGGGGTCAGGGAGGGCTTCCTGGAGGAGCGGGGTCTTGAAGAAGGAAGGGGGCAGTTGTACTAGAGACCCACGGCCACCTGTCATTTCAGCTGCAGCTATTGAGGACAGTCTAGCAAGCACAGACTCACCTCATCCCAGCAGAACTGTACCTGGCCTTCCTGCCCATTCCCTGGGGCCTTCTCCAGTCCTGCAGGAAGTGAAGGGGCATCAACACCCCCAGAGACACCCCCAAGACTCAGGCTGGGGCCAGTGGACACATGCTCCAGCCTTTCGCCCTGCAGCCAGACACCCCAGGGTCACTCTGTCCTCATCCTAGAGGGCCACTTTCTCTAATGGTGACCTCAGCAAGGCACCCTCATGTCACTTTGTCACCTGCCCTCTTGTCCTCCTGCCCCATCACTCCTCTCTTGAGCATCACCCTACCAAAAACCTACCCCCAAGTCTCTGTCTTAGGCCAGGCCTTGGGGAACCCAGGCTCAGGCCAGGAGCAGCTAGGTGAGAGGTGAGGACAAGCACTGCAGGGAGAAGGAGCAGCATATTCTGGGCTGGAAGAGAAAGGAAAGTCCTCCATTGTTTAAGGGTTGTCAGGGAGCACAGGGCAGTGGGTCAGAGGGGAAAGGCAGAAAGTCATGGAGGAGACAGGAGACAGGGAGCTAGTGGCTCCTGAGGGCCTGGTCTGCTGGGCTGGGAGCTGAGCCCTTGTCCTGAGGGCAATGAGATGGGTTTGCAGTAGGAAGTGCCATGGTCAGATTGGCGTTTTTGTTTTTGTTTTTTGTTTTGTTTTGAGACGGAGTTTTGCTCTTGTTGCCCAGGCTGGAATGCAATGGCGTGATCTCAGCTCACTGCAACCTCCGCCTCCCAGGTTCAAGAGACTCTTCTGCCTCAGCCCCCCGAGTAGCTGGGATTACAGGCACCTGCCACCATGCCCAGCTAATTTTTTGTATTTTTAGTAGAGACGGGGTTTCACCATGTTGGCCAAGCTCGTCTTGAACTCCTGACCTCAGGTGATCCACCCGTCTCGGCCTTTCAAAGTGCTGGGATTATAGGTGTGAGCCACTGCACCAGGCTGGTTTTTTGTTTTTTGTTTTTTTTTTAACAGAGTCTTGCCCTGTCTCCCAGGTTGGAGTGCAGTGGTGTGATCTCTGCTCACTGCAAACTCCACCTCCTGGTTCAAGCGATTCTCCTGCCTCAGCCTCCTTAGTAGCTGGGATTACAGGGATGTGCAACCACGCCTAGTGATTTGTTGTATTCTAGTAGAGACAGGATTTCACCACGTTGCCCAAGCTGGTCTCGAATCCTGACCTCAAGTGATCCACCCACCTCGGCCCCCCAAAGTGCTGGGATTACAGGCATGAGCCACTGCACCCGGCCCAGATTGGCATTTTTAAAAGTGCTTTTTGTCTGCAGTGCGGGGACTGATGGGAGACAGCATGGCCAGTGGAGGAACCGTCCCCAGGCTGGGGAGAGCCGACAGGACTCTCTGCTAGGGTATGGAGGGGATGGGTAGAGTGGAAAAGGTCTCAGTAACTGGAGTGATGAGGGAAAGAGGAGTCAAGGATGGCACCCAAGCTTCTGGTCTGGGTTACTTGTTGGATTGTCTTGCCATCTGCTGAGCTAGGAGCAGGTTTTGGGGTAAGATGATGAGTTTGTTTTGAGGCATGTAGTTGGGACTCGTTGGCAGCAACCTAGAGACAGTCATGGCAGTGGACGAGATCCCAAGAAGTGAGTCCACGGAGAAGGCCAGGCAGCCAGCACTGAGATCTGAGCAACGCCACTATTTTTAAAATTTTTTTATTTTGAAATAATTATAAATTATCAGAAAGTTGCAAACAAAGCCCAGTCAGGTCCCATGTACCAGTTTCACTGCCACCATCTTTAAAGGAGGATTAGACGAATCTGACTGCTAAAAGTGGCCCAGGGATTCTGGAGAAAATCCAACAGGTTTGCTATCAGGAAAGCAATTTCACTTACAATTCAGGTTTGACTGCAAGTGAAAGTGGTTGAAACAAGTGAGAAGTTGATTGCTTCCTCATATAATAGTCTAAATGTAGGTGTCCAAGCCTGGAATAGAGGTCCTGGTCCTCTAAGTTCTCAGGAACACAGGCTTCTTTTAGCCACTCCACATCTCTAGGGTGTTGTCCTCATGGTCCAAAATGGTGACTGGAATTCCAGCCATCACATCTGCTTTCCAGGCAGCAAAATGGAAGAAGGGGCACAGAAGAACAGAGATGACAATAGGTATAAACAAGCTCTCTTTTTAAAGGAGATTCCCAGGAGCTGCTACATGACACTTACTGTTGACTAGAGTTTAGTCACAAAATTTATTTGCGAAGGAGTCTGAGAACTGTAGTCTTTATTCTTGGGCTCAAAATCAGAGGCTGTATTACAAGGAAGAAAGAGTGTATTCAGGGGAGCAACTAGCTTCCTGTGCACAGAATCCAAGGGCAGAGGGTGTTCTGAAAGGGGGGATGTGTCAGTATCACAAAAACAATCAAGAAGTCAAGAAAGGTAGCAATGAAATGCCCAGTGGATTTAGGGGCAAGAAAGTCCAGTGGCAACTTGGTGAGGATGATGGCAATTATCCATCTGACCCCAGAACCCTTGATTCTGAGTGCCTAATGTTTTCCAGAGTCAGCTTTTGTCTAGTGGATGGGGCAGAAAGACAGAGGTGTTGGAGTTGAGGGTGTTGGACCAAGAGTGCAAATCCAGGCCACAGGTGACAGTACAGCGGCAGGAAGTGGAAATGAGGGAATGAAAGGGACTCTAGGAAGAGCCAAGAGGGACTGACTGTGAGAAGGACAGGAATGAGGACAGAAGGAGACAGCAGAGTGTGTGGCTTCCATGGTGTGGCATTTCTGGGTTCACAGTGGGGCCCAGGAGTGAGTGGCTATAGAAGAGAGAAAAGGAGGCCTTCCTGGTGGTGGGGGCCATAACACTGAGAGATCGGGGTTCAGACACCTGCGGAAATCACCCAGGTTGCTGGCAGGGTGTCAGGTAGAGGTGGACGCTGAGCCTCTGTGGAGTTTTCCCAGTTACTTCAACACCACTCCCAACTTTGCTGCCAAAAGAGCCTGTTTAATGTTCTTGTGGTTGACACCTGCCCCAAACCCTGAATGGTTCCCCCATGGATTCTCAGGAAATGTCCAAACCCCTCACCTTTTCCTTTGAGGTCCTTCTATGATCACCTGGGATGGGTTATGATGCTTTCAACTCTAAGCAACAGGAACCCCAAGTAACAGACACTGCCTGTGCCTGGCTTGTATCCCCTGTAGGAATCATTTCTGTTTGCTGGTCCAATTTCCGACTGCCAGTACCTGCAATTCTGCTGAAGCCTATGCCTATGCACAGAAATAGCCCTTGACCAATGACTGACAAGGATGGGTGGGTAAATACCTCAGCTCCCTCCCTGTGCAGGTGGGATAACTCTGAGGTATGTTCCACGTGGGCTCCTGGAGTGGAACTTCCCTTCCTTTTCTGCCTCACTTCCCCACTCTCCTCCCTGTCTTTCCCAGGACCACCTCAAAATCAACAACCTGCTCCTGAGTCTTCATCTCAGGATCTCCTCCTGAGAAAAACCAAATAACTAAAGTACAGATGCTGGGTGGCTGCCAGGTCATGTATAAGTGCTTGCTCAACATCATTCCCAAGGACCCAGCACTCTCTGTGTGTGCTCTGTGGTCCTCAGGCTGTAGCAAGATGGCCACTACCATGACATGTTACAAGTTCCTCAACAGACTTCCCTTCAGATCTCATTGCCCAGAATAAGGTCACACATGATCTTTCCTGAATCAGTCACTGGCAAAGGTGAGGACTTTGCCATGTCTGGCTTAGACGAATCACCTATGGACAGAAAGGATGATGGGGTCAACTACAGAGACCACACCACCATCCCATCATGTCTTCTAGTATGACTCTACCACTGTAGATATGTAATATAGTGAAAAGAAAGAGCTGGTTGATGCTGCTTGCCAACCAGCTGTGTGTTCTCACGATCTCACATTCATTCATTCATTCATTCAACATGCACATATTGAATGTTGACTGTGTCCCTGCTAGTTACTGGGGCTGGGGATGTGGGAGACAAGAAAAGCACAGAGGGCTGAATGTGGTGGGGTCTGGGTGGCAGAGGCATGACCCTGGGGATATCCTGACCCAGCTGTTTTGCCATCTGAAATGTCCCACCCCACTGTCTTCCCTTCAGGATCATACCTGCCCCCTAGAGCCCCTCTCCTCCAGGAGGCCTTTTCTGATTTTCCCAAACCAGGGGGTCCCATCCTGCCTTGGAGCCCCCTTGGGTGTTCCAGGGTGTTGTTCTGGGCTGACACTGCCTTGGCTGGCTCTGAAGTGTCCTTTCATGCCCATTACGAGTGACAGTGTTCTTGTTTTCCCCATTAAGGCTCCTAGAGGGAGGGCACTGTGTCCCCAGGGCCTGAGCCACAGCCAGGCAGCTCAACCCTGCAGGGCTGACCCACAGCCTGGGTGGACCCGCCCGGCCCCAGTCCCTGCCTCCCAGCACCTGCCACAAGGCCGCCTCCTCCCCACGCCATGTCTCCCATCAATTTCTTCTTTCATAAAAATCAATTTCTGTCCCGTTTTTGCCATGTACATAAAAGACTGTGGCATCAGTTAGCCTTCGTTCTCTCTCCCCCCCCCCTCTTTTTCTTCCTCGTCTTTTTTGGAAACCTCTTTGTAGGGAAAATCTCATATTTCAGCAATTTGCATTATCCACACACTCAGCTTTGAAGTTCTAAGTTATGGTAAGAAAAGGACCCACTTATCTGCCCATAAAAAATGTTCAAAGCTTATAAATTCCCTGAAACAGATGTACATTATCATTGGATTTGCCTTTCTTTTTGCTAGAGCATGCCTAATAGAGTTTCGGCCGCCCCCTGGCCCCCTTCCCCCGCCCCCGTTAGCATCTTGTCTCCACAGAAGCCCGCTCCCCACTGGGCCAGACCGACTTCAAAGGTCCCAGGCTGTCTGTTAGAAGCAAAGCACAAAGTGGGAACATAGGGGCCTTTTAAATCCCCCACGTTTAAGTCAATATCATGCCTCCCTCCTTTCCCCTCTCCTGGCAGAGGGACATAAGTCAGCCCTTCCCTTTCTGCCTTCACGAGAGCCAATTCAGCAACTACCAGAGAGAGGAAATTGGGGCCTCTTTCTCTCCCAGTCTCTCTGTCTTTGCCCTTTCTTTCTTGCCAACTTTTCTTTTTGTTCTTTCCCTCGCTTAAGAAGATGTTCGGCAGCACGGAAGGTAGTGCTGATCCCACATGTAAGCAAGCAAGCGGATCCTTGAGCGCTTTCATGGGTAAGAACGTCATAAACAACGTGCATCCATTCGGTTGCCGTGGGATCCTACCAAGAGAGCCTCCTCTCCGGGCTACTGTTTCCAATCCCTTCTCTGCGTGGTGGTGGCTAGAGTGTCACATCCTCTCTCTCCCGACTGACCACCTAGCTTCCTGATGTGTCTCTTGGGGTGACAAGCAGACTCTCCACCATTCAGGCCCCCAGATTCTGCCCATACCGGGCCTCCTCGTTGCCAGCTGTACCCGGCCATACAGGCCTGCACCAGTTCATCAAGCGTTCACCCTCCATCCACCCTTGAGGCCCTTGTACCAGCTGCTCCCTCTAACTTTCCACCTGGCTAATTCTTCCTCACCCTTGAGGTCACCCCCTAAATGTGGCTTCCTGGAGAGTCCCTCTGCAGTCCCCCATCTCCATCATGTCCCCTCTGTTATTCCCTCCCATGTCTCCCCAGAAGTTATCGCAGTGGATAAAAATGTCGTTTCTGGGTGGAAGCAGTCCCCCCGTCCCCCACACTAGATTAAAGCTCCACAAAGGTAGGTAGAGATGATGTCTGTTTTATCGAGTGCTGAGCATGGTTCCTGACACATAGTACTTGATCACTAAATCTTTGAAAGTACGGATGAACAGAAAGCCTGGAGATGACGGTGGTAAAGGCCAGCCAGGCCTGAGCAGGTCCTTTCTGGGCAGGAAGTGCCAAGTGTGGGTCTCTCTTTGCTCTGCCCACGTCTTGCCCAGAAGCTCAGTTTTGGCAGCTCCTTGCCACTGGGGGGTGGTCACACCACAGAGACTGGCCTGCAGTCTAACTAAACTGCTTAGCAAGACGGGGTGAGATACTCGAATGCCAAATTCTTTCTCCCCAGTGAAGAAAGGAGGGAGGAGGGAAGGAAGGGAAGGCGGGAAGTTCACATGCACCACACTGGAAATATTCTGGCCAGGAATTTCTGGACCAAATCACAATCAGATGCTGCCTTTTGAGGACAGAGTCAGAGGAAACAGAATCAGGTGATGTTGGCTAAGATGGCCAGGGGCCCATCTGGAGAGGATCTGGCCAGGGGACTTGAGCCACTCAGAGTCACCCTGGGCCCCAGTACCTAGATGTGCTGAGAGCCCACAGGCCGAGCCCAGTGACACCATCTGAATATCCCCAGGAGGTTCTGGGTTTCCAGTCTGTCTGCATGCTGTCACCCTTCTCTGGGGGCAGCATCAACATTCCAACAACTCTCAGCATCAGGAACCCGCAAGAGGGGTGCCCCTTTTCCCATCTGTCTTTATGAATTCTATCAACAAAGACACATGGAGTGTCAACAGCAGGCCATGTGCTAGGTCCCGCTGGGGGCGGGTGGGGAGGCCAGGAATGTGTTGTCCTTCAGTCGCTCAACAGACATTGAACAAGCACCTGTCTTTGCTGGGCCTTTGGGATTATAAGATAATCTGGTGAACAAGTGCTTTGGTGGAAACCAAATAATTAGAGGCATAGATAAGTACATACGGTGGATCCTCACCCTCCGTGGATTCTGTATTTACGAAATTGCCTATTCACTAAAATTTGTCTATCACCCAAAATCAATACTCATGGTGCATTCACTTCATTCGTGATATGCGCAGAGCAGTGAAAAGTCTGAGTGGCCCGACAACATGTTCTCAACTGAGGTCGAACAAGATGATGCTCTGCTTTCGTGGTTCAGTTCTCATCCTATACACAAACATCCTTCTCACAGTCTGTTTAGCATCATGCTTTGTGCATGTTTGTGCTTTGTGTTGGTGATTTGGCTGCTTAAAATGCTCCCCAGGCATGACGCTGAAGTGCCATCTTGTGCTCTTAAGCACAGAAGGCTCTGATATGCCTTGCAGAGAAAATATGTGTGCTAGATAAGCTTCATTCAGTCATGAGTTATAGAGCTGTTGGCTGAGTTCAATGTTAACGAATCAAGAATATATAGTAAATTAGGCATCTTTAAACAGAAGCACACATAAAACAAGGTTATGCACTGATTGGTAATGAAAATGTTGTGACCAGAAGCTGGCAGGAACCTAACCCTGTATTTCCCCTAGGATCAGTAGTTCAGTATGCGCTAACTCAGTGTCAGAGGTGACTTTATAAGATGTAACTACTGCGATGAGTGAGAATCAACTACAGTTACAAACATGATCAATGTTATGAATGAAGGGGACCACAGGGCACCCTGAGAGCTTGGGGCACCATCTTGCTGAGGCTGAGGTCTCGGCCACACCAGCAGCCCCAGCTCCCCTTGCCTCACGTGTCCCTGGACTTGGCTGGAGTAATGGCAGACAACGGAGTAGGACTGGTCTTTGTCAACCTGTATCAATGCCAGCAGGCTCCTGGAAAGGGAGGGTCATGTGGCTAGCATATGTCAGGCTTATGTTTAATCCTACCATGCATTAGCCACAAGTTAGGTAAGTTGCTTAACTGAACTGTAACTCTGTTTCCTCGTTGGTTTCCTCTCAAGGCTGTTTTGAGGACACTAGTGAATGTGGGCTGGGTGCACAGTAGGCACTCTGTAAGTGGCAGATATGGCAATGTGGACTCCTCAGCGATCCTGCAGCTTAGGAGTTGGGCAAGGACAGACCCAGATGTAGGGTAGCGAAGCATTGCTCCAGAGGCCACCTCTTTCCCCAAGGAAGGCACTGCTGGCATGGCTTTCAGGCTGCCCATCCCCACCACTACCCCTACTGTTTGTAGGACTTAGAGCTGCCACCCCCATAGTCTAGCTTCAAGCCAAGGGCAGTTTCATAATACAAATATGGTACTGAAGGCCAGAGACAGCAGGGGCTTGTCCAAGTTCACACCACAAGTCGGGTCTGGAAGGAACAGAGTGATCCCATCAAACTTGAGAGGGAAAAGTCATGTCCTCAAGTGTTTTTTGAGTGTGTAGCAGAGGCAGCATGCCACAGCAGCTGTCTCACTGGGGGCTCTGCAGCCGGGGTGGAGGACAGGTACCCTTCATCCATCAGGACTGCACCTCCTTTCCCATGAGCCTTCTGGGGTCACATTCTCCTAACTGCAGCTACTGTTGCTGTTTTACTTATCGAGGGCCTATTACGTGCCAGGCTCTGCGCTGAACGCTTCACGCCCACTGGATCATTTACTCATAACAGCTCAGTAAGGTAGTTACCCCAATTAGCCCCATGTTAGAGAAAAACACCAAGGCACAGAGGTGAGTCACTTGTCCCAGGTCACACATCTAGGAAGTAGTAGAACCAGGACTCAGCTCAGGTCCAAAGTCTCAACCATGGGCCAGTCTGCTCATCTTAGCCAAACCCCCAGGCTGCATTCTGTGGTCCAGCTACTGGATCCTGCAACCTTCTCAGACTCTATCCATGAAGCCAAGTGCACAGGATCTAGGACATCAGGTCCAGAGAATTTGGGGCCACATCTTCCTGGACCTGCAGATGGGCAAGGACCAGACTCTAGCCTGAACAGTGAGATGCAGCCCAGAGAAGTGGGAATCCACAGACAGAGCCTGGCCTGAGACTCCTACTGAGACTGCCCATGTGGCCACTCGGGGAGTTCCCGTCCCCTGCCTGATCAGCAGTCTTTTTGCTTCCCCCTCCAAGAGAGCTGGGGGGCATTCCTCCAGGAAGCCTGATATGTAACAAACTCCTTTCCCATTTCTTGCTTTGCTTAAATCTCCAAAGTCCCTGGAGCTGAAGCCAAGCGGGCCTCATTAGGTCCACTTTACAGAAAAGCAAACTGAGTCTCAAAGAGGGGAAGTCACTGAGCCGGGTACAATCCAGCCAGTCTTTTGAGTTGGGGCTTTCCACCTGTCTTGGCTGTTTAAGGAGTGCTGGGCGGGGTCTCACACAGCCTGGGACCCTTTGCTGGGGGTTCCAGCCCACCTTGCCCCATCTAAAGGAGGAGTGGGGCCACATTGTGAGGGTCTCCAGGACTGCCCCAAAGACTTCCCCATGAAAGTCCTCCCATGCCTGAAGCTGCTCCCTTAGCCATCCTCCTGTCTAACGCTCTGCCCTGAACAGGTTTTTAAGTGGCATCACTGACCTCCAAAACTTAGGTGCTTGAGGCTGCGCAGGGGTCATGAGCTGAATCGCATCAAAGCCAGGCCTCAAAATCAGGCTGAGAGGGGCTCCGGGCGCAGGAAAAAAGGCATGTGCACCATTGGAAGAGGCGGGCGGATTGCAGCCATGTGGGAACAGGAGCCTGGGGTAAACCCACTTTCTGATTTTTATGAGAAAAGCCAAACATCCAGGTTTTTAGGTGAAACCCTCAGATTTTGGAAATTAATTAAAAATTTTTGAAACCCTTGATGGGTCAAACATGACACATCGATGGGCCAGGCTAGGTACGGTCCCGGTGAGCAGAGGATTGACTTCTGGAGGCTTAGAGTGGGCAGGGGACAGGAAGGCAGGGCAGAGTTCCAGACTCCACAGCTTCCTGGGGAGTGTGGCTCTGAGCAAGTTGGCCTCAGGCCCACTCCAACCCCTCTACCAGGCACCAAGAGACATAGTTCAGCCCCGACCATTGAACTGGCCATGACAGGCCTGCTGATACAAGCAGACCACCCCCGCCAATGGCCTCTGTGGAGTTACTGACCAGTGTTGGAGGTTGCAGAAGCCCCCTCTCCAGACATCAGAGCTGTCAGCCTCCCCCAAGTCCTTTGCAGACAGCTGAGGCCATGACTGGAAAAAGGACCTGCAAGCCGGTCTGCGCTCAGCTTTGGGAAGAACTGTCCATTTGGACTCCACACCCCCACCTGGAGTCTCAGGTCTCCCGTCTCTAAAATGGGAAGAAAAATTCTAGCCCTACTACAATGTGTGGCTGACCAAACTTTCACTGATTTCCAAGGAAAGAAAACAAAACAAAAACAAAGACAACATAATGAGGTTGTTTTTTTTTTCTTTTTAACTTCTTTTGGTTTTTCTTTAAACAGTAAGGGACTGCAATTTTCTATTCTTTTTCTAATATCCTTATTTAGCAAAATTAAAAGTTGGCGATGATGTGTTGCTTTCCCAGACTTTTATTTGAAATGTGACTGCTTTGTAAAACTCCAGAGTCAAGGACTCATAGGCAGGAGGATGTCATAAATTAACAGGAAAGGATGAGAAATCTCCACTCCACTCCCTCCTCCCTCCCTTGATCACTCATTCCCTCTCTTCCATTCATTAACCACCCACTACATGCCATGCCCTAAGGAAGCAGCTATCTAAGAAGTCCCTGCCTGCAGGGGCTTTACAGACCAGGAGGAAGGCAACCCATAGAGCCAGGATCCTGATAACCACTGCTGACTGCCCCTCTGCCTAGGCACCAGCTAAGGTGGCTCCAAAAAGTGAGGCCTTGTTGGGAAGGGAAAAAACAGCAAAGGTCAGCTTGGATGAACCCATCCAGAATTTTGCAATCAGAAATACCTAGAAAAGAATTATTTTAGAAGAACAGGGGGATGCCAGGGCTTGGGGATGAGGAATGATGTTTTCAGTGCTTAGGGCCCCTGAAGGTCTTGGTCTTCCTGCTCAGAAGCGCAGGGGGTCCCAGGTTGCCTTCTCCAGTGCTCGCCCTTAGTTCCTGGCAGTTCCTCCAAGGCTGTTGTACTTTAGTCCTTCTTCTAATCCTTGAATGCTCCTCCCTACCTACCTCTCTCCCTGATGTAGAGGCTGGGGAAGAGCTCTCTGAAGGGTATGACCAGATGTGACCCCAAAACAAACCCTACTAGGGGAAGGACAGGGCCCCCATAAGCTTGGAACCAAGCCTGAGTTTGCAGTACAGCAAAATGAGACAGCTGGTAGTCGCAACAAGCCCTAGTCCCCAAAGCTGGCCTTGACCAAGGACCCCCAAGCAAAGTGGGAAGACTGGGAAGAGAAGTTTTCAAGAAAGACATTCATATCTCCCTAATTTCAGACCGTAGTCCTGAGCCAGAGGAGGGAAGAGAGTGTGTGGTCCATGCACCAGGGGCCACTGTGGACCCACCCTAGTTGGAGGACCTTAGGGGTCTCACTAAATGTGGCCATCTTTCGCCATCTGTAATTTTAGGATGAGGGAGGAGAGGTGGGTTATCCAGAGGCCAGATGACAGGGCAACTAGAGAAAGAACTCAGCCCAAACACAGAGGGCTCTTACTAAATCCGCCAGCCTCATCCTCTGCTGCAGCATGGCTGCTTGCTCTAACATCCATGAAGTTTTTGGAGGTCCCCGGTGGGGCAGGGGGCAGGTGGAGCTGTCTCTGTCTCCCCTACCACGTTAATGCACATCCTCCTCAAGGCAGGGCCACTGGGATTCCACCCCACGTGCACCAAGGCACAGGCAACAGGACTCTCAGAATGTTTTCTACGGGCCCAACCACAACACCATTTCCTGGAGGTATGGAGCTTGTGAAAAACACTGATCCCTGCACTTCACCCCTGACCCACCTCAGCTCATCTCTGGGGGTGGGCCTGGTATCTGCATTTCACATGCTCCCTGGGGGATTCTTACGGCCCCTGAAGTTAGGCATTTCCCTCAAATCGGGCCCTCTGAGGTCATTTGGGGGAAATTGCAAGGCTCTAGGGGCTTAGCTGGGCTGCCTAAGAAGTCACCTGGGGGCCTGAAACATCATGATGCCTGGGCCACACCCCAGACCCACCACTCAGCATCATCAGAGGTGGGACCCCTGCACCAGTATTTTGTGAACTCTCCCCAGGTGATCCCAAGCATTCAGGGGATGAGAATTACTGGTGTGAGCATCCCCTCTGCCTCCCCGACCCATTGCCAACAGGCTGGTCAATGCCAAAGTCATGTCTAAAGGGCCTCATGTCTAGATAGGGATCTGTGCCAGGCTCATGGGCTAAATGTACCAGGATTCTTCTACTTTGTGGGAGACAGTGGAGGGAAGAGGAATCCCATTGGCTGGTCAGCTGGAGACAGGGAGTCTCCAACAGGCTCTGCCATTTTCTCCCCAGGGTCCCCGTCTGCTACTGGCAAATGGGTCTCACCTATTCCCCCTTCTCATGCTGGAGGCAGATGCTAGGTATAGAAAGCCCTTTGTAGGGAAATACATAAATCAGGAAAATCATTTGGGGGTATGAGCCCCTGAGCAGAGGGTTGGGGTACAAACGACTGCTGGTTTGGGAGATGATGAGACCGAACATCAGATCAGAGCCCCACACAAAGGTCCTGACTGTGGCAAGTGATCAAACTTTTCATGACTGTTGAAGAGTGTCCTGAGCACAGGTTTTAGAAGTTAATAAAGCGTGTGGCTGAAACATCTGTCTTTGCTCTGCAAAATGAGGCCCTGCACACATCTGGAGAAGGGGTGCGTGTTGGGGGCTGGGTGCAGCTGGTCTGGGGAGGCCGAGGCAGGGGCCAGGAGGGTGGGTGCTGGCGTGTGGCTGGACAAGGGGCAGACTGCCTTGGGGTCTTTCGGGTGTGCAGCGACCAGATGTCTGCTGTGTGGCAGGTAGCACCATCTTTAACGAGGAGGTGAGGGTGGTGGGTAGAGAGCATTCACAGCCTGCTGGTACTGAGCACCTCTCAGGGGTCCCCTTTCATTCCTGAGAGCACTGACAGGCCTCACAGAAGCCAGGTTATTAGTGCTGGCATCTGACAGACACACCAAGATGCAGGCAGACTTCCCCTCCTCCTGCCACACTTCAGAGGCTGCCTTCCCTCTAGCCCAGTAATAATTCGAGGTCTAAACACTGAGAAAACGGGGCTGTAGGAGTGAAAGAAACTGCTCCTAGCTGTTTCCTTTGCCAAAAAGTGTAATTAGCATGGCTGGATGTGAAGTGCAAGAGTCCCCTAGGCTCCTGACCCCCGGGTACTCCCAGGAGATGACAGCAGGCCCCAGTAGCTGGGATCCTCACCTGGCTGTCTGCCTTAAACACACCCAGTCCTCGGTACCCAGTGACAGATCAGCAGAAATCGGCATCCTCTCACCAGGAGTCTCCCCAGGGGAACCCCCACGCTCAGAGCTCAGGGGATGGGGCAGTGGCAACTGCTCCTCTGGAATGGCCTTCAGAAGATTTGCAAACAAGACCAAACCTCTCACCCATACCAGCCTGCAGGAAAATGTGCTCAAAACCTCACCAGCAATCATGGTTTCCCCTTCTAATTTTCCCTCCTTCCTTCCTTCCAACCTTCCTTCCTCTCTCTTTCTTCTTCTTCCTTTGATTCCTCATTATTCAGTATAACCTCTTTATTTATTTGAGATGGAGTCTCACTCTGTCGCCCAGGCTGGAGTACAGTGGTGCAATCTTAGCTCACTGCAATCTCTGCCTCCCAGGTTCAAGCGATTCTCGTGCCTTGGCCTCCCGAGTAGCTGAGATTACAGGCACGCACCACCATGCCCAGCTAATTTTTTGTATTTTTAGTAGAAACGGGGTTTCACCATGTTGCCCAGGTTGGTCTCGAACTCCTGACCTCAGGTGATCCACCCACCTCGGTCTCCCAAAGTGTTGAGATTACAGGCGTGAGCCACCGTGCCCGGCCAGTATAACCTCTTTTAGAGGTCATGTACAATCTCATCAAAATTGAAATCACACTTGCTCTTGAACTCTGCAGTTCCACGTGGAAACTTTCTGTCGCCTGTGTTCCTGCCTGTGGGCACCGGGAGAGCTGTATGCAAGGACTCTCAGCACAGTGTTCGCCAGAGCCTGGGATGAGAGATGACCCTTATGACCACCAGGAGGGGATGGGGCAAGCTGGTGACAGCACCTCTAGTCACAGAAGGCTGAGCAGCTGTTAGAGAGAAGGGGGCAGAGCTCTATGACCTAGGGAGGGAGATCTCCAAATATATTCAGTTACTGAAAAAAATAGCATAAGTATGAACACTATGCTCCTTGTGTAAAAATAAAAGGGTGGGGTGGGAAGAGGATTAAGCAGTAACTGCAGGGTTCCCCCCCTTAAAAATAGATCCGAAATAAATATTGCAAAATGTCAGCATTTGTAAATTCTGGGTGGTAAGTTCATAGTTAATGTTACACAATTTTCTGTTTCAAACTTTGTGTTTGAAATACTTTAAAAATTAACAAAATGCATATGGGAAGATATAGAAATGCATTTATTCTGGTAAAGAACAGCTAACACTTTCATAGTGCTCACAAGGGACAGGCACTCTCATGATCCCTGCCTTTATAAAGGAGAAACTGAGGCACAGTATTTCAATTGAAGCACAGAGCTACAAAGAGGGAGTCAGGATTCGAACCTAGCAAACTGGCACCAAAGTCTGTGCTCACAACCCCTACATTACACTGAGGGGCCCTAGGCCACACCCAGAAAGTCGGCATCAGGGATGCTGGCAGGCCTGGGATGGAGGGAAGTTTACTTTTTACTGTACACCTTGTATATATACTATTTGAATCTTTTACATGTGCACATTACTATTTTTTTAAATAATGTTTTTAAAGTTGGGCAAGTCCCAGTTACCAAGAAGTAACAGAATCCTGACAGGTGTGGAGCTTAGGGAGGCAGAGGAACTGCTCTAAAACCAGTAGTCTCAACTCCGGGCTGGCCTCCAGGGTTGCAGCAATTCGGGGCCTGGGATGCCATTACTTCCTGTCCGATCTGCACCCCTCCCCTCCTGTCTTCCGGTACAGACCCCACCCCCTTGCGGCAGGTTGGCCACGTGACCCCATCTGGGATGTCATGATTGGTCCAGCTATGGGTACCAGATCGAAGCCCAGCCAAGCAGAATCCTGCCTTGGGCTTTACACTAACGGAAGGTCCTTTTTCTTATGGTTAGGGGACCCAGAAGGCCAGCAGCCAGGGTTCCCTGACAAAAGCATGTAGTTGAGTACAAGTTATCAATCCGAGGGACAAGAGGGAGGGACAAGAACCAGTCTCAGCTGCATTCACATCCTGGACCCTGTCATCTCAAAGCCAGTTCCCTCCCTGCCTTCCAACTTGGTTTCATTCACTTTGGATTGAGTTGCGTTCTCACTGAACAGAAACCCACAACCCAAAACAAGGGCAGCCCATGGCCGTGATTAAGCTCTGCACCAGTGGCGAAGGGATCGAGTGGGAGACCAGAATTCCAGCTCCGCCCTCTGTGCGGCCTCAAGGGAGTTATGAACTTCTGAGCCTTAGACATGCTTCCTGAGCTGCCACCAAGCTGCCTCATGGGGCTGTCCTAAGGATTAATGTATTAATCCAATCCCAGGCACATCAGTCATTAATAAAATTAAGAATACGGTGACAACTAAGCCCACTACCTTTGGAAGTAACTCCTTACTAACTACATTAAACCCAAACTCGAGGCTCTGGAAAAGAGAATGCCAGCTGGGAGACAAAACGGCAGAAAGGAAGGTAGCTGGAGTCACTTCTCCCTCTTGAGTCTCCCTAGATTCACTCTCCACTCTCCTCTCTGACCTGGGAACATGCCCGTGTGACCCACATCAACAAGCTCCCTTGGCCCGGTGGCTTCCAGCGGCCTCAGCCAATGGATTGAGGGGGCTGGGGGGCAGGAAAGCAGGTCAGGATATTAATTTCCCTGGAGGGTCCCCATGACTGGCTGCATCCTTTAAGCAAAGGTCACAGCTCCTTCAGGTGCCCCTCTCACTCCTCCAGCAATCCTCTGTCTGCTAAAGATAACTCCTTCCCCACTCAGGCCCAGGGGTGGGAATAGCGCCCCACACTGCTAGCCCCAGGGTTCTGCACTCTCATGGGAGGCTTAGCCCACACTTTGTAAATACTGCCTTTATTAAGCTCTGCTCAAATTACCCAATTTGAGTGTGTAATCTGCTTTTCTCTGAGACCCTGGCTAGCTGACTGGTTCTTTTTCAGGTTTCTCCAGGCTCTGGCCAGACAAAATCCTTCTCTGCAGAGGATGCTGCTCCAGGGTCCCAACTCTGGCCACAGTCCCCTTTTCCCACCAAGTTTCTGTACCCCAGCAGTTCTCTCCAAAATCCATCAGACCCCAAAACCCGAGAATGGACCTCTGATGAAAGCATCTGAGAGCCGTCCAGCCCCAAAAGGAGACAAGCAGGGTCACATCTGGGTTCCAGAAGCATCCAGGGAAGCAAACCACTGATTTATACACACCAGAAAAGATACCTGAGAGTGTATATTTATAGAAAGATACATAGAAATGGACAGATGGCATCTATCTATAGATACAGAAAGCTCTGTTAGAGAACCGTGTAGGTACGTATATATGTGCCACATCCTCCACCACAACCAACAGCACACAATTGCCTGGATCTTGGAAAACCACGCTTGTTTAAGTGGTTGGTTCCCTCCCTAGCAGTTTCCAAAATGAGAAGGATGGTCTCAGGGATAGTCCTTAAATACGTGTGTGTATCACTGTAAAGTAGAGAGAGAAGAAGGAGAAGGAAGAGAAGTGGATTTTCATGTCGTGCATGGCAGAAGAGATGGGACTCTTGGGGAAAAGGGCTTGATCCCACTGGAAAAGCATGAAAGACAACTCCAGAAAAGACAGCTAAGGTTTCTAGGTTGGGACATAAAAACACAACAGCAAGACGTTCGCACTCTGCAGTCCACTGAAATCCCTTGTAGCATATAACAATCAGTTAAGGGCAAAATAAAATCAGAATAATACTAAGAGGTAGCAGCTGTTTATCTTCTCGGAGATTTCGAGGGTCTCTGGAAGCCGGGCCAAGTAAGGGTGCTCTCCTGGAAGAGGCTGGGGTGGGGCAGAGTTGAGGCTAAGGGCTCCCTGGCTCTGGGAAGGGTGTGGGCTGATCCACATAGATGCTGCAGATCCCGAGCCCCGAGGGAGCCTCTGCCCATTACAGGCCACTCAAAACCAGAGTCATTTCCTGGGCTAGTTATGCAGTCCCCACAACATATAAATAAAAGTTTAGTTCTGTGTTTCCATAGATCTTCTACATGTAGGCTAGCTAAATATTAGTGGAGTAACAATAATTATTAATAACAATAATCATCATAATAACAATAATTAATAGAATAATAATGCCTTGTGGTGTCGGGGGTGGGGTCCTTCATATGGCAGGGTGGGGCCCTGGGGAGGGGCTCTATGTCTGGTAGAAGTGGTGGTAATGGTGGTGATGTTCATGGTGGTGGTGGTGCTCATGTCTCTGGACCGGCTGCCCGGCCTGGCTCTCATACACCACCAAGGCGGGCAGCTCCCGCAGGTGCTCCCGCCCCAGGACAGGGCCACCTGAGGCCAGTGGTGCCTGCAGGCCCCGGCAGCCCTGCTGGCTCTCCTTGGCTCGGTGCTTGTGCTTCTTGTGCCCGAGGGGGGCTAGGGAGGGGAGGAGGGCCGGGCTGGCAGCCAGGTGGGCGGAGGGGGACACCGCAGGGATGGCGGGTCCCAGAGGGGGCTTGTTTCTTGCCCCTCTGGCCACGTGGCCCACACCCACACTCTTGCCCTGGGCCTTGGGGGACCTCACAAAGTGCTTGCTCCCGTCCTGGGTGCCCCGGAGCCGTTGCTGGAGCTCTGAGACCTTGGCGATTGGGGTGTCAAGGAAGTGGAAGGAGGCCGGGTCCACGCCTTGGGGCTTTCGGTGTGGGATGTGGATGGCTTCCGGCTCATGGGAGCGAGATCGAGTGGGATTGGAGGTGCGGGGGGGCAGTTCTGACTTCTGGGCCACGGAAGGGGAGCCTAGGAACCAATTCAACAGACATTTAATGAGCACCTACTGTGTGCTGGGGCTTGCGCTATACCCCAGACATCACCCCCGCCCCCAGTTCTCCAAAACCAGAGCTACCCCCCAATGCCCTGACTGCCCCTCACTGCCTTGCAGGAAAACTCTCTGAAATGGAACTTTCCCATCTGCTAAGTGGGAAGAACTGGTTCTTTGGTAGGTCTTCAAAAATACTCTCCGAGAGGGAGCCGAGAAAGACAGATGGCAGCAGAGACCCCGAAAACTATCTAAGGTCACTGGGGCAAGAAAGAACTCTAAGTATATTGCTAAAAACATACAGAAGTAACTCATAGAGGAATTAAACATATGAAGAGAAAGGGGAGAAGGGAGTTGTGGGAGTGAAATTGAGCAAGAGGTCAACATATGTCAAGGCTGATAAAGACACAGTAGTGCTGTACTTAGGGAAACCGAGGTTCTTGCTGGAAGAAACAGCCAGGAGAGGTCAAAGTGGTTGCCCCGGGAACAGGGCTTGGGTGGGCTGGGATGGGGCACAAAACTGTTGTTTGTCATTGGGTGCTAAGCCTTTAGATACTATTGGATTTTGTTCGATTTCGTGCATGTATTACTTTAATTTTGAAACCATTTTTAACGTCACTTTCTCCAAGAAGTCTTTGACCTGTCCCATAATAGTTGTCTTACCGAAGCCTGGGGTAGCAGTGAACACCACCCGCACGGCCCGCCTGGCCCGTCCAGCCACGCCCTGCCCTCATCGCCCATTGCAGGGTGCTTGAGTCCCTTACCAGGCCCAAATTGGGACGTGTAGTTTTCTATCCCGGCGAGATCTAAGTAGTGGTTTCTCCTCTCGATGTTCTCATCTACGCAATGGTGGTAGCAGCCAGACTGCTCCAGGCGGCTGTCACCCTGGAACCTACGGCAGGGGAGGCAAGTGAGTGGGATAACACCAACCACCAGGTGGGGGCAAGCGCATAGGCTACTAGGAAGCCCCCAGAATGAACTCTGGACCCTTCATTCATTTCCTTCTTGGCCTTTGGAGAGGGTGGGGAGGAACAGTCCTCTATACGAACTGTGCCTCCATTTCCCTCCTTGCCGATGGAGAGACAGACCATAGACCACAGCCCACAGCCCGACCTCCCCGCAGCTTCTGGGAGGAGTGGACGGGGTTTTGCTCTGAACAGGTTCAAAGCAAACGTGAGAGGTTATTGGTCAACTTCTAGGAATGCCCCAGTGCCAGGCTTCAAGCCATATGTGCCCACTGCAGGTAGGCGGCCTAACCCCTGGCCTGGTTCCTCAGGGGGTGTGGGCAGCAGAATCCCCTTAAACTGTTGGGGTTGGGCCAGGCAGACCCCATGACCTGCCCTACGGCCCAGGATGGGCCTCACCAGTGTGTGAGTGTGTGTGTGCACATGCATGTGTGACTTACACAGTGTGCATGGAGGGGTGGGGAGAGATGCTGCCAGAGGCTTTCTTTTTCCCCTGCAGGGCTCGGGGCTCCCTAGCCCTCTCCTCCAAGGACCTCTTCGATCTGCTCCCTCCTGGCTTCCTTCCCACACAACACAGTACCACCTTCCCCCAGGATCTCTAGCCAGCCTGGGTCCCTCTGATTCTCAGCCCTGTCCCCACACCTGGCTGTGACCCTGCTTGAACTGTTTTTTCTTTCCCCTAGCGAGTACTAATCCAGCTCCGATCATTCCCTTACCATTTGCACACTAGAGGTTAACACAGCCTTATGCCTGCCGTGTTACTGTTGTTTACTCAATCCCTTTCTTTAAACAATCTCTCTTTCCTTTCCTCCCTTCCTCCCTTGCAGCTGAAGAAGTAACAGGTGAAAGGTAACTACAGCCTCATAATTCCTTATCCACCATTCTGAAGTCCAAAAAGCCTGAAAACTAAGAGTTTTCATAACCCACGTGGCAGCCAGGCCCACCCTAAAGGGATGGGAAGGTGTTTACGGTCTTTATCTCACTTAGTGTGAATATTCAGTCATCTCCCAGCAGAAACAGCAACACGTCAGAGCCTGATGCACTGCTGAGAGCACCTTTCCAAAGCCCAAAAAATGCTGACCTCCAGTCCTGTCTGCCCAAGATGTGTTCCATAAAAGGATGTGGACTACATGTAGTTATTTGTTAAGATTTTCATTTGATTTATGAGTCTGTGCATCAAAAGTGTTGGCTCCCTGAAGAGAACACAGACCAGAGCAAAACTTCCTGCTCTGAATCCTTCAGAAGCAGGTACACAGCTGGTGCTCAACATATGCTCATGTGCACCATGCCCACATACCTGAGCGGGGCTCGCTGCTTCTTCTCCCAGCTCCGCAGGTCCTCAGTGGGCTTGGTCTCTGCTCGGGGCCTTGCGCTCTGCAGGTCTGAGTCCGGCCCGAGAAGCACAGGAGACACCAGGTGAGCTGCCTGCTCCCACCCTCCCCAGGGCTGCCTGGCGTGCAGCTGCTTTGCAAGGCCACTGTGGGAGGGTTCCCTGAGCTGGGGCTAAATAAAGGGGTCTCAAGGCTACCTGCCCTGGACACATCCCCATCTAGCCTCACCTCCTCCCCCAGACTCCCCCTCCAGCCTCACCTCCTTCCAGCTGGCCTCAAGGCTTGCAGACGCCATGCTGCCCGTAACACCAGCCTTCACTCCAGCTGCATGGCTCTGCCTATATGAGGCCTCTCACCCAGAATCCCTTCCCTCCCCTTCCCACCCTTCCTCCTACCCTTTCAAGGACCCATTTGAACCCCACCTGTCCACAAAGCAGCTGCCCCAGAAAGCCCACAGGTTCCCTTCCGGCCCTCCCAGGAAGGCTCTGTTCCTTCCTGAGATGGGAGGACATTGTTTCCCAGGCTCAGCCCTGCAGCCCTCACCAGCCTGATTGACAAGGACGCTCCTCTTGCTCTGGCTGCCATCGGGGGCCACGGTGAGCTTTACCCGCAGCATCTTGCTGGATGTTGGGGAGTGGTTGACAGAGGAGTCCACCACCTCATAGATGGTGTGCAGCAAGCTGGTGATGTCCTGAATGGGAGGGAAGCGGAGACCCATGCAGGGTTTCAGTCACAGGGCCTTGAAAATACAAACCAGAGGGCCTGGTGGACGCTGCAGGCCTGAACCCCTCTGGCTGCCCCAAAGCAGATCTAAGGCAGAAACCTGGATGTCTGAGGTTCGTTTGGGAGGAGATCCTAGGAAGCAGAAATGAGGGAGCAGGGAGAGAGAACAGGAAAATCCCATAAGAGAAAAGGAAAAGGGCAGGTTACATCCAGGGACAACTGGGGCTCAGTCGCACTGGGGCCCTGGAGGGAGTGTGTGGAGCCCACCTTGGAACAGCCTCTTCTAGATAGAGGGAGGGTTTAGAAATGGACTCTCATTCCTCACTGCCTGAGAGCTCCCCAAGGATACTACTACATTCCCTGTACTTTGGATTTTTGTTTGTTTGTTTGAGATGGGGGTCTCACTCTGTCACCCAGGCTGGAGTGCAGGGGTGTGATCATGGCTCACTGCAGACTTGAACTCCCAGTCCCAAGCGATCCTCCAGCCTCAGCCTCCCTAAGTGTTGGGATTACAGATGTGAGCCATGAGCCACTGTGCCCAACCCTCCCTTGTGCTTTTGGGCTTCCCTGCAGGGGCCAAGCCAACTCCTTGTACCTGAGAAAGCTCTTACAGTGGGCACCATCCACCATGGCAGCAGGTGAACTTTGAGGTGGACCCAGGGAAAATGGAGTGGGGGCATCAACAGCATCTGCTTCGGGTTCGAAATGAAAAATGGAAAGGGAGATGTGTCCCTGCTATGGGCTAAACTGTGGCTCCCCACTCACTTGCAAATCCACAGGTTGAAGCCCTAACCCCCAATGTGATTGTATTCGGAGTAAGGAGATAACTAAGGTTAAACGAGGTCATGAAGGCGGGACCATGATAGGATCAGGGCCCTTAGAAGAAGAGGAGAGCTAGGGATATGGCTCACACCTGGAATCCCAGCACTTTGGGAGGCCAAAGTGGGAGGATCACTTCAGCCCAGAAGTTCAAGACCAGCCTGGGCAACATAACATTCTCTACAAAAATAAAAAATAAAAAATAGCCATGTGTGGTGGTGCACACCTGTAGTCCCAGCTACTTGGAAGGCTGAGGTGGGAGGATCATTTGAGCCTAGGAGTTTGAGGCTGCAGTGAGCCGTGAGCACACCACTGCACTCCAGCCTGGGCAACAGTGCAAGATCCCATCTCTTGTTTAAAATAAAAAAAAAAAAAAAAGGAAGAGACACTAGAAGAGGTCTCTCCACCACATGAGGGCACAGTGAGAAGGTGGCCGTCTGCAAGCCAGGAAGCGAGCCCTCACCAGGAACTGAAGCAGGTGTCCCCTTGGTCTTGGACTTCCAGCCTCCAGAACCGTGAGGAATAAATTTCTGCTAAGCCACCCAGTCTGTAGTATTTTATTACGGCAGCTTGAGCTGGCTGAGACTGTCCCTAAAAGATAAAACTAATTTGTGAGAACTTGACCAAATCTCATCTCCTCTCCGAGCCTCAGGTACCCCTCAACCAGAACAGGGGTGTCCATACAATGTCTTCCAGGTGTCTCAAACCCTTCTGATTGGGACTGGAGGGCACCGATTCTCCTCACTAGGCCCTTTCTATCTGGGTATCTGCTGTGGTCACTTGTCTGGTGTTGGGGTGCAGGGCAATGTCCTGCTTTAAATGGCATTGGAAACCTCTGGAGAAGACATTTTTTCTCTATGAAGCAACCCCATCCATGGTCAGTTACCTGCCCAGCAATCCTTCACCTCCTGCCTGTAAGTCCCACAGGCTGAAGCAGCTGAGGCAACCCCAGCGCAGCCCCAGCCAGGCAGGCATGTGGGTGAGTGGTCCAGAGTAATGGGGGCCGACAGAGGCGCTGACCCTGTCCTGGGAGGCACGGCCGCTCAGCTCAGTTGACTTGTCCTTTGACAATGCAGGTGGGAGGGGGTCACACAGAAAAGCCAGAAATCCAGGATCTTCTGTTAAATCTTCAAAATTGCTGATCTTGGCAACTGATTTTTAACAAAACCCTTTGCGGGACCAGACCAGAACATCTGGGGGCCAGATTGAAATTGTGGGGGCCATAAGTTTGAGACCCAGGCTCCAGGCACTCCCTAGCTGCCTTGCTCATCTCGGGGAGGGATCCCACTTCTTTCGACGAGGCCCGCAGAGGACTCTCCTTGTGCCTCCTTTTCTTCCCTCTGGCTTCTCCATAAGGCCCCATTTGCTCACTCTCTCTATCTTGGGCAGCCCATGAAGGAGGTTTCATTATACAGATGAGGCAGCTGATGGCCGCTCACTTCATCCCCCAAACTTCTGATACCTTAGAGGACCTGGAGCCCTGGTGTGTGATCAGGATGGGGGTGGTCCCAGCAGACCGAGGGTCTCAGAGCCTATGTGCTTTGGCAATTCTAGCTTGAAAATCAACCTCACTGACTACACAGGGCAGACACGTAGGAATCGGTGTGCTCAGTATTTCCTGCATGAACGAACGCCTGAAGGGGGAGCAGGTCTTCTTTCTGATTGGAAAGCTGGCCCACACCCCAGCTCTGGGCTGCAGATGCCGTGAGGTGGGAGCCCATCTGCCCTGGCACTCAGAAGGCGTGGAAGGGAACTGTATTTACAGCCAAATTTGAGGGGTGGCGTCAGGGCTAAAAATAGACCAGGGAAACACCAGACCAGTCCTCCCTCCACTCAAAACCACTCCCTGGCTCCTCGGTGGGAGGAAGACATGACCCAGTGAACACTTTCTCCAGGGCCGGGCTGGGCCACCTTCCTTGGAAACCCTCTCTCCCTTCCTCTCATTATCAAAGCAGTGAAGGACAACGCAGGTTGAAACTGTCAGCAATCATCTTGCTACTGCCAAGGGGAGAGTCTGCCTCACAAGAAGGGAAATAGAGCTGAGGAATAGAGGAAATAGACTGAGGAAACAGAGCAGTGATGAACACCTTGTCCTGAAGCCACTGAGCCTCTGGGTCAAGCCATCCCCAAAGTCAGACCCCGGACCAAATTTCAGTTACATGAGCCAATCTATTTCTTTTTTTTTTCGAATACAGCAGTTGGAGCATGTATTCTGTCACTTACATGTCAGAGTCCTGGGTGCTTAAAAGTCACAACTTCCTCCTCCAACCTGTTGAAACAGCCCGAAAACCACAGCCTGAGGAGGAGGTGACCTTGTTAACCCAGAATTCACATATGGCAGCATAAAGGTGAACTTCTCCTGCCCTATCCACAGAGAAGAAAACACTCGTCCTGACCCAGGATGAGGAGACCAGTCAGCAAAGCTTTAGTGTCTCTCTGGGAACATGAGGCCCCCACATGCTGGACAAGAAGCAAGTGGAGCCCAGACGTGCTAACCTGCGACCGCCGCGCAGGTGCATGTAACCTCAGATCTATAACAGGTCTCGTGCCTGAAGATGGGGTCCTCTCGGGGAGGGACAGGTCATCAGAGAGGGACAGGGGAGGAAAAGGAATGAGGAAGTGTAAGGAAGGATACCAACCCTCCAGCGGTGCCCTCAGGACCTGAAATCAAATCCAGGTTGCCTGCCAGGGCCTCCAAGGCCCCAGAAGTCTGGCCCTGCTGGATCCCCAGCCACATCTGTGTCTCTTCTGCTGATTGGCCACCACGGCCACCTCCTTCAGTTCCTTAAACACCCTGAGCCCCTGGCGTCTGCCTGCCCAGGACTCCCCCAAGGCTGTGCATGCTGCATGTCTCAGCTCCCTTGCCGCCTCCTTCAGGAGGCCTCCCCTGGACCCTCCAGGAGGCCTCCCCTGGACCTTCCAGCCAGTCTCTGTCCCAGCACCTGTTTATTTCCTTCACTGAACACATCACCGCTCACAGTTATCCTACAATTGTTTGGATCTGCCTCTTGTCAGAAGGTCAAAGCTCCAGGGCGAGGAACGTGTCTGTTTTGTTCCCTGCTGTGTCCTCATGCCTAGTACCTAGCACCCAACAGATGCATACAGTTGGTGCTCAATATGCAAAGACACAGGCAGGAAGGAGAGAGCTGCAGGAGGAGGGCCCTGAGCGAGAGAGACCGGCCTGCAGAGGGATAAGGAAGAAGAGGTTTGGGACGAGGCTGTGACCAGAGCTGTGACTGCAGAGCCACTGGCAGGGCCCTTAGCACTGGAGGTGCTCATTCCTGTAGCCTCAAAACAAGGCGCTGTGTGGCCTCTTTGTGCCCCCACCCCCAAGCTCCTGGGCAGCATGGCTGAGCAAGGGAGGTGGCCTGTGGTGGTGCCAGCCCCACCCCTAGAGCTCTGGGACTGTGGAGAGAGGGAAGCAGGACAGGACTCGGTTAGGGCCTTGGGGCCATCTCCAGAGAGGCCCTAGGGCTCTGCACCTGCCCCCCCCAACTTCTTTCCCGGGAGGGACAGTGCCTGGGCTGAGAGCAGGGGAGCTGCCTTCCCTCCCTGTCTTCTCTTCCCACTTGCCAGCAGCTCTGGGATGCCCCTCCAGATCTCGCAGGAGCTCCCAGCAACTCCCTGGCTGTTACGGCCTTCCCTGAGGGGCAGGACCGATGCAGGGGAGAGAAGTGGCAGTGGCAGGGTGCTGTGCCCAGGCCCTGTGCCTGCGGGTATGATACACGGCAAGAGGCCAGGCAGGTGCACTCACCTCTCGGGTGACCTTGCCGTTGTTGTCAAAGTCATACAGGGTGAAGGTCCACTCCTGCCGGCTGTCCTCCTCCATGGACACGTCGCACTGGAGCTCCTGGATGCAGAGAGATGGGCGGGGCTGGTCCCCTATCTGTGGCAACACTGACTGGGTAGTGGAAGCCTGGGCCTAGAGGCCAGGCCAAGGGGCGGCCACCTGTCCTCTGCCCTCCCCAGACCTTGAGTGGACAGGGAGCACTTTGGCCAAGACAGAACTGGCCCAGGAGGGCAGCCAGAGCCCGGGCAGGGGAGGTTTGGCCTGGGGAGGGATGCCTGCAGGGGTGCCTGGTGGTCTGTGGGTCTTCAAAGACAAAGGAAACACAGGGGGTTCTGAGAAGAGGCACTGTGGCCTCAGAAAAGCTGAACTTGGACCAAGGGCAAGAAGCAACTAGAAGGCAAAGGAGCGGCAATTTGGGAGCCCCAGGAGGATGCCAGGGTAGGACAGCATGAGCATGAGGGGTTCGGGTGTCGGTCAGCCCCGGGATCCAGCCCCTGCAGGCCCCTCCACAGCTGTGTGACCCTGGGCATGTCACTGCCCTCTGCTGTGCCTCAGTTTCTCTTTGTATACATTATGGAAAATGACAGCCTCTCTCCCACGAGGTTGCTGGGAAGATTAAATGCCCCACCCACATGCCCTCAGCCCAGCTGTTTCCCTGCAGCTGTGGTGGGGACAGTTCCCGACCTCCCACCTCATGTACACTTTTCTGTCTCAGGGCAGCCCTGAAGAGCCTGGGAAGGAATGCCCAGAGGCAACGGAACAAGGGAGGGACAGGAGGCAGTGGAAACGCCAGGCCTCCTCACCCCTCCCTGGGACAAATCTGAGCGCATGCTACATGGCTCCTAGGAGGCTCTCCAGCAGGCAGAGCCCACAGATGAACCCAGCCTTCACTGGCTTTCCTCCTTCCTCGCACCTGCGCCCCAGGATCGCCTCCCCTACACACTGCCTGCTCCCAGTGCCATGTGGTCAGGTCTGCTTATGGGAATTGGAAACAGGAAGTGGAGGGTAAATGCTGGTGTCCTTTACACCCATGCTTGGAGCACTGTCTGGCACATGGAAAAGCTCAATCAATGGTAGTAGCTGTTATTTTTGCTGTAATGATTAACAGTCATTGAAATAATTATTTCAATCAATAATCAATGAAACAATCATTTCATTATTATCATTTTCAGCAACCTGAAGTGTCTGACCCCAGGGAATGTGAGACGCGAAGTGGTGAGCTGGTCACCGGAGGGCTGTGTGCAGAGGCTGGCTGAGTGTCAGATAGACAGTTCTAGGAAGCATGCTGTTCAGCAGGAAAGGGCTCCACAAATGGCCTTTCAGATCCATAAGATTCTATGGAAACAAGACCATTCTGTTCCATGGCATGCCAAACTCCACCTCTCCTTCCACCATCAGGAAGGTGGCACCTGGCTGGCCTGGCAGGAGGAAGGCTCAGCTCCCCAGAGAGGGAAAGGCACCTGCCTACAAATGCTAGTGGAGTGAGCCCCAGCACGGCGTCCTGACCCTGGCTGCTGCAGCTCTAAGCCATTTCCCTCCAGCAATTCTCGGGCGCCCACGCTGAGTTCAAAGCCAACCTTGCTTCAGCCACACCCGTTTGATAACTGCCAAGGGCCCTCATTGCTCTCTGAGGCACTGTTCATGTGGCATGACACACGTGCCTACATACATACCCCTACACACACACACACACGCATACCCCTACACACGTACCTACACACACGCATACCTACACAGGTATACCCCTATACGTGCACATCCTACGCTCACATACCTGTGTACACACACACACACACACACACACACACACACACACACAGCACTTACCTGTTTCCAAGACAGCTTGGGTCTGAGCTTCAGAAACATGAGTTGAGTAACTGGCCACTTGTCCCACCTGTCACATGCGGGTCTCCTAGGCCTCTCCCACACCCCACCTGGGCTTCTCAGCTCAGTTGAGTCCTGCCCATGGACCACAGCTCAGTCCCAAGTCTGCCCCTCCAGAAGCAAGCGCACTTGGGCTTCCAGGGAGGCAGGATGCCTGGGCCTGGTCTTCCTTCTGCCACTGAGTTCAGCCCTGGGCTTTGCCAAGCTCCCCAAAAGACCCTACAAGGACCCAGGTGGGCTTAGGGCGGGGCTGGGCTCCAGGAAGAAGCTGGCAGCCCTAACTCCTACTAGATACTACCTATCCTCCTCAGGCGAGCCTTCAAGCCTCTTGGAGGCTGGAGTGCTCCTGTGCTGTGTGGGGAGAACAAGCTGTGTGGTGTGGCCTGTGCAGGATGGTGGGGCATGGCAGGGAGATGACACTGGAAAGGGGGTAAGATCGGTCACCAGAGACCCTGCACACAGGGCGTCTCCCCCATGTCCCACCATCCAGCACAGGCCACATCACGCCACTCACTCTCTCCACACAGCACGCCGGCACTTCAGCCTCCAGGCCT